>NC_000014.9:34460197-34763228 GCF_000001405.40 Homo sapiens | reverse complement strand
AGGCATAAAGATGATAAAGAATGTGGAAAGTTCTTGCAAGTACATGGGATAAACTGGAAGTCCAGGTATATGGGGAGAGGAATAATGAGTTAATGGAGGTGTTGCATTCTTTTAATTAAGGACAGTTAAAAGATTAAATATAGTTTTATAGTCAGAATCAGAAGACAACAGAGAGGTTCTTGGCGTGGTATTCAGGAACCACGGGTTCAAGGCCCACTTCATTGGCAGCCACTGGCTAAAACTGTAGGTTATCTCAGTATCAATGATAATGAAAAGTGGTAGTCTCCTGTAGCAAAAGGAGACAAAAGAATTTCATTTTAAGATTACTTCATTACTCTTAAGTTTTCCAACATGATTGACTAAGTCTATTTGTTGGTTCTCCTGAGCATTTTATTACAATTTATCAGAATTTAGGACTTAATTTTCATAATGATGTCCTGAAGTTACCAAGAAGATATGGACTGGGCACGGTGGCTTACGCCTGTAATCCCAGCACTTTGGGAGGCCGAGGCATGCAGATCGCCTGAGTCCAGGAGTTTGAGACCAGCCTGGGCAACATAGCAAAACCCCATCTCTACAAAAAACTACAAAAATTAGCCAGGCATGGTGGTACACACCTAGCTACTCAGGAGTCTGAGATGGGAGGAGCACCTGATCACAGGGAGGTCAGGCTGCAGTGAGCCGTGATCGTACTACAGCACTCCAGCCTGGGTGACAGTGATACTCTGTCTCAAAAAAAAAAAATAAAGAAAAGAAAAGAAAACATAAAATATTCTCTTTGCAGATAATTCTCTTTGCATTTCAAAGAAATACATGAAAGCACATTTTAGATTCCCTTGAGAACTTAAAACTTACTGACTCTTTAAGGAATTGAGTCTAGGATAAGTCTCAGTTATATAGAAAATTTGTATAAACTCATTGGCTAAATACAACAAGGAGAATAGAGCTAATCATATGTTCATCATTGCTCTGTACAATAATTGTGTTTTCTAACAATATTTATAGCCTACCCAAACGAGGAAGACCACAAGTTAGATTGCCAGTTAAAACAAGAGGGAAACTTAGCTCTTCTTTCTCAAGTCGTGGCCAACAACAAGAACCTGGAAGATACCCTTCAAGGAGTCAGCAGAGCACACCCAAAACAACTGTTTCTTCTAAAACTGGTAGAAGCCTAAGAAAGATAAACTCTGCTCCTCCTACAGAAACAAAATCTTTAAGAATTGCCAGTCGTTCTACTCGCCACAGTCATGGCCCACTGCAAGCAGATGTATTTGTGGAATTGCTTAGTCCTCGTAGAAAACGCAGAGGCAGGAAAAGTGCTAATAATACACCAGAAAATAGTCCCAACTTCCCTAACTTCAGAGTCATTGCCACAAAGTCAAGTGAACAGTCAAGATCTGTAAATATTGCTTCAAAACTTTCTCTCCAAGAGAGTGAATCCAAAAGAAGATGCAGAAAAAGACAATCTCCAGGTATGAAGAAATCTAAACTCTTCCTTCCCTAGGAAAATTGAATAATTTGGAAATATCGAATGTTGAGATACTTTGGATCATTTTTTAAAGTCTGTCACTAAGATACACAAAGTTATTAGGGAACAATCTGACCTGAAGCATAATAGTCATTGAAGGGGCAACTATTTAATGAATAAATTATATTACTAATATTTCTACTAGTGAAGCAGGGTAATAAACTTACAAATGACGTTCTGTTTTTAATGGAGATATTTGGCCAATATTTGAACAGTGTCAGGATACTACATTATAACACATTTCACTCTCTCCCACCTTTTCCTCCCTCAAAACGCAAATACTCAGCATCACCTAGACAAGCTACATCAGATTATTTGGTAAGGTTCCCATCTCAAATACTGAATTTGGGGGAAAGGGAGAGTTGGAAGCAGTAATATTTTTAGGAAGCGATGACCAGCTGTCTTTTTATTTTTTATTTGATTGACTGACAGAGTCTAGCTCTGTCGCCAGGCTGGAGTGCAGTGGTGCAATCTTGGCTCACTGCAACCTCTGCCTCCTGGGTTCAAGCGATTCTCCTGCCTCAGCCTCTCGAGTAGCAGGATTACAGGTATGCACCATCACACCGGGCTAATTTTTGTATTAGTAGAGACGGCTGGTTTCACCATGTTGGCCAGGCTGGTCTTGAACTCCTGACCTCAGGTGATCCACCCACCTCGGCATCCCAAAGTACTGGGATTATAGGCGTGAGCCACCGCGCCTGGCCTCAGTTGTCTTTTTAGTTCTCATTTTTGTTTATAGTAATCATTATTCATAGACTAATTTCTTTATTCATAAAGAAATTCATAATCTCTTCCTTTCCCTTGTTTTAATGTAAGTGGTAATAAAATTTTGATTTTTTAATTTTATTGTTATTATTAATTATACCAGTCACTCAGGCTGCTGTGCAGTGGCGCAATCTGAGCTCACTGCAACCTCTGCTTCCCGGGCTCAAGCAATCCTCCAGCCCCAGCCTCACAAGCAGCTGCGACTACAGGAATGCACCACCAAGCTGACTAACTTTTGTATTCTTTGTAGAGATGGGGTCTTGCCAAGTTGCCCAGGCTGGTCTTGCACTCCTGAGCTCAGTTATCTGCCTGCCTTGCCTTGGCCTCCCAAATGTTGGGATTACAGGTGTGCGCCACCACACCTGGCCTGGCCCTATTTTTTTGTTGTTGTTTTTTAAATGAAGCTAAACATAAAAAATGCCACTGTTTCTCAAAAAAAAAAAAAAAGCCACTGTTCTTCAGAGAATTTTAGATACATTATATTGCATTATTCGGATACGCAGCAGGATTAAGGAATTCATTGGTGAAAGAATGGCACGTAATCTGTTTATGCAGTCACCAGATTGTCAAGTTTTTTAGGGGAAGTATCCTAATTTTGTACCAGTCAGGATCTAATTTAGCTTTTCCTATCCACTTATCTGTTTTGCTTTTCCCCAATTCTCCAAGCTGTTTGGAGAAATAATACACTTGAAACATTTTTACTCAAAAAACTAGGAAGAAAAACTTTTTGTTTTCATTGATTTGTGAAATTGCTAAGCCTGGTACTAAGGACAAACAAAAGGGGAAATGTGTGGACCTACACTGCAAGGAGAGAATTTATACATCTGAATACATATATGGACTATACTACCCTTTCTACCAATGCATATACTTTAGATTTCATTATACTATACCTTTCTTAGGTCTGTGAGGAAGCATTTTGCTTTTCGAACATTATCTAGATATTAAAATTAAGATCTGTGGCCAAGTGCAGTGGCTCATACCTGTAATCCCAGCACTTTGGGAGGCCCAGGTGGGTGGATCACTTGAGGTGAGGAGTTGGAGACCAGCCTGGCCAACACAGTGAAACCCCATCTCTACTAAAAATACAAAAATTAGCTGGGTGTGGTAGCAGGCACCTTTAATCCCAGCTACTCGGGAGGCTGAGGCAGGAGAATTGCTTGAACCCAGGAGGCAGAAGTTGCAGTGAGCCAAGATCATGCCACTGCACTCCAGCCTAGGTGACAAAGCAAGACTCTGTCTCAAAAATTAAATAAAATAAATAAAATTAAGATCTGTAAGAATAATCTTTTACTTTACCAGTGAGAATTGCTTTTCCATTATGCAAGGTAATTTATATGTAAGCCTAGTTTCTAGATCTGAGGAGGTTACTTTCTGAAGGATATGCTTTAGGAAATACTAGAGAATTGCTTAGTTTCAGTTAACTGTAGCTGAAAAGGCCGGGCGTGGTGGCTCACGCCTGTAATCCCAGCATTTTGGGAGGCCGAGGCGGGCAGATCACGAGGTCAGGAGATCACGAGGTCAGGAGATCGAGACCATCCTAGCTAACACGGTGAAACCCTGTCTCTACTAAAAATACAAAACAAAATTAGCCGGGCGCCGTGGCGGGTGCCTATAGTTCCAGCTACTCAGGAGGCTGAGACAGGAGAATGGCATGAACCCAGGAGGCGGAGCTTTCAGTGAGCCAAGATCGCGACACTGCACTCCAGCCTGGGTGACAGAGCGAGACTCCATCTCAAAAAAAAAAAAAAAAAAAAAAAAAAACTGTAGCTGTAAAGTATTTTTAATAAAATTGAGTAAAAATAATCCAAAAACTTTTGTGTTCTAGATTTTTCTTTTGCATTACACTCTGAAAATCTGTTCCCAATGAATGTTTAATGCAATTGGACATTTTTAAGATCAAAAAGGAAATAATGACTATTTGGTCCTATTTTGGTTGAATTTTCATATCTCCCAGAAAATAGTTAACATCTCAGTGTACGGAGTGTCTATTTTCTGTTGGAATTTGGTATTTATATATCCAGTTTGGCGTGTAGTGAACCAATATTTTGCTTTGTTATCACCTAAAATGTTGTAATTATTTACTCAGAGCCATCGCCTGTGACACTGGGTCGAAGGAGTTCTGGCCGACAGGGAGGAGTTCATGAATTGTCTGCTTTTGAACAACTTGTTGTAGAATTGGTACGACATGATGACAGCTGGCCTTTTTTGAAACTTGTTTCTAAAATCCAGGTAATTACTAGACTTGATAAAATGTATTCCTGTATATTATCTGATTTAGTCCACGTGATAACTTTGAAGTAGTCAAAACACCTGTTACTCACTGTCTAGTTTTTTTTGTTGTTGTTGTTTTTTCCTGAGACAGTCTCACTCTGTCGCCCAGGCTGGAGTGCAGTGGCGCGATCTCGGCTCACTGCAAGCTCTGCCTCCCAGGTTCAAGCGATTCTCCTGCCTCAGCTTCCTGAGTAACTGGGATTACAGGCACACACCACCACACCCGGCTAATATTTCTATTTTTAGTAGAGACGGGGTTTCAACATGTTGGTCAGGCTGGTCTCAATCTCCTGACCTTGTGATCTGCCCACCTCGGCCCCCCAAAGTGGTGGGATTCCAGGTGTGAGCCACCACACCTGGCCATGTCTTCTTCTTAGTATTTTTAGAGACAGGGTTTCTGTCGCCCAGGCCGGAGTGCAGTGGCATATTTTGGTTCGCTGCAGCCTCAACCTCCTGAGCTCAAGTGATCCTCCAACTTAGCCACTTGAGTAGTTGGTACTACAGGCACATGCCACCAGGTCCAGCTGTTTTTTTTTTTTTTTTTTTGAGACAGGGTCTCACTTCATTGCCAGGCTGGTCTTGAACATCAGTTCCTATGTTCAAAACAATAGGGTTGGCCGGGCGCTGTGGCTCACACCTGTAATCCCAGCACTTTGGGAGGCCGAGGCGGGCGGATCACGAGGTCAGGAGATCAAGACCATCCTGGCTAACACAGTGAAACCCCATCTCTACTAAAAATACAAAAAAATTAGCCAGGCGTGGTGGCAGGCGCCTGTAGTCCCCGCTACTTGGGAGGCTGAGGCAGGAGAATTACTTGAACCCGGGAGGCAGAAGTTGCAGTGAGCCGAGATCGCGCCATTGCAGTCCACACTCCAGGCTGGGCAACAAGAGTGAAACTCCATCTCAAAAAAAAAAAAAAGAAAACAATAGAGTTAGACAGCTCAGTCCCTTCTAATTTTGTGACTGATTCTTTTTTTGTTGTTTTTGTTTTTGTTTTGAGACAAAGTCTTGCTTTTGTCCCCCGGCTGGAGTGCAGTGGCGTGATCTTGGCTCACCGCAACCTCCACCTCCCGGGTTCAAGCGATTCTCCTGCCTCAGCCTCCCAAGTAGCTGGGATTACAGGGGCCTGCCACCACACCTGGCTAATTTTTGTATTTTTATTAGCGACAGGGTTTCACCATGTTGGCCAGGCTGTTCTCGAACTCCTGACCTCAGGTGATCTGCCCACCTTGGCCTCCCAAAATGCTGAGATTACAGGCACGGGCCACTGCACCCAGCCTTTTTTTTTTTTTTTTTGAGATGGAGTCTTGCTCTTGTCATCCAGGCTGGAGTGCAATGGCGCGATCTCAGCTCACTACAACCTCCACCTTCTGGGTTCAAGTGATTCTCCTGCCTCAGCCTCCCGAGTAGCTGGAATTACAGGCACCTGCCACCATACCTGGCTAATTTTTGTATTTTTAGTAGAGACAGGGTTTCACCATGTTGGCCAGGCTGGTCTCAAACTCCTAACCTCAGGTGATCCATGTGTCTTGGCCTCCCAAAGTGCTGGGATTACAGGCATGAGCCACCGTGCCCAGCCATGACTGATTCTTTATAAATAATGATGGTGTGTTACAATGACCTCAATGTTTTTGTTCTATGTAATGAATATGAATAGAGTTAATTGAGTACCATTAATCATATTTTTCTTATGTAAAGCAGTGGTTCTCAAACTACCGCATGCCTCAGAATCATTTGGAGGACTTGCTAAAACATTGATTCCTGAGCCCCAGAGTGTTTGATTCATTAGGTCTGGAATGATGTCTAACTCTTGGATTTCTGACAAGTCCCCAGATGATGCTGATGGTCCTGGCCCAGAGAGCACATTTTGAGAAACACTGATATAAAAGTTATTCTGGGCCAGGCGTAGTGGCTCACACCTGTAATCCCAACACTTTGGGAGGCCAAGGCGGTGAATCACCTAAGATCAGGAGTTCAAGACCAGCCTTGCCAACATGACAAAACCCCATCTCTACTAAAAATGCAAAAATTAGCTGAGCATGGTGGTGCATGCCTGTAATCCCAGCTACTCGGAAGGCTGAGGCAGGAGAATCGCTTGAACCCAGGAGGCGGAGGTTGTAGTGAGTCGAGATCACGCCATTGCACCCCAGCCTAGGCAAGACTCTGTCTCAAAAAAAAAAAAAAAAAAAAAAAAATAGGTATTCTGGCTGGGTGCAGTGTGTCACGCCTGTAATCTCAACAGTTTAGGGCCAGGCACAGTGGCTCATGCCTGTGATCCCAGCACTTTGGGAGGCCGAGGTGGGCAGATCACGAGGTCAAGAGATTGAGACCATCCTGGCTAACACGGTGAAACCCTGTCTCTACTAAAAAAACACAAAAAATTAGCCGGGCATGGTGGCACACACCTGTAGTCCCAGCTACTCTGGAGGCTGAGGCAGGACAATCGCTTGAACCCGGGAGGCAGAGCTTGCAGTGAGCCGAGATCGTGCCACTGCACTCCAGCCTGGGTGACAGAGTGAGACTCTGTCTCAAAAAAAAAAAAAAAAGAAAAAAACCAGTTTGGGAGGCTGAGGCAGGTGGATCGCTTGAGCCCAGGAGTTTGAGACCAGCCTAACCAACATGGTCAAACCTTGACTCTACAAAAAATACAAAAAAAAAAAGAAAAAGAAAAAAAATAGCCGAGTGTGGTGGTGCATGACTTTAGTCTCAGTTACTTGGGAATCTGAGGCAGGAGGATCACTTGAGCTTGGAAGGTGGAGGTTGCAATGAGCCGAGATAACACCACTACGCTCCAGCCTGGGTGACAGAGCAAGACCCTGTCTCCAAAGGAAAAGGAAAAAAAAAAAAAAAGATAGGTATTAGGTAACAGTGATGGCCTAATCAAACTGAAGGATATGAGATGGTGTTGTAGTTAGGTTATATATATATATGGCAGAATGTGATCTCTTATATAGCAAAGATAGAACAAAGTTATGGTACTGGAATAGAAGTTATCATGGTATTACAGAAGTAGAGTAGACAGAGATTGATTTGAGCATTTCAGAGGGACAAAATAATAATTAGAACGCTTTTTAAGGAGAACTATTTGGAACTGGTCATTGAAGAAGGATAGAATTTCAACACTAAGAAATGCAGTAAGGATGTTTCAGGGAGAAAGGAATATGCTATACGGTAGACACCCAGAAATGAGAATATGGTGAATGGTGGATGGTTTGAATGAGGTTGGGTTAGAAAGTCTCAGACACACAACTGTATTATAAAGGGTCTCACTCACCAGTGTGAGGTAAAGGTTTCTGAATGAAGAAGTGACATCATCAGAATTCTACTTTGAGACTTCTAGAGCAAGAATGAGAAGGATTAATTAATATTGAATAGCATAAAAAAATTAAATCTTAGTTTGACTTGACTCATTTTGCCTGGGTAATTTTTGTCCTAAAGTACACTTTGTTACATACATTTTATTCATTATTACAAATGCAATAATGCTCATTGAAGAATTTTTTTTCTTCTGGTCACAACTGACAATGGTGTGTATATATAGAGAGAGCGCGATATCTATATAGATATATATCTGTATAGACACATCTATATAGACATATATATCTATATAGAGAGGAGAGAGTCATGAGCAAGACCATATTGCAATTGCATATTGAGTTGCTTTTTAGTGCAAAACTTTTAGTTATTTGAACACTTCTTTCCAGTTAAGTTTTCTGTGTGGACAGAGATATTTGAATTATTTTACAGGTCCCAGACTACTATGACATCATCAAAAAGCCCATTGCCTTAAATATAATTCGTGAAAAAGTGAATAAGTGTGAATATAAATTAGCATGTAAGTAATTTATGTTTTTCTTTGATATTTATTTTTCTAAGGCATTTTGTTATAGCATCTTTGATATTTATTTTTGTTTAAAGAGGTAGAGGCTGTTTTTCTGTTACTAAAAGGATGTGTGTTGATGTAGTTGTGTAGATGGCATTCCATGAGGTTCCACAAGTACTTATTAGTGTATGTGGGGATGAAAGATGGATTAGGATCAAGTAAGTTAAAGATACTTTATAGATCTGATCTTACTCAAAGAAGTTCTTTATAATCACATAATGTATATGATCACATAATTGGATAGTTTCAATAAAACAATTTTAAAGTATTTACAGTTAAACAGTTTTAAGCCTCAGTTCTGCTACCTTGTTTCAGAATCTTTTTTCTTTCTTCTTTTTCTTTTTTCTTTTTTTTTTTTTTTGAGATACGTCTCACTCTGTTGCCCAGGCTGGAGTGCAGAGGCAAAATTTTGGTTCACTGCAGCCTTGACCTCACAGGCTCAAGCTGTCCTCCCACCTCAGCCTCCCAAGTAGCTGGGACCACAGGTGCAGGCCACCATGCCTAATTTTTTTTTTTTTTTTTTTGAGATGATGGAGTCTTGCTCTGTGGCCCAGGCTGGAGTGCAGTGGTGCGATCTCAGCTCACTGCAACCTCTGCCTCCTGGGTTCAAGTGATTCTCCTGCCTCAGCCTCCCGAGTAGCTGGGATTACAGATGCCCGCCACCACGCCCCACTATTTTTGTATTTTTAGTAGAGATGGGGTTTCACCATGTTGCCCAGGCTGGTGTCGAACTCCTGACCTCAGGTGATCCGTCTGCCTCGGCCTCCCAAAGTGCTGGGATTACAGGCTTGAACCACCGCAAGTGGCTAATTTTTGTATTTTTTGTAGAGATGGGGTTTTGCTATATTGCCCAGGATGGTCTCGAACTCCTGAGCTCAAGTGATCCTCCTGCCTCAGCCTCCCAAGTGCTGAGATTACAGATGTGAGCCACCATGCCTAGCCAGAGTCTTCTCTTTCTAAAGAAAAAAGTGGGCTTCCATTTTCTTAATAAAATTTCCAGATATGATACAAGAATTATATTTATTATAATTTATGTACTTTCATTCTAATCTTTTTGTCTCTTTCCCTTTCTAGCTGAGTTTATTGATGACATTGAGTTAATGTTTTCGAACTGCTTTGAATACAACCCTCGTAACACAAGTGAAGCAAAAGCTGGAACTAGGCTTCAAGCATTTTTTCATATTCAGGCTCAAAAGCTTGGACTCCACGTCACACCCAGTAATGTGGACCAAGTTAGCACACCACCGGCTGCGAAAAAGTCACGAATCTGACTTTGTCCTTCTAAAGGATATATTTGAAGAAAAACAAATTGTTCATGAAAATGGAACATTAAATCATGCTGTATAAAGCAATAACAATTGATTGACCACATGAAAGTGTGGCCTGCACTATATTCTCAATTTTAATATTAAGCACTCAGGAGAATGTAGGAAAGATATCCTTTGCTACAGTTTTGTTCAGTATCTAATAAGTTTGATAGATGTATTGGATACAGTACTGGTTTACAGAGGTTTTTGTACATTTTTGAGATCATTCATGTGTCCAGAGATCTTGGAAAATATTTTTTCACCCACGATTTATTTTGTTATTGATGATTTTTTTTTAAAGTGGTGGTATTAAGGGAGAGTTATCTACATGGATGAGTCTTCCGCTATAGCACAGTTTAGAAAAGGTGTTTATGTCTTAATTAATTGTTTGAGTACATTCTTTCAACACTACACATGAATGAATCCAATCTTATAACCTTGAAGTGCTGTACCAGTGCTGGCTGCAGGTATTAAGTCCAAGTTTATTAACTAGATATTTATTTAGTATTGAGAGTAATTTGTGAATTTGTTTTGTATTTATAAAATTTATACCTGAAAAATGTTCCTTAATGTTTTAAACCTTTTACTGTGTTTTTATTCCTCTAACTTCCTTAATGATCAATCAAAAAAAGTAACACCCTCCCTTTTTCCTGACAGTTCTTTCAGCTTTACAGAACTGTATTATAAGTTTCTATGTATAACTTTTTAACTGTACAAATAAAATAACATTTTTTCAAATAATCTGGAATTCTCTAATTTTTACAATCAGCTTTGGACTTTTGCTCGTGATAAAAACAGACCATAGGAACCAACTTTTTGTTGTACCTGAGTCTCTATAGCAGTAATTTGCTGCTTTTTCTGCCGAAACCCTTGAGGAGTAAGATCCATTTCATTTCATCAAAAACAGTAACATGATGTGCATGGATTCTCATTAAAAAGAGGAGAGAAAGTTTGGAATACACTCACCTAGTTGAGAATCTGGAAATAATTAATTAAAGTTTTTATGCATATATACACATAAAAGGAGCTATTTCTTAGGTATGGAAGACATACAGGGGCTTCAGTTTTGTAGCATACTTTTCCTTTTTAGGATGCAAAAGGCAGGTGTCTTCCCTATTCTCTAGGACTTTTTGGTAGGCGGGAGAGAACCTTCCCTCTATTTCCTTAAAATCCTGAGGGTACTGCATTATTATTTAATTAATTTACTTGGAAGTTTACCTGTCTTTCTCATATAGTTTGAGATTATCAATTTTCTAGATTCTTCACATGAATATAACTGTAACTTTTGGTAAATGTGTATAAATTTTATATGCCATAACTAAATTTCTTGGAAATTAATAACATTTAAATACCAAGACAATTCTGAAAATACAATTACATTTTAATAGTAATTTATCTGATTACTTAATATTCTTTTTTTAAATAAAATTTTAATTTTATAGAATAGAGACAAGGTCTTGCTGTGTTGCTTAGACTAGTCTGAACTCCTGAGCTCAAAGTGATCTGCCTGCCCTTGAACTCCCAAAGTGCTGGGATTACAGGTGTGAGTCACTGTGCCCGGCCAATATTCTTCATTTTTTAATGTTAATAACAAGCAATTTTTATGTTAGCTTTTCTTCTACACAGTTAACACAAAGGAACCATTTCCAACCAACTAATTATGGAATTATTCAATCTGCAAGTCAGTCATAAAACTTGCAATTTATTTACCATTTCTCAGACTGAGTTAAAATAAGACCTTACCTTTTTTTTTTTTTTTTTTTTTTTTTTTAAGATGTGGTCTTGGCTCTGTCACCCAGGCTAGAGTGCAGTGGCATGATCTCAGCTCACTGCAACCTCCACCTCCTGGTTTCAAGTGATTCTCCTGCCTCAGCCTCCCGAGTAGCTGGGATTACAGGCATGCGCCACCACACCTGGCTAATTTTTGTATTTTTAATAGAGACAGGGTTTCACCATGTTGGCCAGGCTGGTCTCGAACTACTGACCTCAGGTGATCTGCCCACCTCAGCCTCCCATAGTGCCGGGATTACAGGCGTGCGCCACCGCACCAGCCAAGACATTACCTTGCAATCTGCTCAGCCAAATTGTCTTATATGCCAAATTCATCATTTATTCCCATACACATCTATAGTAATTAAAAATTTTAGGCCAGGCACGGTGGCTCACGCCTGTAATCCCAAAACTTTGGGAGGCTGAGGTGGGCGGATCACCTGAGGTCAGGAGTTCGAGACCAACCTGGCCAACATGGTGAAACTGTCTCTACTAAAAATACAAAAATTAGCTGGGTGTGATGGCAGTTGCCTGTAATCCCAGCTACTTGGGAGGCTGAGGCAAGAGAATCTCTTGGACCTGGGAGGCAGAGGTTGCAGTGAGCCAAGATCGCGCCATTGCACTCCAGCCTGAGTGGCAGAGCAAGACTCCATCTCAAAAATTTTATACAGCAACATGATTGACAAGGGATATATGGTAGTGGCTGAGAATGTAATGTCAACATGACCAAGAAAGCAATCAGCATTATTTGACTCCTACTTTTCTTTCATGTTTTTCTTCAAGGAGAAAGGACTACATAATGGAATGAGAGAAACAAAAACATGAGTCAGAGAACTGGAGTCCAGTATGATGAAAGAGACATTTAAATCAGCTGGGCACCTCTTACTGAGTTTAGTCTCTAAACCCAGATAAATTGTATTTCTAAAAGCACTTGATTTGTAATTGTAAAAGAGAGTACCAGAAGGGAAATAAATTAATATATCCCATTGTGTTGCCAAGCCCTTTAATGCAAAAGTTTATAGCTTTTGTACCCAAAAACTATGTAAAATGCTTTTTTATGTTAAGCAAGGCAGTTCTCTAAGATTTTGGTATTCTCTCAATTTTTCAGTTAAGGTTAAGACTCAGATGGATTTTTGTTTTTAAGACAGGGTCTCACTGTGTTGCCCAGGCTGGACTCAAACTCCTGGGCTCGAGATATCTTCCCACCTCAGCCTCCAGAGTAGCTGGGACTACTGGTGTGAGCCACTGCACTTGGCTGGATTTTATTTTTTTAAACACTTGCCCAAGATCACAGAGTAAATTACATCAGTTCTATCAAACTTCGCCTTTCCATTACATCAGGGTACCTCCCAGAAGATAAGACATAGTCCATTTTCTCATTTGTTCATTTTTGATATGTTAAAATGTTATGTTTTTTTCTAGAGAGAGAAGGGGACATGGTTAGTTGCACAGATTTGAGTACACTATTTGATTTCAAGAATTCAGCAGAGTACTTAGGTTAACTTCAGTAATAACGTGAGGAATATCGTGCTCAGGCTATATTCCACACTAACCCCATTAGCTGTTTATATTTGCCATTCAAGAAAGCTTATGGCCAGGCTCACACCTGTAATCCCAGCACTTTGGGAGGCCAAGGCAGGCAGATCACTTGAGGTCAGGAGTTCGAGACCAGCCTGGCCAACATAGTGAAACCCTGTCTCTACTAAAAATACAAAAATTAGCCAGGTGTGGTGGCACATGCCTGTAATCCCAGCTACTTGGGAGGCTGAGGCAGGAGAATCACTTGAACCCAGGAGGCAAAGGTTTCAGTGAGCCGAGATTGCACCACCGCACTACAGCCTGAGTGACAGAGCAAGACTCCGTCTCAAAAAAAAAAAAAAGTTTACACTTTTAAGAGCATTAAAGCAAACCTCTAGATTAGGGGGAAAAAATACAGGAACAACAGTATACAAGTTATTTACTGGTATGCAAATGACCAAGCTATTATTTATTTAGAAATAGGGTCTTGCTCTGTTACGCAGGCTGGCGTGCAATCCGTGGCACTATCATAGCTCGCTGTAACCTTGTAACCTAAAACTCCTAGGCTCAAGCAATCCTCCCACCTCAGCCTCCCACAGCTCTAAGATAACAGGCGTGAGCCACTGCTCTCAGCCTAATCTTCATTTCTTACTTTTCTGAGTGAACGTTTTGTCTTAGGAGCTAGCAACTCTATCAAAAAATTTTGAGAAAATATATTGAGTATAGATGCACAAATCTCTGTAAATTTTAATATTGTGATTTAAGCCTTTATTGTAGCCATTATTAGAGCTATATTACTTTTTTCCCCAGTAAAATGAAAATTTTATTTCTAGTTATAAAATGAATAAATGGTGATTGCCCATAAAAATAGAAAACAACAAATATATAAAATAGAAATAAACAGTGTATAATTTTCTGGATTCCTTTCTTCAGCAAAATGGGATCATGGTGTACAAATCCTATGTTAAACAGCTCTTTTCATTCTGCAATGTATTGTGGATGCCTCTATTTCTGAGCTGTCCAGTACTCCAGTCTATCTAGGTCTCACCTCATTTGGAACCCTTCTCTCAGATATCCCAGTCTTGCATTTATTTAACCAGTTATCAAATGACATCTTTTTTTCAATGTGAAGTCATCTCTAATGACATTTAGATGGTACAAAATTATAATTTCCTTGGGATACTCTGGCTACTATAATTAACTCACACATTAGTAATATTTTTCATGTATATGACAGCTGTTTCTGATCTAATGATCTGAAGAGTAGCAAACTAAAACTGGATGAAGCAGTGTAGCATTTTTCCAGCTGATTGGCATTTGATTTTAAATATTTCCCTCCCTTAGCTTTTTGTGACTGGTATTTGTTCTTTTGCCTCATCCTATGAACTTCCCCATGAAGGAGGAATTGGGATAGGATTTGACATCCTGCTGTAAACAACTAAAAAACTGGACAAAATAACTAACTATGGACAATAGGCAATTCTCAATAGTCAGCAAGACTAAGTACTACAAGATTTCCCTGTCACCTTCCTAAATAACAAAACCAAGCAACTCAATTTTTTTTTCTTTTTTTTCTGAGACGGAGTCTCTGTCATCCAGTCTGGAGTGCAGTGGCGCGATCTCGGCTCACTGCAACCTCCACCTCCAGGTTCAAGCGATTCTCCTGCCTCACCCTCCTGAGTAGCTGGGACCAGAGGCATGCGCAACGACACCCAGCTAATTTTTTGTATTTTTAGTAGAGACGGGGTTTCGCCATGTTGACCAGGCTGGTCTCAAATTCCTGACCTCAAGTGATCCACCTGCCTCGGCCTCCCAAAGTGCTGGATTACAGGCATAAGCCACTGCACCTGGTCTCAACTTATTTGTAAAATTCTTTTCCCCATTACCCTAAATGGGATTTATCTTGTCCTGCATGATCTGCCACCGTTCTGTAGGCCTCATCTATCACCTTGCACCATATCACCTATGTATTGGTTCCTGAACACTGGACTCTATTGTTTCTGGATATTGAGAGTTTTGTAAGACTCTATGCCCTCTCACTTGCTGTGCTTTCTGCCTGAAATGTCTTTCTACCTCCACTTCACCAGGAGGAAGCAAATAACCTAAAAACCTGTTAAAAATACCCAGAAGAGAGTTTCTGTTTGAGATGATGAACAGTCCTGGAAATGGATAGTGATGACAGTTGCACAACAATGTATACTTAATGCCAATGAATTGTACACTTTAAGATGATTAAATCACACCTGTAATCCTAGCACTTTGGGAGGCTGAGGCAGGCAAATCACTTGAGCCCAGGAGTTTGAGATCAGCCTGGGCAATATGGCGAAACCCTGTCTCTGCAAAAAATTAGCCCGGTGTGGCACACACCTGTGGTCCCAGCTACTCAGGAGGCAGAGGTGAGAGAATTGCTTGAGCGTGGGAGGTTGAGGCTGCAGTGAGCCATGACAGTGCCACTGTACCCCAGCCTGGGCAACACAGCAAGACCCTATCTCAAAAAAATATATTTTAAAAAAAGATAATTAAAGTGGTAAATGTATTGATTTATTTATGAGACAGGGTCTCTGTTGCCCAGGCTGGAGTGCAGTGGCTCAATTAGAGCTCACTACAGCCTCAAAACTCCTGAGCTCAAACAATCTTCCTGCCTCAGTCTCCCCAGTAAATAGGACTAAAGTGCATGCCACCATGCCCAGCTAATTTTAAGATTTTTTGTAGAGATGAGGTCTTGCTATGTTGCCCAGGCTGGTCTTGAACTGCTGCCTTCAAGCTGTCCTCCCACCTCAGTCTTCCAAAGTGCTGGAAGTGTAGGCATGAGTCACCATGCCCAGCCTGAATTAAAGTTTTTTTTTTTTTTGAGACGAAGTCTCATTCTTGTCCCCCAGGCTGGAGTGCAATGGCGTGATCTCGGCTCACTGCAACCTCTGCCTCCCGGGTTCAAGCAGTTCTCCTGCCTCAGCCTCCCGAGTAGCTGGAATTACAGGCACCCGCCACCATGCCCGGCTAATTTTTGTATTTTTAGTAGAGACAGGGTTTCACCATGTTGGCCAGGCTGGTCTCGAGCTCCTGACCTCAGGTGATCTGCCTGCCTCGGCCCCACAAAGTGCTGGGATTACAGGCATGAGCCACCGCACCCAGCCTAAATTTTTTAAATACCTAGAAATGCTAAGTAAAATACTACAGGCATCTTATCTGATTAAATTCATAGCTAAGTACACTTGAGAGACTAAAACTATTCTGGTAGTCACATGAGCTGAAGCCGATGCTCTCCTGGTTGTGGAGTGGCAGGTGCCAGCCCATAAAGGAGAGTTAGATAGTCTCAACACTCCAGGGACTTAGGTTTTAAAACCTATGTGGAGACAGGAGATAGGCCCTTGGGCTCACTCAAATCAGGATTGAACTGAAAACCCATATAAAGCTGTAACCCACGTAGGAGTATACCTTTATTGAAAATGTGGGCTGGAAAAAAATCTGCCAATATGTAATCCAAAAACCTAGGAGAAAAATCTGCTTTAAAAAGTGGTCCTGGCTACTCTGGGCTCACTGCAAAAAAAAAAAAAAAAAACATGGTCCCAGGTCAGGGTGTGGTGGCTCACGCCTGTAACCCCATCACTAGAAGGCCGAGGCAGGCAGATCACCTGAGGTCAGGAGTTCGAGACCAGCCTGGCCAACATGGTGAAACCCCATCTCTAATAAAAATACAAAATTAGCCGGGTGTGGTGGCACATGCCTGTGTAATCCCAGCTACTTGAACCCAGGAGGCAGAGGTTGCAGTGAGCTGAGATCGCACCACAGCACTCCAGCCTGGGTGACAGAGCAAGACTCCATCTCGAAAAAAAAAAAGAATAAGTGGTCTTTAGACAGACTTCCATTTCTGGTAAGACGAAGCAGGCATCTTCTCTCCTATTCCTCCCACTCAGTATAGCTAAAAACCCTGGACGTTCTATATAAAACAAAAATAAGACTGAAAGGTGACAATAAGTCAGACTGACTAAAGGACCTTGGGACCAGAGGAAAGACAGTGGTAAGTTCCCTAGGTTTTCTTTTTGACTTATATATCAGACTTGATGCTAAAGAAGCGGAAACTTGAAAATGCCAAGTGGCACAGACGAAGTGTAAAGCCACAACAAAAGCCTCTCTAGCCAAAGAACTAGGACAGGGGCAGCCTAATAAGACAGAAAACCTAGACAATAACCACTATCCCAGCCAAACACCACAAAAAACAAACCAACCAACCAACCCTGGCCCTACCCATATCCACACCAACAAAGAACAAGCAGGGAGTCTACACTTCCATCCCCAGAAGGATAAAATGAGGCGGTACAGTGCACCCACCGGAGTGGTGTCAGAGAAGTAAGGAACAAGAAAGGCAAAGTAAGGAACCTGGCCTTTCATCCCTGCTGGCAGAAATGAGATACCCCCAATCCCTCCCAGTGTCAGTACAGACCGTCTGGGGGGCTGATTCACACATCTGCCCACCAATAGCAAGGAGCACCCCCTTTCTGGTGTCAAAGAGGCTGGCAGGAGAACTTGGACTTCTACTTGTATCTGGCAGTTACAAGGAAGCAACCCAGCTTTCTTTGCCAGAATGGTGTCACAGAAAGCCAGCTAAAACTAGGTTTAAATAAGGTATTAAGTCTCATCATGGGCTGGGCATGGTGGCTCATGACTGGAATCCCAGCACTTCGGGAGGCCAAAGCCGGCCAAACCCAGGAGTTCGACACCAGCTTGGGCAATATGGCAAAACCTGTCTCTACAAAAAATACAAAAATTAGCTGGGCATGCTGGCACATGCCTGTGGTCCCAGCTACTCGGGAGGCTGAGGTGGGAGAATCGCTTGAGTGTGGGAGGTGGGGGTTGCAGTGAGCCGAGAGCAAGCCACTGCACTCCAGCCTGAATGACAGATTGAGACCCAGACATTTTTATACTGTTATGAGACTTTATTTTTATTTTTTTGCAACAAAAAATAAAAGGCTCATAACAATACGAAAATGTCCGCATTTCAATAAAAAATCATTCATACGAAGAACCAAGAAGATTGAAACTGAATGAAAAAAAAGATGTCAACACCAAAATGACATGTTAGAACAATTGACAAAGATTTTAAAGCAGCCATGATGAAAATGCTTCAATGAGCAATTATGAACATCCCTGAAACAAATAAAGTAGCTTCAGTGTACTAGTTTCCTATTGCTGCCATAACAAATCACCACAAATTCACCAGCTTAATGCAGATTCGTTAGCTGTAGGTTAGAAGTCTGACATGGGTCTTAACTGGGCTAAATCAATTTGTCCACAAGGCTGTTACTTTGTAGAGACCCTAAGGGAGAATCTATTTCCTCGCTCCTTCCAGCTTCTACCCACATTCCTCGGCATGTAGCCCTCTTCCTCCATCTTCAAAGCCAGCAACATGACATCTCTGTGCCTTTCTGTCACATCTTCCTCTAACCACAAGCAGGAAAGTTTCTCTGATTTTAAGGACCCATGTAATTAGATTGCACCCACCAGACAATCCAAGCTAATCCCCCTGTTCAAATCCTCAAGCACATTATTTTAAAGTTTATTTTGCCATGTAGAGTAACATATTCACAGTTCCAGGGATTAAGACATGGACATCTTTGGAGGACCATTCTGCCTACTGCACTCAGCAAAGAAATACAAAGTCTCAGAATACAGAAGTTATGAAGAAGAACCAAATGGAAAATTTAGGGCACAGTAACCAAAAGAAAAATCTCAGTGGATGGACCCAACAGGACAATGGAGGAGAGAGAGGAAAGAATCAGTAAACTAGAATACATATTACCCAATCTGAGCAACAGAGAAAAAACAGATTGAACAAAATTGAACATGACCTTAGGGAACTATAATAAAAAAAAAACTAACATTCATGTCATCAGAGTTGCCAAAGCAGAGGAGAAAAAAGGTGGGACTAACAAAGCCCTCAAAGAAATAACTCAAAATTCCCCAAGAGACAACCCACAGATTCAAGAAGGTGAACAAACTCTGAAAAGGATAAACCCAAAGAAATCCATGCCAAGACATCATAATTAATTTTCTGAAAACTAAAGACAAAAAAATCTTGAAAATAGCCAGCAGAAAATGAGTGACATTTTACGTATAAGGGGAAATCAATTAGAACACACTAGAAAATGGTGGGAGAAAGAAGTGGCGCAATATTTTTCAGGAACAAACTGTTCGAGTTTTGTTCAAAAACAAAACTGTTGGCCGGGCACAGTGGCTCACGCCTGTAATCCCAGCACTCTGGGAGGCCAGGGCGGGTAGATCACTTGAGGTCAGGATTTCGAGACCAGCCTGGCCAACATGGTGAAACCCCATCTCTACTAAAAATACAAAAATTAGCCGGGCATGGTGGCATGCACCTGTAATCCCAGCTACTCAGGAGGCTGAGACAGGAGAATCACTTGAACCCAGAGGTAGAGGTTACAGTGAGCCAAGATTACACTACTGCACTCCAGCCTGGGCAACAAGAGTGAGATTCTTTCTCAAAAAAAAAAAAAAAAAAAAAAAGGCCAGGCGTGGTGGCTCCCGCCTATAATCCCAGCACTTTGGGAGGCTGAGGTGGGCAGATCATGAGGTCAGGAGATCAAGACCATCCTGGCTAACACGGTGAAACCCCATCTCTACTAAAAATACAAAAAATTAGCCAGGAGTGGCGGCAGGCACCTGTAGTCCCAGCTACTTGGGAGGCTGAGGCAGGAGAATGGCGTCAACCCGGGAGGCAGAGGTTGCAGTGAGCCGAGATCATGCCACTGCACTCCAGCCTGGGCGACAGAGCGAGACTCCATCTAAAAATAAAAATTAAAAAAAAGAAGTTATCTAGGCTGGGTGGAGTAGCTCACACCTCTAATCTCAGCACTTTGGGAAGCTGAGTTAGGATGATCATTTGAGCTCAGGAGTTCGAGATCAGCCTGGGCAATATGGTGAAACACTGTCTCTACAAAAAATACAAAAATTAGCCAGGAGTGGTGGCTCATGCCTGTGGCCCCAGGTACTTGGGAGGCTGAGACAGAAGTATCACTTGAACCCAGGAAGTAGTGGTTGCAATAAGCTGAGATCTGGTCATTGCACTCCAACCTGGACACTAGACAGAGACACTGTCTCAAAAAAAAAAAAGAGAGAGAGAGAGATTGGCCAAGAACTATGAGTTGTGGGTAGGGAGGGCTGAATAAATAAGAGTGCAGGGGATTTTTTTTTTTTAAATACAGGGTCTCACTCTGTCACCAGGCTGGAATGCAGTGGCACAATCTCAGCTCGCTGCAGCCTCAAACTCCCCAGATTCAGGTGACCCTCCCACCTCAGTCTCCTGAGTAGCTAGGACCACAGGCACACGCCACCATGCCCGGCTAATTTTTGTATTTTTGGTAGAGATGGGGTTTCGCCATGTTACCCAGGCTGGTTTCGAAATCCTCAGCTCAAGCGACCCACCTGCCTTGGCCTCCCAAAGTGCTGCAATGATGGCACCCAGCCAAGAATGTTAACCTGAAGTGTGCATGCGTTTAGGGCCACAAAATATATGAAGCAAAAGCTGATAGAACTGAAAGGAGAAATAGACAAACCTACAGTTACAGACGGAGACTTCAACACTTCCCTCTTAACAATTACTAGAACAACTAGGCAGAAAATCAGCAATGATATAAAAGAACTAAACAATAACATCAACCAGTAACATACAGGCTTAGAAAAACTCCACCCAACAACAGAACACAACAACAGAACATACACCAAGACAGATCATATCCTGGGCCATAAAACAAACCTTAAATTTAAAAGAACTGAAATTATGTAAAATGTAATCTGTGGCCACAATGAAATCAAACTAGAAATCAATAATGGAAACATAACAGGAAAATCTCCAAACTAAACAAAATACTTTTAGATAATCCATGGGTCAAAGAGGAGGTAAAAAAAATTGAGAAAAAAAAAGAGAATACAATAAACAAAATGAAAAAATAGATATATTTTCCCCCAAGCTATATGCTTCTACCTTAATACTCTTCCTCTATTTCATTTCAGGTTTTTTCACTCTAAAGTCTAAACTAACTAGGTCAGAGTCTTCAAAGTATTGCATTTGTTTAACTGGCATAATAATGCTATCTCAGCATAAACTATGGTAAAGGTTCCACCAGTCCAGGCCATTTTTGACAACTTCTTGGAAGGAAATGGGCAAACCACAAATCAAAAGAACATCCGCATCTGAAAATCCACCCTGTATAATAGTAGAAGGCAAGAGATCTGTAACTAAAGCTAGTTATAAGTTGATGGACTCACTATGAACAATTTGGCTACATCTGGTAGAATTACAGAAAGCATGTAGAGTTCACATGTGTTAGAAATCCTAGAAGATCAAAGACTCTTAGCTTGAACTCTTTCTTAGTAGAGCTAAAAATGTATGTCACTCGGCCAGGCACGGTGGCTCACGCCTGTAACCCCAGCACTTTCGGAGGCCAAGGCAGGAGAATCACAACGTCAGGAGTTCAAGACCAGCCTGGCCAACATGGTGAAACCCCGTCTCTACTAAAAACACAAAAATTAGCTGGGCGTGGTGGCATGCACCTATAATCCCAGCTACTCAGGAGGCTGAGGCAGGAGAATTGCTTGAACCCGGGAGGCAGAGGTTGCAGTGAGCCGAGATCACGCCACTGCACTCCAGCCTGGGTGACAGAACAAGACCCTGTCTTGGAAAAAAAAAAAAAAAAAGTGAAGACCATGGGAAAGGCGCAGTATCTGGCCTGGAGTGCAGTGTTCCTCATGGCACAGTCCCTTAGTGGGACTTCCTTGGCTAGGGGAGGGAGTTCCCCAACCCCTTGTGCTTCCCAGGTGAGGCAACACCCCACCCTGCTTCGGCTTGCTGTCTGTCGGCTGCACCCACTGTCCAACCAGTCCCAATGAGATAAATCAGGTACCTCAGGTGGAAATGCAGAAATCACCCACCTTCCACATCAGTCTCGCTGGGAGCTGCAGACCAGAGCTGTTCCTATTTGGCCATCTTGCCAACAATTCCCTTAAGAAACTCACTCAAAACCACACAACTACATGGAAACTGAACAACCTGCTCCTGAATGAGTACTGGGTAAATAACGAAATTAAGGCAGAAATAAGTAAGTTCTTTGAAACCAATGAGAACAAAGACACAATGTACCAGAATCTCTGGGACACATCTAAAGCAGTGTTTAGAGGGAAATTTATAGCATTAAATGCCCACAAGAGAAAGCAGGAAAGATCTGAAATCGACACCCTAACATCACAATTAAAAGAACTAGAGAGCTCTCGGCTTTCGGCTTGGAGGAGGCCAAGGTGCAACTTTCTTTGGTCATTCCGCACCAGCCGCCTCCACCATGCCGCCAAAGTTCGACCCCAACGAAATCAAAGTCGTATACCTGAGGTGCACCGGAGGTGAAGTCGGTGCCACTTCTGCCCTGGCCCCCAAGATCGGCCCCCTGGGTCTGTCTCCAAAAAAGGTTGGTGATGACATTGCCAAGGCAACGGGTGACTGGAAGGGCCTGAGGATTACAGTGAAACTGACCATTCAGAACAGACAGGCCCAGATTGAAGTGGTGCCTTCTGCCTCTGCCCTAATCATCAAAGCTCTTAAGGAACCACCAAGACACAGAAAGAAATAGAAAAACATTAAACACCGTGGGAATATCACTTTTGATGAGATCGTCAACATTGCTTGACAGATGCGGCACTGATCCTTAGCCAGAGAACTCTCTGGAACCATTAAAGAGATCCTGGGGACTGCCCAGTCTGTGGGCTGTAACGTTGATGGCCGCCACCCTCATGACATCATAGATCACATCAACATTGGTGCTGTGGAATGCCCAGCCAGTTAAGCACAAAGGAAAATATTTCAGTAAAGAATCATTTGACAACTGGTGAAAAAAAAAGAACTAGAGAAGAGAAGCAAGAGCAAACAAATTCAAAAGCTAACAGAAGACAAGAAATAACTAAGATCAGAGCAGAACTGAAAGAGATAGAGACATGAAAAACCGTTCAAAAGATCAATGAATCCAGGAGCTGGTTTTTTGAAAAGATCAACAACATAGATAGACTGCTAGCCAGACTAATAAAGAAGAAAAGAGAGAAGAATCAAATAGATGCAATAAAAAATGATAAAGGGGATATCACCACTGATCCCACAGAAATACAAACTACCATCAGAGAATACTATAAACACCTCTACGCAAATAAACTAGAAAATCTAGAAGAAATGGATAAATTCCTGGACACATACACCCTCCCAAGTCAAACCAAGAAGAAGTTGAATCCCTGAATAGACCAATAACAAGTTCTGAAATTGAGGCAGTAATAGCCTACCAACCAAAAAAAGTCCAGGACCAGATGGATTCACAACCAAATTCTACCAGAGGTACAAAGAGGAGCAGATACCATTCCTTCTGAAACTATTCCGAACAATAGAAAAAGAGGGAATCCTCCCTAACTCATTTTATGAGGCCAGCATCATCCTGATACCAAAGCCTGGCAGAGACACAACAAAAAAAGGGAATTTTAGACCAATATCCCTGATGAACGTCGATGCAAAAATCCTCAATAAAATACTGGCAAACCGAATCCAGCAGCACATCAAAAAGCTTATCCACCATGATCAAGTGGGCTTCATCCCTGGGATACAAGGCTGGTTCAACATATGCACATCAATAAACGTAATCCATCACATAAACAGAACCAATGACAAAAACCACATGATTATCTCAATAGATGCAGAAAAGGCCTTTGACAAAATTCAACACCCCTTCATGCTAACAACTCTCAATAAACTAGGTACTGATGGAATGTATCTCAAAATAGTAAGAGCTATTTATGACAAACCCACAGCCAATATCATACTGAATGGCCAAAAACTGGAAGCATTCCCTTTGAAAACCGGCACAAGACAGGGATGTCCTCTCTCACCACTCCTATTCAACATAGTATTGGAAGTTCTGGCCAGGGCAATCAGGCAAGAGAAAGTAATAAAGCGTATTCAAACAGGAAGAGAGGAAGTCAAATTGTCTCTGTTTGCAGATGACATGATTGTATATTTAGAAAACCCCATTGTCTCAGCCTGAAATCTCCTTAAGCTGTTAAGCGACTTCAGCAGTCTCAGGATACAAAATCAATGTGCAAAAATCACAAGCATTCCTATACACCAATAATAAACAGAGAGCCAAATCATGAGTGAACTCCCATTCACAACTGCTACAAAGAGAATAAAATACCTAGGAATACAACTTACAAGGGGGAGAACTACAAACCACTACTCAAGGAAATAAGAGAGGACACAAACAAATGGAAAAACATTCCATGCTCATGGATAGGAAGAATTGATGTTGTGAAACTGGCCATACTGCCAAAAGTAATTTATAGATTCAATGCTATCCCCATCAAGCTACCACTGACTTTCTTCACAGAATTAGAAAAAACTACTTTAAATTTCATATTGAACCAAAAAAAAAAGAGACCGTATAGCCAAGAAAATCCTAAGCAAAAAAACAAAGCTGGAGGCATCACGCTACCTGACTTCAAGTTATATTACAAGACTACAGTAACCAAAACAGCATGGTACTGGTACCAAAACAGATATATAGATCAATGGAACAGAACAGAGCCCTCAGAAATAACACCACACATCTACAACCATCTGATCTTTGACAAACCTGACAAAAACAAGCATTGGGGAAATGATTCCTTATTTAATAAATGGTGCTGGGAAAACTGGCTAGCCATACACAAAAAACTGAAACTGGACCCCTTCCTTAAACCTTAAACAAAAATTAACTCAAGATGGATTAAAGTCTTAAACGTAAGACCTAAAACCTGCTGCACGCAGTGGCTCATGCCTGTAATCCCAGCACTTTGGGAGGCCGAGGTGGGAGGATCACAAGATCAGGAGTTCGAGACCAGTCTGGCCAACACAGTGAAACCCTGTCTCTACTAAAAATACACAAAAAATTAGCCAGGTATGGTGGTGTGCACCTATAATCCCAGCTACTCAGGAGGCTGAGGCAGGAGAATCGCGTGAACCTGGGAGGCGGAGGTTGCAATGAGCCAAGATTGTGCCACTGCACTCCAGCCTGGGCAACAGAACGAGACTCCGTCTCAAAAAAAAAAAACCTAAAACCGTAAAAACCCTAGAAAAAAAACCTAGGCAATACCATTCAGGACATAGGCATGGGCAAAGACTTCATGACTAAAACACCAAAAGCAATGGCAACAAAAGCCAAAATTGACAAATGGGATCTAATTAAACTAAAGAGCTTCTGCAAAGCAAAAGAAACTATCATCAGAGTGAACAGGTAACTTACAGAATGGGAGAAAATTTTTGCAATCTATCCATTTGACAAAGTGTTACTATCCAGAATCTACAAAGAACTTAAACAAATTTACAAGAAAAAATCAAACAACCCCATCAAAAAGTGGGCAAAGGATATGAACAGATACTTCTCAAAAGAAGACATTTATGCAGTCAAGAAACACATGAAAAAATGCTCATCATCACTGGCCATCAGAGAAATGCAAATCAAAACCACAATGAGATACCATCTCACACCAGTTAGAATGGCGATCATTAAAAAGTCAGGAAACAGCAGATGCTGGACAGGATGTGGAGAAATAGGAACACTTTTACTCTGTTGGTGGGAGTGTAAATTAGTTCAACCATTGTGGAAGACAGTGTGGCGATTCCTCAAGGATGTAACCAGAAATACCATTTGACCCAGCAATCCCATTACGGGGTATATACCCAAAGGATGATAAATCATTCTACTATAAAGTCTCATACACACGTATGTTTATTGCGGCACTATTCACAATAGCAAAGATTGGAACCAACCCAAATGCCCATCAATTATAGACTGGATAAAGAAAGTGTGGCACATACACACCATGGAATACTATGCAGCTATAAAAAGGGATGCATTCATGTCCTTTGCAGGGACATGGATGAAGCTGGAAACCAACATTCTCAGCAAACTAACACAAGGACAGAAAACCAAACACTGCATGTTCTCACTCAGAAGTGGGAATTGAACAATGACAACACATGGACACAGGGAGGGGAACATCACACACTGGAGCCTGTCGGGGGGTGTGGGGCTAGGGGAGGGATAGCATTAGGAGAAATACCTAATGTAGATGACGGGTTGATGGGTGCAGCAAACCACTATGGCACATGTATACCTACGTAACAAACCTGCACGTTTTGCACATGTACCCCAGAACTTAAAGTATAATAAAAAAAATGTATGTCACTCTACCTCCCAAATTCAGAAGAAGCTCTTAGTCTCTCTAAATGTGTATGTCACTTTGAAGGGAGAAATTCAAAAGTCATAATCTTTTTTCTTTTTTACAGTGGTTCTTTTCGATTTTATTTTTTTAATTAATATAAATTATATATATATTACATGATGTATTGAAATGTGTATACAGGGCTGGGCACAGTGGCTCATGCCTGTAATCCCAGCACTTAGGGAGGCCAAGGTGGGCAGATCACTTGAGGTAAGGAGTTCGAGACTAGCCTGGGCAACATGGAGAAACCCCATCTCTACAAAAAATACATAAAAGTTAGGCCAGGCTCGGTGGCTCACACCTGTAATCCTAGCACTTTGGGAGGTTGAGGCAGGTGGATTGCCTGAGCTCAGGAGTTCATGACCAGCCTGGGCAACACAGTGAAACCCTGTCTCTACTAAAATACAAAAAATTAGCCCGGCGTGGTGGCATGCACCTGTGATCTCAGTTACTCTGGAGGCTGAAACAGGAGAATCGCTTGAACCTGGGAGGCGGAGGTTGCAGTGAGCCCAGATAGCACCACTGCACTCCAGCCTGGGCGACAGAGTGAGACTCCATCTCAAAAAAAAAAAAAAAGCAAATGTTTGCTGCGTGTGGTGGTACACACCTGTAGTCCTAGCTACTCGGGAGGCTGAGGTAGAAGAATTGCTTGAACCTGGGAAGCGGAGGTTGCAGCGAGCCAAGATCGCGCCACTGCACTCCAGCCTGGGCAACAAGCAAAACTCCATCTCAAAAAAAAAAAAAAAAGTACATGTAGATGAAGATGACTCTTCAGGACTTAATATTGAATAGAAAAAGTGGGTTGCAGGTAATATATGTGTACGTAGAATTTTTAACTAAACCAAACAATTCTACATATTTTCTTTGTTGGCGCTGGGGGGTAGAGGGCTGGTGAGGGGGATGGTGGTAGGGAAACGGTGTCTGGCTCTGTCGCCCAGGCTGGAGTGCAGTGGCGTGTGGCGGGATCTCAGTTCACTGTGGCTTGTACATCCTGGGCCCATGAGATCCTCCCACCTCAGCCCCCTGGGTAGCTGGGACTATAGGCACCCACCACCATGTCAGGCTAATTTTTGGATTTTATGTAGGGACGAGGTCTCGCCATGTTGTCCAGGCTGGTCTCAAACTCCTGGGCTCAAGTGATCCTCCCACCTTGGCCTTCCAAAGTTCTGGGATTACAGGTGTGAGCCACTGTGAATGGCTACTTTTACATACTGTTTAGGGGCAAAATGCATTTGTAATAACTGTTTAGGGACAAAATACATTTGTAGTAAAAGTGTAAAATCAAGGACAGGAAGATTATATATTTGCCTCTGTGATTAGAGGAGGTACAAAGTGGACTTCAACTGTACCTGTAGTTAAAAAGAAAGCTCATACAAATATGACAAAAAGGAAATATGGAAAATGCAAATGTACCCCTCTCCATTTCCCATGAAAATATGAAAAAATAGGAGAACACTATGTACTATCCTATTTCCCTGTATGTGCAATATTTCATTAAAAATGTAAGTTGTATGCTGATTCAAGCAGCAGGAAAAAATATATAAAAATATACGTGTGAGTATATTTATATATGTGTGTATATAAACATACGTATATAAAATATATACATAAATGTATGTATACACATATGTGTGTGCACGTGTGTGTGCGTGTATGCGTGTGTGCGCATGTGTGCGTGTATGTGTGCGTCTGTGTGTGTGCGTGTATGTGCGTGTGTGTGTGTGCCTGTCTGTGTGTCTGTGTGTGCGTGTCTATGTGTGTGCATGTGTGTGCGTGTGTGTACGTGTGTGCGTGTGTATGTGTGTGCGCATGTGTATGTGCGCGCCCATGTATGTGTGGGTGTGTGTATGTGGGTGTATGTGCGTATGTGTGTACGTGTATGTGTGTGTCTGTGTGCACATGTGCGCGTGTGTCTGTGTGTGCGTGTGTGTGCGTGTGTATGTGTCTGTGTATGTCTGTGTATATGTGTGTGCGTGTGTCTGTGTGTATGTGTGTGTGTCTGTGTGTGTATGTGTATATGTGTGTATGTGTATGTGTGTGTGTCCGTGTCTGTCTGGGTTTATGTATGTGTGCATATGTGTGTGTGCGCGCGCACGCGCGTGTCTGTGTGTGCGTGCGCGCGTGTGTTGCCAACTGTGGGAAAGTGATCTGCCCAGAAATTAAAAATCAAAATCAGAGAAATTCAACAGACCAAACAGGGCTAAGGATTTGGAATAAGTAACGGCAGGTATGGTGTGGAGTTTTTATCAGCAGAAATTTCTAGCAAGCAAATTTGTAAAATGTAAGTCAGTCAGTTTAAAAACGAATTTCTTAATTAAAAATACTCACAGGAAGTATATACAGCTGGCCTTTGAGCAACATGGGTTTGAACCGCGTGGGTCTACTAGACATGGATTTTCTTCTGCCTCCGCCACCCCTGAGACAGACAGCAAGACCAATACCTCCTTTTTCTCTTCCCCAGCCCATTCAACACGAAGATAAGGAGGATAAAGAGCTTTATAATGACGCACTTCCACTTAATACATAGTAAATATATTTTTATCTTCCTTATGATTTTCTTAATAACATTTTTTTTCTTTTTGAGATGGAGTCTCCCTCTGTTGCCCAGGCCGCAGTGCAGTGGTGCGATCTTGGCTCACTGCAACCTCCCCCGTCTGGGTTCAAGCGATTCTCCTGCCTCAGCCTCCCATGTAGCTGGGATTACAGGCGCACGCCACCACGTCCAGCTAATTTTTGTGTTTTTATTAGAGACAGGGTTTCGCCATATTGACCAGGCTGGTCTCGAACCCCTGACCTCAGGTGATCTGCCTGCCTCAGCCTCCCAAAGAGCTGGGATTATAGGCATAAGCCACTGTGCCCCAGATGATTTTCTTAATAACATTTTCTTTCCTCCAGCTTACTTTATTGTAAAAATACAGTATATAATACATATCACATATATAAAAAAAAAGTGACAGTTTATGTTGCCGGTATGGCTTCTGGTCCACAGTAGGCTATTAGTAGTTAAGCTTTTGAGGTCAAAAGTTCTATGTGGATTTCTGAATGTGTGAAGGGTTGATGGTTGATGCCCCTAATCCCCATGTTGTTCAAGGGTCAACTGTACTTCAATTCCAAATCCAGTGCAGAAAAACTTTCAGGGCCAGGAAAATGCATTTTGATATAAAATTCAATGGATATTAAGCTCATGCCATAATTAAC
Organism: Homo sapiens; assembly: GCF_000001405.40. NCBI lineage: Eukaryota > Metazoa > Chordata > Mammalia > Primates > Hominidae > Homo > Homo sapiens. The sequence goes on along the minus strand of NC_000014.9, from coordinate 34,733,683 downwards.
AACATAATTATTTTTGCAAGAGTTGATAATATTCACTCCACACTGAACTCTCTAACACACTCTCCCAGGTACTAAAGCCAACAAATAGTTTTCATTTCATAATCTTTTTTGCTGGAGAACTAAAGATCCTATTTATGAGTTCACCGAAATCCAAGAAAATTTACAAATCTGGGGAAACAAAGAGCTGTGGATTCCTTTATTACTGTGGCTCAGCTTCTTGGAATGCAGTTTATCCTTACACTAGTAAGACCGGTTTATAACTGCAGATTCCAAAATGGAATCTGGTCAATGGGTAACTTTGAAGGGATGTCCTGTAATGAGGGAGGCTGCCAAAAATGAGTACCCAACGTGAGCCCTTTGGAAAAATAAGTACAATACACATAGGCAGCCAGTATCTCTGAATGAATGGTCTAATAGCCTATATTAAACTATATTCATGAGAAAAGAACACAGGGAACATAGCTCTTTTTTTTTTTTTTTTAATCTCATGACATCAGTAGAACCTGTTAAATTAAGTTTAGCCTAAAGTTGTCTCCTTCCATATCCTAAGTTTGGTCTAAAGGTTGCTCCATACAGAGTGAACTGTAACCTAACTAAATGTATAAACAGACCACAACCGACTCTTGTGCCAATCACCAAGTCTCAGTCAATCACAGGAGGCCAATTGTTCAAATTGTGTTCAAATAAGACAAACACCGAGCTATAACCGATCCTGCTGTTTCTGTACCTCATTTCCATTTTCTGTATGTCACTTCCCTTTTCCTGTCCATCAATCTTCTTCGACCACCCATTAGCTCCAGAGTCTCTCTGAACCTATTCTGGTTCAGGAGGCTGCCCAATTCACAAATAGTTCTTTGTTCAATTAAACTATGTTAAATTTAATTTGTCTAAGGTTTGTTTTTTTTTTAACAAGCCTCATTCACGCTTACGCTCTGAAATTCTTAAAAGAGTTCCAAATGTAAATGCAAAATCTCTGTGTATCATTTAATACTATAAAAAACAGCTTTTTTCTCCCAATTTGTATCATAAAAAGTTTAAAAACTTAAACAAAAACCCCATAGTTCCATCAGCCTAATAAATTGCTTCTAATCCTAGACATAAAGAAGATTCTATTAGCAAACAAAATATAAATTCTTCTCAATTATACATGAAACATTCTCCAAGATAGACCACAAGTTAGTCCACAAAACAAGTCTTACCAAATTTAAGAAGAGTGAATCATATCAAGTGTCCCTTCTGAACACATGGTATGAAACTAGAAATCAATAATAGGAGGAAACATGGAAAATTCACAAATATATGGAAATTAAACAACATGCTCCTGAACAACCAGTGGGTCAGAGAAGAAATTAAAAGGAAAATTTAAAATGTCTTGAGACAGACAAAAATGGAAACACAACATATCAAAACTTAAGGGATGTAGCAAAAGCAGTCGTGAGAGGGAAGTCTATAGCAACAAATGCCCACGTTTAAAACAAACAAAAAAAAAGGCAGCCTGATGCGGTGGCTCCCATCTGTAATTCCAGCACTTTGGGAGGCTGAGGCGGGCGGATCACTTGAGGCCAGGAGTTCAAGACCAGACTGGCCAACATGGTGAAACCTCGTCTCCACTAAATGTAGAAAAATTAGCTGGGGTGTAGTGGCGCATGCCTGTAATCCCAGCTACTTGGGAGGCGGAGGCGGAAGAATCGCTTGAACCCAGGAGGCAGAGGTTGCAATGAGCTGAGATCATACCACTGCACTCCAGCCTGGGCGACAGAGCAAGACTCCATCTCAAAAAAAAGAAAGTATGATGTTAGCTGTGGGCTTTTCATATATGGCTTTTATTGGGTTGAGGTACATTCCTTCTATGCCTAATTGTTGAGGGTTTTTAATCATAAGAGGATACTGAATTTTGTTAAATGCTTTTTCTGCAACTATTGAGATGATCATGTGGTTTTTGTCCTTCGTTTTGTTAATATGGTGTATCACATTTACTGATTTATGTATGTTGAACCATTCTTGTATCACAGGGATAAATCATGCTTGAACATGGTGAATAAACTTTTTAATGTGCTGTTGAATTTGGTTTGCTAATGTTTTGTCGAGGATTTCTGCTTGTTTGTTTTGAGACGGAATCTCGCTCTGTCACCCAGGCTGGAGTGCAGTGGCACGACTGAGGCTCACTGCAACCTCCGCCTCCCAGGTTCAAGTGATTCTCCTGCCTCAGCCTCCCGAGTAGCTGGGACCACAGGCATGCACCACCACACCCGGCTAATTTTTGTAATTTTAGTAGAGATGGGGTTTCACCATGTTGGCCAGGCTGGTCTCAAACTCCTAACCTCAGGTGATCCACCCGCCTTGGCTTCTCAAAGTGCTAGGAGTACAGGCGTGAGCCACCACACCCAGCCTGGCTTATAGGTTTCTTATAGTGTCCTTGTCTGCCTTTGGCATAAGGGCAGTGCTGGCCTTCTAAAATGAGTTTGGAAGTATTCCCTCCTCTTCAGTTTTTAGGAAGAGTTTGAGAAGGGTTGATATTAGTTCTTCTTTAGATGTTTGGTATACGGCCAGGCATGGGAGGCCAAAGAGAGTACTTTGGGAGGCCGAGGCGGGCAGATCACTTGAGGTCAGGGGTTCGAGACCAGCCTAGCCAACATGGTGAAACCCCATCTCTACTAAAAATACAAAAATTAGCCGGGTTTGGTGGTGCACGCCTGTAGTCCCAGCTGCTCAGGAGGCTGAGGCAGGAGAATCACTTGAACCCAGAAGGCAGAGGTTGCAGTGAGCCACGATCATACCACTGCACTCCAGCCTGGGCAACAGAGTGAGACTCTGTCTCAAAAAAAAAAAAAATTAACATACAAATATCAGTAGCATTTCTATACACTAAAAACTATCTGAAGGAGAAATTAATAGGAAAACAATCCCATTTACAATAGCACCAAAAAAAAAATTAGGAGTAAATTTAACCAAAGAGATGAAAGACCTGTATATTGAGGACAATAAAAGATTGATAAAGAAATTGAAGAAGATAAAAATAAATGGAATGATATCCTATGTTCATGGATTAGAAGAATATTGTTAAAATGTCTACACCACTCAAGAAATCTACAGATTCTGTGTAATCTCTATTAAAGTTCCAATGCCAGTTTTCACAGAAATAGAAGAAAAAATTCTAAAATTCAGGTGGAACCACAAAAGACCCCAAACAGCCAAAGCGATCTTGAGTGAAAAAAAAAAAAAAAAAAGCTGGAGGCATTACATTCCCTGAGTTCAAAACATGTTATAAACCTGTTGTAACAGCATGGTACTGGCATAAAAACACTCACACTGGAACAGAAGCTCAGAAATAAACCCAACTCTTTATGGTTAATTGATATTTTATAAAGGTGCTAAGAACACACAATGGGGAAAGGACAGTTTCTTTATAAATTTTGGTAAAATTGGATATCCACATGCAGAAAACTGCAACTGGACCCTTATCTCACACCACATACAAAAATCAACTCAAAGCCAGGTGCAGTGGCTCACACCTGTAATCCTAGCACTTTAGGGGGCGAACGTGGGCAGATATCTTGAGCCCAGGAATTTGAGACCAGCCTGGGCAATATGGCAAAACCGTTTCTACAAAAAATACAAAAATTAGCTGGGTGTGGTGGTGTGCACCTGTAATCACAGCTACTTGTGGGGATGAGGCAGGAGGATTGCTTGAACCCGGGAGGTTGAAGATGCAGTGGGCTGTGATTCTGCCACTATACTCCAGCCTGGACAACAGTGAAACCCTGTCTCAAAAAAAAAACAAAAAACAAACAAACAAAAACTCAAGATGGATTAAAGACTTATGGTCACAAGACCTGAAACTGTAAAACTACTAGAAAAAAACATAGAAGAAAAGCTCCAGCATATTGGTCTGGGCAATGATTTCTTGACTAGGCCTGCAAAAGCATAAGCAACAAAAGCAAAAATAGACAAAATGGCTTATATCAAACTAAAAAGTTTCTGCACAGCAAAGGAAACTTTTAACAGAGTGCAGAGACAACCCAAGGATTGGGAAAAAGTATTTTCAAACCATACATTTATAAAGGGGCTAGGCTGGGCCCAGTGGCTCATGCCTGTAATCCCAGCACTTTGGGGGGCTGAGGCAAGCACATCACTTGAGGGCAGGAGTTCAAGACCAGCCTGGCCAACAAGGTGAAACCCTGTCTCTGCTAAAAATACAAACATTAGCCAGGCATAGCGGTGCACATCTGTAATCCCAGCTACATGGGAGGCTGAGGCAGGAGAATCACTTGAACCCAGGAGGTGAAGGTTGCAGTGAGCCACTGCACTCGAACCTGGGTGACAGAGTGAGACTTCGTCTCAAAAAAGAAAAAAAAGAAAAGGGGCTAATATCCAAAATATATAAGGAACTCAATTCAATAACAAGATAACAAATAACCCAATTAATAAATGGGCAAAGGACCTGAAGAGACGTATATCAAAAGAAGACATAAAAATGGCCAATAGATGTTTGAAAAAAATGCTCAACACCTCTAGACATAGAGAAATGCAAATAAAATAATGAGCTATCACCTCACACCTGTTAGACGGGCTATATTGAGGTTCCTCAAAAAAAAATAAAAATAGAATTACCTTATTATCCAGCAATCCCACTTCCGGGTATATATCCAATGGAATTGAAATCAGTATGTTGAAGACATATCTGCACTTCCATGTTCATTTCAGCATTATTCACAATAGCCAAGATACAGAAGCCAACCTAAGTGGCCATCAACAGATGAGTGGATAAATAAAATGTGGTGCATATATACACAAAAGAATACTATTTAGCCTCAAAAGACAAGGAAATTCTGTCATTTGCAACAATATAGATGAACCTGGAGGACATTATGTTAAGTGAAATAAGCCAGACACAGAAAAACAAATATTGTATGATCTCATTTATATGTGGAATCTAAAAAAGTTGATCTCATAAAAACAGAGGAAAAAAATTATTACCAGAGGTAGGGGGGGTGGGTGAAGGGAATGGGGATAGAGGAGATGATGATCAAAGGGTACAAAGTTTCAGCTAGACTGGAAGAATACGGTTTAGTGATATGGATTATATTAATCTCATAAAAGTATTATAAGTTTACTTTCTAATTTTAAAAGATTCAAATGTTTAGTTAGAATTTTTTTTTTTTGAGATGGAATCTCAGTCTGTTGCCTAGGCTGGAGTGCAGTGGTATGATCTCAGCTCACTGCAACCACTACCTCCTGAGTTCAAGCTATTCTCCTGCCTCAGCCACCTGAGTAGCTGAGATTACAGGCATGTGCATGCCTGGCTAATTTTTGTATTTTCAGTAGAGACAGGGTTTTGCCATGTTGGCCAGGCTGGTCTTGAACTCCTGACTTCAAGTGATCCACCCACTTCGGCTTCCCAAAGTGCTGGGATTACAGGCATGAGCCACTGTGCCTCGCCAGAAATGTTTAAATGATACGAACTGCCGCAGACTAGAAGATAATAGACTGTTCTTCGTTAAAACAACAACAATAATAATATTGAAGCTGAGCACAGTGATGCCTGGCTCTAGTCTCAGCTACTTGAGAAGCTGAGGCAAAAGGATCACTTGAGCCCAGGAGTTTGAGTCTAGCCTGGGCAAAATAGCAAGACCCTGTTTTATACTGAATATTTACACTACAATCAGTAAACCTGGATGTAATATAAAGACCTCAGAAATTCAACAGTGGCCTGTATGTCTCAGGTTAAAACTATCTCTAGGACTGAAATTATTCTTTCAGAGATAAAAATGCATTATGGGAAAAGATACTTGCTTTCTGAGGGAATATAATACAATGTCAAATGCTCCATGATTCAGAGCAAATGTCTGTTTTTCGTAGTAAACATTGGACCAACACTTGATTGCTACCACGGTTTGGATGTGTCCCCCACCCAAATCTCATCTTGAATTGTAATAATGCCCACGTGTCAAGGGCAGGGACAAGTGGAGATAATTGAATCACGGGGGGGTGGTTCCCCCATACCGTTCTCGGGGTAGTGAATACGTTTCACCAAATCTGATGGTTTTATAAATGGGAGTTCCCCCACACAAACTCTTGCCTGCCGCCACGTAAGACATCACCTGCCTCCTCATTCGCCTTCGGCCATGATTGTGAGGTCTCCCCAGTCATGTGGAACTGTGAGTCAATTAAACCTCTTTACTTTATAAATTACCCAGTCTCAGCTATGTCTTTATTAGCAGCGTGAGAACAGACAAATTGCCATTTTGGCATGTTTTAGGTGAGGGAATAGATTTCTCCTTTTGTCTCACACACAAATGTTCTTAAAATGTCATTCCTATAGAGGCTTCATCATCAGCACTCCTATTGAAAGATCTTACCCATGACACATTCTAAATTTGGGTGGACTATGATAAAACAGAACTGATTTCACTCAGTACCACATAAAATATGCTCTTTCCTGTCTTTGATCCCCTCCAGCCTCAGGATGTTATCACTTCCCATTCCCTGGTGGGCCTGTCAGGATGAGATTTGGGGAGGGTACCAATCGACCAACTGAGGGAATTAACACCTTATTCTCATGAATAATCTCTGTAGCCCTCCACAGAGGGGTCGAAATTAATGACAAAATCTTTCAATATATTTTTATAAACACATGACTAAACATTTAAAAGTTCATAAGTTTTAGGCCGGGCACAGTGGCTCACACCTGTAATCCCAGCACTTTGGGAGGCCGAGACGGGCGGCTCACGAGGTTGGGAGATCGAGACCATCCTGGCTAACATGGTGAAACCCCATCTCTACTAAAAATACAAAAAATTAGCCGGGCGTGGTGGCGGGCGCCTGTAGTCCCAGCTACTCGGGAGGCTGAGGCAGGAGAATGGTGTGAACCTGGGAGGCGGAGCTTGCAGTGAGCCGAGATTGCGCCCCGCTCCACTCCAGCCTGAGCGACAGAGCGAGACTCTGCCTCAAAAAAAAAAAAAAAAAAAGTTCATAGGTTTCAGAACCAACAAGTCTTGAGTTTAAGATTTTTATGGACATTTATCTTATGGACAAGTTAGTTAACTGCCTGAGCCTGTTTCTTCATCTGTAAAAATGGAAATAACAATATTTACCTTGTTAAGATTGAATGTGCTCACTTTGAGATTACCTTAGCTGTTCTTTACTTATTTTTCCTTTTTTACTTTCCACATGATACTGATAAATATTTACATCTCTCTCTATCCACCTTTCCTATCCATGACAATTTATAATTCCATTTCTGGTTCAAGAGTGCTACAGAATTATTGTTATTGAACATGGATTATAAAATCTATAAATTGAGAAATTATTTCTATAGTCAGTATATATATAAATGGGGGTGGGGAAGAGAGAGGAAAAAAAATTTACTCTGCTAAACTGCCTAAGTAATGCCAAAGAAGGGCCCTGGCTAAAAATGTTGAGAATAAATTTGGGGCTGAAATAGTGCCCAAAGAAAAAATTATCCTTTAATACAAAATAAATCATCTGTTCAGGTGTCAGTCCCCACCCTGGACAGAGGGCTCAATGGCTAGAACCTTATTTCAGGTAATCATATATCACAACGATTAAGACAGAGCTGCTTACATAAAACGAAGAGTAGTTCAAGCCAAGTAACAGTGTCTTGAATGAGACAGAAATTTATCTTTCATAGACTGGAAGTTCTGCAAGCAGTGAAAAAAATAAAAATAAAGAAATTTCCTGGCTGGGCGCAGAGGCTCATGCCTGTAATCCCAGCGCTTTGGGAGGCCGAGGCAGGTAGATCACCTGATGTCGGGAGTTCAAGACCAGCCTGGCCAACATGGTGAAATCCCATCTCCACTAAATACAAAAAATTAGCCAGGTGTGGTGGCACATGCCTGTAATCCCAGCTACTTGGGAGACTGAGACAGGAGAATCGCTTGAACCCAGGAGGTGAAGGTTGCAGTGAGCTGAGATTGTGCCATTGCACTCCAGCCTGGGCAATAAGAGTGAAACTTTGTCCTCCCTGCCCTCCACCCTTCCCCCCCAAAAAAAAGAAAAAAAGAAAAGAAATTTCCCTATCATATTAAAGTCCACAGGAAGGCTGTCCAGGACTCGCATGGTGGCTGCATAATCATCTGAGATCCAGGGTCCCCTCTCTCTTTCTGCTCCATCATCCTAACAACTGGCATTGATTCTCAAGATCACCTCATGGTCCAAGAGGGCTGGTGGCCCTCTAACCATCAAGTCTGTGACACAAGCCAAAAGAAGGAAGGACGGAAAGGCAAGAGAGAACACACCTGCATCTAGCTCTGTCGCTCAGGCTGGAGTGCAGTGGCGCGATCTCGGCTCACTGCAAGCTCCGCCTCCAGGGTTCACGCCATTCTCCTGCCTCAGCCTCCTGAGTAGCTGGAACTACAGGCGCCCGCCACCATGCCCAGCTGATTTTTTTTGTATTTTTAGTAGAGACGGGGTTTCACCATGTTAGCCAGGATGGTCTCGATCTCCTGACCTTGTGATCCGCCCGCCTCGGCCTCCCAAAGTGCTGGGATTACAGGTGTGAGCCACTGTGCCCGGCCTGAGTCAGCTCCTTTTAAGCAGCCTCCTGGGAAGTCAACTCGATATTGGTAGAATTAGTCACATAGCCATATCTCTTATCAGAGAGGATGAAAAATTCAGTCTTTTAGCTGGGGACATAAGCTCCAAATAAAGTGGGGACTGACATTCTTTTACTAAAGTGCAAGGGAAGAATGGACATTGGCGGCCCCGGCAATCTCTGCTATAATGTTTCAAACCGATGTGAGAAAGGCTGGGCAAAGTGGCTCATGCCTGCAATCTCAGCACCTTGGGAGCCCAGGTGGGAGGATTGCTTGAGACTAGGAATTTGAGACCAGCTAGGGCAACACAGTAAGACCTGACCCTGTCTCTACGAAAAATTAAAAATTAGCCAGGCGTGGTGGCATGTACCTGTAGTCCCAACTACGGGGGAGGCTGATGTGGGAGGATTACTTGAGCCCAGGAGAGCGAGGCTGCAGTGAGGTATAATCACAACACTGCATTCCAGCCTGGGCAACATAGGAAGACCCTGCCTTTAAAAAAAAAAAAAAAAAAAAAACAGTGGCCGGGCATGGTGGCTCACGCCTGTAATCCCAGCACTTGGGGAGGCCGAGGCGGGCAGATCACAAGGTCAGGAGATCGAGACCACGGTGAAACCCTGTCTCTACTAAAAATACAAAAAAATTAGCCGGGCGTGGTGGCGGGCTCCTGTAGTCCCAGCTACTCGGGAGGCTAAGGCAGGGGAATGGCGTGAACCCGGGAGGCGGAGCTTGCAGTGAGCTGAGATCGCGACACTGCACTCCAGCCTGGGCGACAGAGCAAGACTCTGTCTCAAAACAAACAAACAAACAAACAAAAACCCATTTGAGAGGATAAAAATTTCAAGCACCTTGGAAAGGAGACAGCTTTATAGGCCTCATCTACCTAGGAAATCTGTTCCATCCTTTCCAACTTAAAGTGATCCCAGGGACATCAGAAAAGTAGTGCGTCCTTCCCGCACCCCCCTCACCCTTTTGTAGGCAGTTTGTGGAAGGAGAAACAATTTAAAAGCCACTTAAGTCAACTCTGCTTCCATTCTTGATTGGTCTCTAACTAGCCGTGGGGCAAAATGATCTGTTAGGGAGGAAAACATTACAGCCTTTAATTAGAGTTTTGAAATTCAAGCCTAAGTAAGACATTGTGATAATTGAACAAGTAAGTGAAAGAAAAAATCACTTTAGGTAAAATGTCTAGATTTTTAAAATATTGTTTTACTAGAAAATATTAAAGCCTCCACAGCACTCTCCTGTTTTAAAAACCCTTCCAGGCCAGGCATGGCATGGTGGCTTACGCCTGTAATCCCAGTACTCTGGGAGGCGAGGCAGGCAGATCACTGAGTCCAGGAGTTGGAGACCAGCCTGGGCAACATAGCGAAACCCTGTTTCTACTAAAAATACAAAAATTAGCTGGGCATGGTGGCGCTCGCCTGTAATTCCAGCTACTCACGAGACTGAGGTGGGAGGATGGCGTGAACCCAGGAGGAAGAGGTTGCATGCAGTGAGCCAAGATCACACAACTGCACTCCAGCCTGGGTGACAGAGTGAGACCCTGTCAAATAAATAAAACATACATACATATATACCTTTCCAGAACGTCCTGTAACCCTTGGAACAAAACCCCAAAATCCTTAACAGTAAAGACTCCCACATTTTCTTGGCTCAAGGTGGCCTTAATGTCTCAGCAGTTTTTTTCAAGTTCCACTCAGGCCAAAAGAAATAACTAACATTTTGGTCTAATAAGTAGTTAGATCCAAACAATAAATATTCATGTCCTAACAACTTAGCATCTACTGGGCACTGCATAACTTTTCAAACCTTAGAACTGTATTGGGCACAGCCATCCACATCTCGTGCTCCACACCGATTTTCCCTTAGGTCTTGCTTTTTATCACAGCAAGGAGGGAAAAACACATCCAAAGGAACGTAGCTGGATTTAAAGTGGAAAATAGCTCGAGGTAGTAGTTCCTGTGATGTTCGACAGATGTCGCTGTGTTTCCCTCAAATTTTAAAAATATCCAAGGCATCCTGGTGAGTTTGCTGGTGCACCCCAGGGAGCCTCAAAACACAGTTCGGGACATGGTTTATATGGCCTTGTATTAACTGGCCCCTGACCGTTTCTTCAGCCTTATCTGCCACTGTTCTCCCTGCTCACTACACTACAGTTCTACTGGCCTTTTATTTTCCCAAAAGAGCCAAGCTCCTTCTTAGTCTTTTTTTCATGCTTTGCCTTCATGTGGAGGACTTTTCAACTGGAGAAGCCTTCTTTATTTCTCCTAGTTTATATCAGGGACCCTTGTTATTCTCTCACTAGCCTACAGGCTCCACGAAGGCAGGGACCATGTCTGTTTTCTACATCATCTTACACCCAGTGTCTAGCACAGTCCTTGGCACATAGTAGAAACTCAAGTGGTTTAAAAACATATGTTTCTGGCCAGGCGCAGTGGCTCCTGCCTGTAATCCCAGCACTTTGGGAGGCCGAGGCGGGTGGATCACCTGAGGTCCGCAGTTCAAGACCAGCCTGGCCAACATAGTGAAACCCCGTCTCTACTAAAAATCCAAAATATCAGCTGGGAGTGGTGGTATGCACCTATAATCCCAGCTTCTTGGGAGGTTGTGCCAGGAGAATCGCTTGAACCCAGGAGACAGAGGTTGGAGTGAGCCAAGATCATGCCGCTGCACTCCAGCCTGAGCAACAGTGCGAGACTCCATCTCCAAAAAAAAAAACAAAATAAATTAATTAAAATATGTTTCTATTGACATTCATTAATAAGTTAATCTTCAGATGCACAAGTAATCCAGTTGTGAAATACAAGAGAAATTCCTTTCTTGTTAGCACTTCAGTTCATCAGTAAGCAATTATAAATCTAAAAATTGATGACATCTTAGAATGTGATTGCTAGCATACTTATAATGACATTTTAAAAAACAAATTAGAGGCCAGGCGCAGTGACTCATGCTTGTAATCCCAACACTAAAGGGGGCCGAGGTGCGTGGATCACTTGAGGCCAGGAGTTCGAGACCAGCCTGGCCAACATGGTGAAACCCCATCTCAACTAAAAATACTAAAAATATAAAAATTAGCTGGATGCGGTGGCACGTGCCTGTAGTCCCAGCTACTCGGGAGGCTGACGCAGGAGAATCACTTGAACCCAGGTGGTAGAGGTTGCAGTGAGCCGAGATCCCACCACTGCACTCCAACCTGGGCAACAGAGTGAGACTCCTTCTTAAAAAAAAAAAAAAAAAATTAGATAAAAAACAGTCTTTTCAATAAATGGTGCTAGAACAACTGGACCATATGCAAAAGAATGAAGTTGGCCCACTACCTGACCATATTAAAAAATTAATGCAAAATAGACTATAGACTTAAAACTATAAAACTCTTAATATGTGAGTAAATTTTTATAACCTTAGATTAGGCAATGATTTCTTTGATGTAACACCAAAAGCACAAGCAACAGAAGAAAAATTAGATAAACTCCATCAAAATTTAAAACTTTTTAGTTTCAAAGGACACCATTAAGAAAGTGAAAAGACAGCCCACAAAATGGAAAAATTTTTTGCAAATTATATATCCAGTAAGGGACTTGTATCCAGCATATATGATGAACTCTTACAAATGAATAAAAAGACAAATAACTCAATTTAGAAATGGAGCAAAGAGGAATTTCTCCAAAGAAGATACAAGAAGCACATGAAAAGATGCTCAGCATCATTAGACATCAGGGAAATGCAAATCAAAACCACCATGAGATACCACTTCACAGCCATTAGGACGGCTAAAATAAAAAAGACAGACAATAACAAGTGTTGTCAAGGATGTGGAGAAATTGAAATCCTCATACATTGGGATTATAAAACGTATGAATGGGATTATAAAATGTATGAATGGGATTATAAAATGGGGCAGCCACTTTGGAAAACAGTTTGAGACCTCTCCAAAATGTTAAACATAAAGTTACCATATGACCCAGCAGGTATATACCCAAAAGAAATGAAAATATATGTTCACACAAAAATTTGTACATGAATGTTCATGGCAGCATTATTCATAATAGCCAAAAAGTACAAAAAACTGAAATGCCCATCAACTGATGAACAGATAAAGGAAGTGCGGTATTTCTAGGCAACAGAATGTGATTTGATTATAAAAATGAAGTAGTGATACATACTACAAACTGGACAAACCTTGAAAACATTAGGCTAAGTCAGAGAAGCCACTCACAAAGATCACATATTACAAAATTCCACTCATATAAAATGTCCAGAACAGGGAAATCTGCAAAGATAGTAGACTAATGGTTGCCAGAAGCTCAGAAGAAGACAGAATGTAAAGTGACTGCTAATAGGTATGGGGTTTTCTTTTTGGGGGTGATAAAAAGGTTCAAAATTAGATAGTTGTGATGGTTGCACAACTAAATATACTGAAAAACATGGAATGGTACACTTAAAAGGGCAAATTTCTTGGTCTGTGAATATCTCAATATACCTATTATTTTAAAAACATTTGAAAAATTATGTCTCCTTCATCATCTGCAGAATAAAGTTCTGACTGTGAGATTGTCTATAAAGCTCATAAGATCTGATGCTTCCTACCACTCCGTTATTCCCTCCAAACCCAGAGGCTCCAACAAACTACTTGGGGTTTCTTCTGCTTCACTCATGCACTGTAGCTTTGTACATCACTCGTGCACTGTAGCTTTGTACATTTGGTTCTCTTTGCTTTGAGTACCCTTCCTTCATCTGCCTAGTAAATGCCCACTTGTTCCTTAAGACCCAACTCACTCCATACTGCACTGGTGGCCCTCTTTGGTGCTCACAAGACATCCTGTGTATATGCCATTGTAGCATGCATGGGATTGTTTCATAAAGGTCAGCTTCCTTGCTGTGCTCCCACAGGACTGACTTTCTTCAAGGCAGGGACTATGTTATGTTTATCTTTGCATTCCCAACACCCAGCAGAGGTGCTCAATAAATGAAATAAAGGAATTAATGGATGGAATGAATAAACTCTCCATGCATGTATTCATTTTATGATCTCTCTCCAACTCTTATTCATGTCTCTTAACATATAGTTTTTATATGTTACATTTTTCATGTCTGTATGATTAGCCTATGGTTTTAAAATCTACAGCTTTTGGCTAGGTGTAGTGGCTCATGCCTGTAATCCAAGCACTTGGGGAGGCTGAGGCAGGAGGATCTGTTGAGCCCAGGAGTTCAAGACCAGCCTAGGCAACATAGGGAGACTTCATCTCTACAAAAAATATGAAAATTAGCTGGGCGTAGTAGCACATGCCTGTAGTCCCAGCTACTCAGGAGACTGAGGTGGGAGCATCACCTAAGCCCAGGGAGGTCAAGCCTGCAGTGAGCCATGATCGTGCCACTGCACTCCAGCCTGGATGATGGTGAGACCCTGTCTCAAATAAATAAATAAGTAAATTTAAAAAATAAAAACAAAAATAAAATCTACTGTGTTTTGTTTTGTTTTGTTTTTTTAAGAAAGTCTCACTCTGTCGCCCAGGCTGGAGTGCAGTGGCTCAGTCTCAGCTCACTGTAGCCTCCACCTCCTGGGTTCAAGCCATCCTCCTGCCTCAGCCCTCCCAAGTAGCTGGAACTATAGGCATGTGCCACTACACCCGCCTGATTTTTTTTATTTTTTGTAGAGATGGGGTCTCACCGTGTTGCCCAGGCTGGTCTTGAACTCCTGAGCTCAAGCAATCCACCCACCTTGGTCTCCCAAAGTGCTAGGATAACAGGCATGAGCCATCACGCCCGGCCAAAATCTACTGCTTTTGTAATAAAGTAAGTTAAACAAAGGAGTGTTTAATAAATTACTAGCAAGTTTCTTTTCTCAGATGACGTTTTATATGGTTTGTATAATTTAGGTAACCAGTTGCTATTTACTATCACAATTCAATTACTATCAATGCATTATTAATTAACATTGTGATTGAGGTTTTACAAATAACTGGCGGGTGAATCTGATAAATTGTGTCTGAGTTAATAAGTTGAAGCTGGTATGTTTTACACCATTGAAGTTGGTAATTATAGTTTGAGACCATTTTGAACTACATTTCACTAATTATTGCATTTCAATACTGCTACCTCTTCATTACCACTTCATGTGACACAGATTACTGATAAATTCCTTTATTGTGAGGTCATTCTCCTAAATTAGAAAGAACCAGAGATGGCATATGTAAGACCCAAAGTGAGTTTGTGGATGAGAGTGAGTCACAGAGATCAGACTCCAAAAAAACACCTCCTACTGTATTTATTTTCTAGTTCTAAATTCAAACTTGGATTTAGAAAAATATACGACTTGACTCCTCATCAGTCTTTTTTTTTTTTTTTTTTGAGATGAGTCTCACTTGTCGCCCAGGCTGGAGTGCAGTGGTGCAATCTCGGCTCACTGCAAGCTCCACCTCCCGGGTTCACGCCATTCTCCTGCCTCAGCCTCCTGAGTAGCTGGGACTACAGGCGCCCGCCACCACGCCCGGCTAACTTTTTGTATTTTTAGTAGAGACGGGGTTTCACCGTGTTAGCCAGGATGGTCTCGATCTCCTGACCTCATGATCCGCCCGCCTCAGCCTCCCAAAGTGCTGGGATTACAGGCGTGAGCCACTGCGCCCGGCCCCTCATCAGTCCTTTAGCTCAGGCGTGGGTTAGGAAGGATATGTCAGAGTTAGGAAGGCATGTCGGTAGAAAGGTACATTTTGAAGTGGTAGTGTCTTTATGCTTACATTTGTCTTTGTCAGGAAGTGGCTGTGGGAGCTGAGAATGTGATGTCTCTTGACAGGGAGTAGGGCTTACACACAGTTTGTCTGCATAATCTTCCAGATTCACTGTTTTAGATAGTTCTTTCAAACTTTTACATGCCACAGAACCTCCATCCACATTGTTTCTCAGGTGTGGTGGCTCATGCCTGTAATTCCAGCACTTTAGGAGGCCAAGGCGGGAGGACTGCTTGAGCCCAGAAGTTGAGACCAGCCTGGGCAACATAGTAAGACCCCCATCTCTGTAAGTGAGTAAGTAAATATATACATAATAGATTGTTTCTTGGGGGAATAGATTATATATATTAAGGGATGATCACCTTTCCAATTTTTTAAAGAATCCTGAGTAAACAAACTTTAGCTGAGTCTTCAGAATCAATGAGGATTGGGACGGCTTCACGCTATTGCCTATGAGTTGATAAAATCAGTGCCTTCATCTTCACTCTGCTGGTGGTAATAACAGCTCCAGGGTTCCTATTTCTGTGCTGGACAAGGGCTTTACATACATTATCTCTCTTGATCCTCCCCATAATCCTGAGAGGGAAGAGGTCATATAATCCCTATTTTACACATGATTTGGAAACTGAGCCTTATGGCAGCTAAATCAATGGCCTGAAATTGCACCGCTACTAGTGTCTGAGCTGAGATTACATTCAGAGGTTACTCTCACTAAGTTCCTAATAGTTGTCACTGCCATCTATGTGTGGTCTAGTAAATGGATAATTATAGCTTAGATGTTTACAGCACAAAAGTATCTAGTACCACATTGTTCGGGGTCCCTCTGTCACACCTATTAATTGTTTGCTTGAGCTTGAAATTGCTCAGAACAGTTGTATGGTAGGCAGAATAATGCAACCCCTCCTCACAAAGGTGTTCCTGTCCTAACCTCCAAAGTCTTTGAATGTTAACTTGTACGAAAAAACAGACTTTGCAGATGTGATTAAGTTAAGGATCTTGAGAGGGGGAATTATCCTAAACTACCAAGTGGGGTCCAAAGTAACCATAATGGTCCTTATAAGTGGAAGACGGAGGCAGGAGAGAGAGAGTCAGAGGAAATGTGATGACTGAGGCAGAGGTCAGAGTGATGCGACTGCTGCCTGGGGCCACAGGCCAAAGATGATGGGCAGGTCGAGTGTGGTGGCTCGCACCTGTAATCCCAGCACTTTGGGAGGCCAAGGTGGGCGGATCACAAGGTCAGGAGATCAAGACCATCCTCGCTAACACGGTGAAACCCCATCTCTACTAAAAATACAAAAAATTAGCCGGGCATGGTGGCGGGTGCCTGTAGTCCCAGCTACTCAGGAGGCTAAGGCAGGAGAATGGTGTGAACCCAGGAGGCGGAGTTTGCAGTGAGCCGAGATAGCACCACTGCACTCCAGCCTGGGTGACAGAGTGAGACTCCATCTCAAAAAAAAAAAAAAAAAATGATGGGCAGCCTCTAGATGTTGGAAAAGGCAAAGGAGTCTCCCACTACAGTCTCTTGACTTTAGCCCCATCAGGCTTATTTCTGCTAGTTGTGGTGGTTCATGCCTGTAATCCCAACTACTCGGGAGGCTGAGGCAGGAGGCTCACTTGAGGCCAGGAGTATGAGGCTGCAGTGAGCTATGATCACATCCTGCACTCCAGCAACCTGGGTGGGCAACAGAACCAGAGACTATCTCTTAAATATATATATATAGAGAGAGAGACTTGTTTCTCTGACTCTGTAAGACCATAAATAATAAATTTGTGTTGTTTTAAACAAGTAATTTTATGGTAATTTGTTATAGCAACAGTCGAACGCTAATACATGTGGTATCTGACACTCAGATCCCCCTCCACTACACAGTGACCAAAATTCATGCAGCAATGATTGGCAATGCTGCCCCTTTACCAAGTGGTGGTAAGTTCTGGTTATAACTCACAGAGGTGAAGGCAGGAAGCTGCTACTGGCCCTGACATTCTCAGTGCCATGCTCACAAGGGCATGTAGAAAGGCTTCACAATTTTCAGAAGCTTCCTTTTCATTCTCTTTACAGCACTAAAGCATCTTAAATGTATTATTTCAGCACCTATTAAGCACCTACTATCTGTCAGGTTCCAGAAATTCAAAGATAACCAGGACTCAGATCCTTAAGGAGCTTACAGCGCAGTAGGGTGGCAGAAGACATAAACAAGTTATTATAATGTAACAAAATATATGCAAGACAAAAATAACTTCAGGAAAAGAATCTTAGAACATGTGAATTACCATCTCTGTTTGGGGAGGGTAAGAGAGAATGGGAGGCATGGAAAGGGGTTGGAGTCCGAGCTAGGGGGTGACTAGCATCTTTGGAATCCCCAGCTTTGGTGGGTAAGGTTCTGACACCCACTTTAGGCCCCAGTGTCATCAGACCTGGTCTCTGCTGGGGCTGCTGCAAATCTCTGAGGTTGGGAAGGGAAGGTAACCGCAAGATGAAGCGAACAGGAATTTGCTAATACCTACACATAGCAGATGATCAGAGCTCTGGAGAGACATTCTCCATGACTTCTTGGAAGTTCAACAGATAAAGTGAAAGGTTCCATAAATTGTAATGTACCAGCTAGATATAAAGTATTATCCACTTGCTTGGGATTCATGCTTAGACATTGGGAAATCCCTTCTCAATTTTTGTCTCTAAACGAAGTCTATCTTCCAATTAAGAAAACAAACCCAAGATATAGACAGAAAAATAGGTCTGTTTCAATGCCTAGCATGTTCCATTTAAAATACAGTAAATTTGGGCTGAAAGAACTTATCACGCAATCTAGGGCAAACACCATCTCATGACTTTCCTGCCTAACCTCAATCCTGAGACCACCAAAAACACACCATTTCCTACTGAACATTGATATACTCAGAAACTGAAATCTAAAGCTGGAAAGGGCCTTAACGATAATTTAATAACAGTTTGTTTTACACATGAAGAACCCTGAGGTATGGAGGAGTTAAGATTAAAAAAAGAGAAACTGCCTTGGCGCAGTTATATGGGCTTTGCTAGAAGAGGCTGCGTCGGCTTATTTGATATCAGCTGTCATAGCTGGAGCTTCATGAAATCTCTAAGAGAGAGTACAATCCATTTCCTATGAAGTCTAAAATGTAAAAGGATATTACTAAGGAATGCTACCACGTAATTTTTTAATCATAATTATTATTTCAACCAGAGTTTTGAAAAGTGATTTACCAACACTGCGTATCATTTTGTTTTTGCTAAGTACTATCAACTGGAGCAATCTCGTGTAGTATTTATTCTCATTTATCTCTAAACAACTGGGGGTTTTCCAAAAAGACTCAAAATGTCGAAATCCAGCCTCTTTCGGGAAAACCACAGGTAAATAAGGAAAGACACCTTCGCAGGAGTTCCCCTCACACGCACCCACCCCTGGCGCAGGGCCCTACGGAGGCGGTGGAAACGCCCCTCTGGGAGCCCAGCACTCTCTCCCACCGGCTTGACGGGTGATGCTCGGGGGCTGGAGGCGGCTCTGCCAGGCTCCCGGGCTCCGCTACCACCGCGTCGCCCCCCCCGGCCTGCAGGGCTCGCGCTCTGAGGTCAGGCCGAGGACGCGGACAGCCGGGGAGCCGGGGCCGCGAGACAGAAGGGCCGGCCTGGGAGCGGGTGGCGCCGGCTGGGGACCAGGCGTGCCCACGTGACCGCCCCGCCCGCTGCCTGCGGCCCGCCGAGCCCCGCCACCTCCCTCGGGCTGCAGCTCCCGGCGTGCCCCGCACTCTCCGCTGCCCACCCGCTCGCCCGCCCCTCCTTCTCCTCCCAGTGCCACAGAGCCGAAGCCCGAGCTGCCGCCGCAGCCACAGCCGAGGGCACTATGGTAAGACGAGCGCGCTGGCCGGGAGGCCGCGGCGAGGCGAGAAAAGCCCCCCGCACGGCCCCGGGAGTGAGGCCGCCATTTTAACCTGATTTTGGCCTCCAAGGTGGGCGCTTCTGCTCTGCGGCTCCGCTGCTCTCCAGCCGACCGGCCTGCCCTCCGGCCGTCAGGCCCTGCCCTGCTGCTCTTTGGATTTTGGGGGGCGGGGAGGGCCCGGGCGTCGGCGCAGGTTGGGGGTCGGGGCCGGGCGGGCGGGGGCGCGAGAGGGTCTGCGGACTGCAGCCGCTCGCGCCGCCTTTGCCCTTCGCTTCCTAATTTTACTTAACACGCGAGGCTTTAAAATTGGTACGTGCTGCGAACGCTGTGTGGGTCAGGGTCTGGACGGCCTGTAATAAAACCCTTACGGGGAGATTAAGGAAGAGGGAAAACACTTTTTAAAATGCTTTCTCGCCGTAAAAGCTTTTACACTCGATCAGTTAGTTTTGGAGTGTCTGCATGTGAGCTGTGTGTGGGCCGTGGGCGGTTTGGAGTTTACACTTGATTCTCTTTCCTTATGAGGAAACGTCAGTGGCTAGGATGACTTTAAAGAAAAAAATAGTAGAAGCATTAACTGAAATCCAAAAGTGTTTTTTTAAGGCCAGCCGAGTTGACACAATACAGAAGGTATTTTTGCTGCCACTCCTGAAGCTCTGACATCACCCAGTGAAATAGGAAACATTTCAGGGATGGGACAACTTGTATTTGTCCCTTTCGCTTCCACGTCCAAACCCCTTTAAGAAGGATGAATGGGCAGGATGAGTTAGACTCCTTCGCTGTATCGTCTACTGATTCTTAAAATGTGACAAATCTGATTGGACGACTTACATGGTACGGTGCAATTTTTGATGTCCAGACTAAAGTGAGTCTTCTCTAGGCAAACAGTAATTTTGGTTAAAACCAAAATACGTGTTCTGAATTACTGTTCTGTGTTTATTTTCAGGCTTCTGGAGTTACAGTGAATGATGAAGTCATCAAAGTTTTTAATGATATGAAAGTAAGGAAATCTTCTACACAAGAGGAGATCAAAAAGAGAAAGAAAGCAGTTCTCTTCTGTTTAAGCGATGACAAAAGACAAATAATTGTAGAGGAAGCAAAGCAGATCTTGGTGGGTGACATTGGTGATACTGTAGAGGACCCCTACACATCTTTTGTGAAGTTGCTACCTCTGAATGATTGCCGATATGCTTTGTACGATGCCACATACGAAACAAAAGAGTCTAAGAAAGAAGACCTAGTATTTATATTCTGGTGTGTAAAAACAAAAGAAAAAAGTACTTTTAAAATGCAAGGATTATTATTATCATAGTCAGTCTTACCTTTGTTTTTCTTATAAATGGGATTCAATAATTTTTTTTTTTTCTGTAGGGCTCCTGAAAGTGCACCTTTAAAAAGCAAGATGATTTATGCTAGCTCTAAAGATGCCATTAAAAAGAAATTTACAGGTACAAACTTGAATATTTGGGGCAGAGAAATTATTCTTTATTAATTATAATAAAGTAATAGGATAATGTTTTTTCTTTTTAGGTATTAAACATGAGTGGCAAGTAAATGGCTTGGATGATATTAAGGACCGTTCGACACTTGGAGAGAAATTGGGAGGCAATGTAGTAGTTTCACTTGAAGGAAAACCATTATAAAATGACAGTCAAGTGCCATCTGGATCTTAAGGAGCTTCCATTTCTCCAGCTCAGTCCATTGGAATAGTATTAGGTTTTGGTTTTTTGTTGTATTTCCCCCTTTCCACTGGGCCCTTCCAACACAATGAATGAAGGAAATATCATTTATTTAAGCAGCCTATCAGTGATTGCCATTAGACTGTTGAATACTGTTACTTTTATATAGAACCCAAGGAATGCCTTCCTGTCATATTTTAGCCAAAACAACTGGTTATATGCCTCCCTTGCAGCAAGCACTACAATGTATGTGATCGTCAATGTGAATAGCTTAGAATACTGCAAAGGATAAGCTAATTGAATGCCTTGAAAGTATTATCCACTGGTCAGATGGTCAACTTTTTTCAGTATTATTTATAGTTGGCACTTGATTGCAGTTCTGTGAGGCTTGAGCATTCATACACCTCACCTGCCTTGGCAAGCCTATTTTAGTGATATGGCAGCACGGATATAACACTATGCATTAAAAGCACTTTTTGTAATAAGTTTAATATCCTAAAAGGAATGCCAATTAAGTTTTGTTAACTGTGTCATCAACTTATCCTAGTACCTCAGTGTTCATTCCTGTTACCTGCATATCTTCTTAAAAGAAATAGCTGTTATTAATGCCTTTTTGTTTTCCATTGAGTGTACACTACTGAATAAGTGTAGGAGTTTTATGTTTACCATGTGAGTCCTGCAACACTAAAGATATTTTGAATATCAGTCATGATGGCAATTTCTGTATAAAAGAGCCTTAAATGGAACATTGTTTTGAGATCAAACTCCCCACCCTCACAAAAATGGCCACGTTGCAATAAAAATTGTGGCATATTACAGAACGTTGCCTTGTTTTCCTTGGAAATTTTGCAAAATGTTATGTGAAACAACTTCTAGGGTAAAAACAGCTATTACTAATCTCTGCACTGGTCATTTGAGAATTTTTTTTGTACAGCATTCATGTGTGATATTTTCCAGATTTGTTGGATCTATTTGGTTTAAAAAGTATTCTATCTTAAGGCCAACTAATATAAAATACCATTGTTAAAGAATGGTACTTTTATAAACATTAGTGTATTTATTTCCTATGTGTTAATATGAAGATCAGAAATTATTTTTTGCACTTTGGCATAAATACTTTTCAATATCTGATTTGTTCTCTGGATAAATTAGCATAGTTATTTTTTTATTCACATTTACATTTCTAAGTAGTTGTATAGTAGAAGCAGGAAGCTCTTATTGCTTATTTGGTCGTAATGAAAATAATTTGTAAAATGTCCTTTAAAAGTTTAATGATACTTCTGATGTTTCGGAACAGTCATTTCACCTACTATTTCTGAATATATTTTGCAAATTGAATTGGAATAGGAATTGATAATAGCAGTCTTAAACATTAGTAGTGGGATTTGGCTATGGTCCAGACTGTGCTCCTTATAGAGAATTTGATCTGCTCAGTGTGAGCGGTTTGCTGTTAGCCAGGGCTATTTATGGCAAACACATGCTTTTGTATCTTGTCATAGTTATCCACAAATGGCAAAACTGGACTTGATTCTACTGGTATGCAAAACAGGCATGCTAGTAAGCAGTCAGTCGTGGCTCAGAACTTAACCCCATAGCTCAGAGGAATGCTTTTAGCAGAAAACAGGAAAGAAAATATCCCTTAAAAATTTTTTTTGAATGTGTGGAAGTAATTTTAGTATAATTAGATTTTTTCCATATTTTTGAAAGATTTTTCAGATGTGAACATTAAAAATAGGGATTAAATGTCTAGGCTTCCATTTAAAATTATATGAATGGTTTGGGATCTTTTTGCACTGAGCAATTTTATTTCAGGCTTCCAGCTGTCCCTGTGAGTTATCCTGGACATTTCGATGGTTTTTGGTAAGGCCAAACTCTGATAAGCAAAACAGAGAATACTGACGTATACTTAACCATATGTGTAACTGATACTTGGCACCATGGAATTTTTCATTGAGTTATTTCCTCATTCTTTTAAAAAATAAGGGACTATAAATCAGTTATGTAGTATCTTTTGTTTTTGTAGCTGATTCCTTAACTTTCTTGTATGCCTCTAGTAATTTCAGAGATTAAATATTGCTTTAAACTGTGATACTTTGATTTGCTAGATTGACAAAACTGATACTAATATAATTAAGTTCATCTTTGAAATACATCTTTGTGCGTAGAGCCAAAAAAAGAGATAAAATTAATAATAGTTCACTTGTTATTTGAGATTAATTTGGCATTTGAAATGATCATTTTATTTTACAATCATTTATAATGAATCAATGTTCCAGTTAGCTTTAAAAGGTATACGGTGCTAATTAGTAAAATATTGAAGGCAATATTTTACTGCTAGCTTGCAAAGTTATGAGAGTTTAAAAAATAAAATATATGAAAATATGTAAAGCTGTTGAGATGTGTTTACTTATACTTCAGAACATTAAAAGTTTAAAAACTGGTATTTCAGATCAAAGAGGCATCATTATCTTTATTCTGTTTTTCAGGATTTTAGTTGGTAATACTTTCTCATTTATCAATAACAATTTTCTTTAAAAACTGAGTGTTACAGCAATTAATTTTAGCATTTTCAGACAAATGGGAACAGTTGGCATGTGTCCCAAACTGGCTATCAGCTGTTGTTTTCCATCATTATCTAAAATAGTGTGGCCAGCATTGTGTATTGAAATGTGCCTTTTTCGTACATTGGAAGAGAAGCCTCTTACTGGGTTTGAGTTTCTCTGATACAGAACATTTGTAGCAGCTAATTTATGGAATCTGGCAAATAAGCTTTGGGAGGAAATTCTTTTAAAAGTGTTTTCTTGTTAAGGAATAATCTCAACAATGGTAAATCATCAAGAGGTTGAGAAGACTCTTAGGTTTGCCACTCAGAAAAAACAGTCTCATTTTGCTCTTCATAGGTCCTGTTTTTGCTTGCACATTTAATAGTAGGTGGAGATGCAAAACAACGTGAATGTTCATTTTTTTATGAATAGTATTAAAGCTACTAGAGGTGGGCAGGCAGGTCCCAGTAAATGTTGCCTTTTTTTTTTTTTTTTTTTGAGACAGGGTCTCACTCTGTTGCCCAGGCTGGAGTGCAGTGTCAAAATTTCAGCTCACTTCAAACTCAACCTTCCCAGCTCAGATGATCCTCCCACCTCAGCCTCCCAAGTAGCTGGGACTACAGGCATGCACCACCATGCCTAATTTTTTTTTTTTTTTTTTTTGTATCTCTTTTGTAGAGACTGAGTTTGGCCATGTTGCCTAGGCTGATCTCCAACTCCTGGGCTCAAGCTGTCCTCTGACCTCCGCCTCCCAAAAGTGCTAGGATTGCATGCATGAGCCACCACTTCAAAAGCTCAAATACTGCTTTTGAAGACAGCATGAGTTTATGGATGTTCTGTCTCCTTTCAGCCCATAAAGAAGTCTGAGGCTTTTCTTTTGCTCTGGAACATCCAACTAATTGCTTTATTTCCATGTAGAAGTAGAGGAATCATCCCTCCACTTAAATTTCCTCTCATAATGCAATTTGGCAAATTAAATCTCTAAATCTCAGTTTTTTAACCCATAGTATGGGAACGGTAATATCTGTTTACCATGTTTCCTGAGTACTAAATATGGAAATGGTTTTTGAAAACAGGAAAATGCTATGTAAATGCAATAATCTGTTTAAACTATTCATTCTTAATTACTGTATGTAAGTAGATAAATATTAAATGTTTTTGTTAAAAGATGTATTACAGATCATTGAACCTCTATTTTTGTAACTTCCGTGTGTGTACATATATATATGTATATATATATGTATATATACACACATACACACACATTTTTTTCTTCTTTTTTGGACAGGGTTTCACTCTATTGCCCAGGCTGCTGTGCAGTGGCACAATCATAGCTCAATATAACCTTGAACTCCTGGGCTCAAGTGATCCTCCCACCTCAAGCTCCTGAGCAGCTGGGATTATAGACATACACCACCATGCCCAGCTAATTTTTTTTTTTTTTTTTTTTTTGAGACAAAGTCTCACTGTATCACCCACGCTGGAGGGCGGTGGTGTGATCTCGGCTCACTGCAACCTCTGCCTCCTGGGTTCAAGCAATTCTCCTGCCTCAGCCTCCCGAATAGCTGGGACTACAGGCATATGCCACCACACCTGGCTAATTTTTGTATTTTTAATACAGATGGGATTTCACCATGTTGGCCAGGCTGGTCTCAAACTCCTGACCTCAGGTGATCTGCCTGCCTCAGCCTCCCAAAGTGCTGGGATTACAGGCATGAGCCACCATGCCCGGCCTGCCCAGCTAATTTAAAAAAAAAAAAATTGTTGAGACGGGGTCTCACTGTGTTGTCTAGGCTAGTCTTGAATTCCTGGCCTTAAGCAATCCACCCATCTCAACTTCCCAAAGCACTGGGATTATAGGTGTGAACCACTGGGCTGAGCCTATTTAGTGTGTATATAGAGATGGGGTTTCAACATGTTGGCTAGGCTGGTCTTGAACTCCTGACCTTAGGAGATCCGCCCACCTTGGCTTCCCAAACTGCTGGGATTATGGGCTTGAGCCACTGCACTGGCCCTATTTAGTATATTTTTAAAGTAGCATCTTTCAAGAATATTTGAAAAACAATCCTAAGATTGTTTTCTAAAAAAGCTCATGCTCATAAAAATCTAAAAAGTTGTATATTTCAAAGATGTTCTGAAATATTTCAGTATTGTAAACTTATGGAATCTGTGCCAAACGAGGATTGTATAGACACAGAAAGCTGGTGTCTCTTAATCCTTTTCCAGAAACTTGGATATATCCCTCCCCTACCCATCTTTCTAAGAAGAGATAGTACTTTATGTTATAGTGGGTAAGTCCTAGGACTTTGGCATTAGATTGCTTGGTTGTTTACATAGAGCCCTTTAACACTTAGTAACTGGATAGTCTTAGACAAATCGTATAACCTCTTGGAAGCTTAGTTACTACATCTATAAAATGGGGATGATTGTACTCCGTCTCATAGGATTGTGAGCATAACTGAAAGCACTTGGAATAGTTCCTAGCACATAATAAGGGCTCAGTAGGATGATCCTATAAGATTTACAGGCCAAACCAGAACACTTTTTGAAAATGAAAGGGAGAGCTATTAATTATGCCAAGACAACAGGCTTGAGATAGGCCAATCCCAAGCAAACCAGGAGGTGTTGTCCAGAAGTATAGGCTAATATTAAAATGTAATACTTAAACAATGAACTGTATGAAAGACTCAAGATCATCATTTATTAATTTTAATTATATAATGTATTAGCATACTGACTTGAGGATCTCACGAAGTATATGAGTGGTCTTAAGTAAACCTCAGAGAGATCGAATTTGGCTTTTTAAGCCTTTTTAATAGCGTTCCTTCTGACTTTTTTTTTTTTTTGGAGATGGAGTCTTCCTCTGTCACCCAGGCTGGAGTGCAGTGACGCGATATTGGCTCGCTGCAAGCTCCACCTTCTGGGTTCACGCCATTCTCCTGCCTCAGTCTCCCGAGTAGCTGGGACTACAGGTGTCCGCCACCACGCCCGGCTAACTTTTTGTATTTTTAGTAGAGGTGGGGTTTCACCGTGTTAGCCAGGATGGTCTCCATCTCCTGACCTCATGATCCGCCCACCTTGGCCTCCCAAAGTGCTGGGATTACAAGCATGAGCCTCCTTTTGACTTTCATACTTGTAAACTGTCAGATATTATGTTTTGCTACTATCAGTATGCTTTGTCTATAGCAGCTTCTGCTAATAGTTGCTTTTCATCTCGTGGATTTGGAAAACCAGGTTTGTTATAATTATGTATAAGCAAATAAATAGGCCCAGAGTGAAGACTTGAGAGCAAAATGCCTGAACACATGCACCTTATTTTTGGGGGCTGTTTAAATAACTTTGTGATGTACTTTCAGGGTTTGGGTTGTTTTTTGTTTGTTTTAATAAAAGGTATGTAAAAGAGCTGAACTGTAAATAGGTATTACTGTATCTCAGGGAGGTGTCTGCAGTATTATTAGTATTTAAGGAAATCATACTTGCTGTTGACAGTACCTGTATCATTAAAGGCTCACAAAGAAATTTGTTCCTGTTTTTTTTTGTTGTTGTTTTTTTTTGAGACGGGAGTCTCGCTGTGTCACCCAGGCTGGAGTGCAATCTCACCTCACTGCAACCTCCACCTCCCAGGTTCAAGCGATTCTCCTGCCTCAGCCTCGTGAGTAGCTGAGTAGCTGGGATTACAGGTGCCCGCCACCACACCCAGCTAATTTTTGTATTTTTAATAGAGACAGGGTTTCACCGTGTTGGCCAAGCTGGTCTCGAACTCCTGACCTGAAGTGATCCACCTGCCTCAGCCTCCCAAAGTGATGGAATTACAGGTGTGACCCACTATGCCTGGCCAAGAGAAGGTTTATTGACCTATTTTTTTTTTTAGATTATTGAAACAAGTAATAAGTTATAAGAACAAGAATTTGATAAGCAAAGTACTCTTAAAAAATTAAATGCCAGCTGGGCATGGTGGCTAACACCTGTAATCCCAGCACTTTGGGAAGCCAAGGTGAATGGATTGCTTGAGTTCACAGTTCAAGAATAGCATAGGCAACATGGCAAAACCCCATTCTACAAAAAATACAGAAATTAGCTGGGTGAGGTGGCGCAGACCTATGGTCCCAGCTACTTGGGAGGCTAAGCCAGGAGGATCACTTGAGCCCAGGAGAGCCAGATTGTGCCATTGCACTCCAGCCTGGGTGACAGAGCAAGACCCTGTTTCAAAAAAAAAAAAAAAAATGCCAGTTGACTTTATTTTTTTCGTTTAGTTTATTAGATTTTCTTTTCCTTTCTTTTTTTTTGAGACAGTCTCGCCCTGTCGCCCAGGCTGGAGTGCAATAATGTGATCTTGGCTCACTGCAACCTCCACTTCCAGGTTCAAGCGTCTCTCATGCCTCAGCCTCTGGAGTAGCTGGGATTACAAGTGTGCGCCACCACGCCTGGCTAATTTTTGTATTTTTATTTATTAATTTTATTTATTTATTTTGAGACCGAGTCTTGCTCTATTGCCCAGGCTGGAGCGCAGTGGCGCGATCTCAGCTCACTGCAATCTCCGCCTCCCAGGTTCAAGCAA
Organism: Homo sapiens; assembly: GCF_000001405.40. NCBI lineage: Eukaryota > Metazoa > Chordata > Mammalia > Primates > Hominidae > Homo > Homo sapiens. Next base: position 34,705,727 of record NC_000014.9, on the reverse strand, counting down.
TTCTCCTGCCTCAGCCTCCCACGTAGCTGGGATTACAGGAACCCACCACCATGCCCAGCTAATTTTTGTATTTTTAGTAGAGAAGGGGTTTCACCATGTTGGCCAAGCTGGTCTCGAACTCCTGACCTCAAATGATCCGCCCACCTCAGCCTCCCAAAGTGCTGGGATTACAGGCATGAGCCACCTCGCCCAGCCTAGATTTTCTTACATGTACTCTAGACATGTTCACCAGGAAGCAGCTTTGATTACCCTTTATCTAGACATTTTTCATTTACTCTTGACTTCTGACAGCTAATTTGATTATGCATACATAGCAATTTAGTAGTTTATCTGGCATTACAGAAAAATTTGAAACAGATTTTCATTCAAATGAGTAGTCATTTTTCCCTTACATGTGAAAAAGCACTTATGTTAATGGTATATTATTGGGGCACATTTTCTCTCATTTTATTCTTAATAGTGGAATTTCAAATATTTCCCTTGAAACTTGATAGTTACTGAGTGAATTACAAAATTCTTGGGTATGTAGCCCAAAGCCTCCTTAATATGTGTTCCTGTGAGCTGATGGGGACTTTATTTTTTTTTAATTACAAACTAAATCACCAGGCAAAGAGAAAGGCAGTTCTCAAATTGGCATAATTAGACCTAGTTTTACTTTTAATTTTTATTTTTTTAATTTTTATTTATTTATTTGAGACGGAGTTTCGCTCTTGTTGGTTGCCCAGGTGGGAGTGCAATGGCCCAATCTCGGCTCACTGCAACCTCTGCCTCCCAGGTTCAAGTGATTCTTCTGCCTCAGCCTCCCGAGTAGCTGGGATGACAGGTGCACGCCACCACTCCTGACCTTAGGTGATCCGCCCGCCTTGGCCTCCCAAAGTGCTGGGGTGACAGGCGTGAGCCACCATGCCCGGCCTAGACCTAATTTTATAAAAGGTAGAAATTGGGCCAGGCGTGGTGGCTCATGCCTGTAATTCCAGCTACTCAGGAGACAGGTATATCACCTGAGGTCAGGAGTTCGAGACCAGCCTGGTGAACATGGCGAAACCCCGTGTCTACTAAAAATACAAAAATTAGCTGGGTGTGGTGGCTTGTGCCTGTAATCCCAGCTACTCAGGAGGCTGAGGCAGGAGAATCGCTTAAACTTGGGAGGTGGAGGTTGCAGGGAGCCGAGATCACACCACTGCACTCCAGCCTGGACCACAGAGTGAGACTCTGTCTCAAAATAAATAAATAAATAAATATAATAAATAAATATAAAAGGTAGAAATGGCAGCAGAGTATTTTGTTCCAGAAATCATAAAACTTAACTATACCACACAAGAAATAAGATGATACGAAAGGTGTCTTATGTCCTGATTCATGAAATAAGTGGAATAGAGTTTTATGTGAAGATTAATGTTTTAACCTTTTATATGTAAAACAGTAATAGATCAAACATGGAGAGAAAAAGTGAGATTCCCTTTACTCATGACTGCTTATTGATGACAATTATATTACGAAGGAATATATAGATACATGAGAGGGAAAGCGATAATAGGCTAACAAAACAGGTGTTAACCATTTTCCTAATTTGAAATATATTCAGATTTTATTATTTTTGTTTTTTTGTTTTTTAATAGAGATGGGGTTTCACCATATTGCCTAGGCTGGTCTTATACTCCCAAGCTCAAGCAATACACCCACCTAGGCCTCCCAAAGGGCTGGGATTATAGGCATGAGCCACTGCGCCTGGTTATATTGAGATTTTAAAATGTGGCCGGGTGCGGTGGCTCAGGCCTGTAATCCCAGCACTTTGGGAGGCCTAGGTGGGCGGATCACTTGAGGTCAGGAGTTCAAGACCAGCCTGGCCAACATGGTGAAACACCGTCTCTACTAAAAATACAAAAATTAGCTGGGTATGGTGGCACGCGCCTGTAATCCCAGTTACTCAGGAGGCTTAGGCATGAGAGTTTCTTGAACCCAGGCGGCGGACGTTGCAGTTAGCCGAGATCACGCCACTGCACTCCAGCCTGGGCAATAGAGCAAGACTCTGTCTCAAAAAAAAAAAAAAAAAAAAAAAAAGATTTAAAAATGTACCTGGGGACCAGGCACAGTGGCTCATGCTTGTAATCCCAGCATTTTGGGAGGCCAAGGCAGGCGGATCACTTGAGGCTAGGAGTTTGAGACCAGCCTGACCAACATGGCGAAACCCCATCTCTACTAAAAATACAAAAATTAGCCAGGCACAGTGGTGCTCACCTGTAATCCTAGCTACTCGGGAGGCTGAGGTACAAGAATCGCTGGAACCCGGGAGGCAGAAGGTTGCCATGAGCCTTGATGGCGCCACTGCACTCCACCCTGGGCAACAGAGTGAGACTGTCTTAAAAAAAAAAAAATTAAATAGCAAAAGAAGTACCTGGGTTTCTTTTTTTTAGGCTTAAAAGGAAAACAAAATTGTTGATTAATAATTTTAAAAAATACTATTATATATTGAGTCATGTGTCTACTTTCAATATTTGCCATAATAGAATTATTTATTATTAGGAAGTTGACTGCAAAACTTCTCTCATTATTATTATTATTATTTTTTTGAGATGGAGTCTAACTCTGTCCCCCTGGCTGGAGAACAGTGGCACCATCTCAGCTCACTGCAACCTCCGCCCTCTGGGTTTCAGCGATTCTTCTGCCTCAGCCTCCCGAGTAGCTGGGATTACAGGTGTCCACCACTATGCCCAGCTAAATTTTTGTATTTTTAGTAGAGATGGGGTTTCACCATGTTGGCCAGGCTTGTCTCGAACTCCTGACTTCATGATTTGCCCGCCTCAGCCTCCCAAAGTGCTCAGATTACAGGCATGAGCCACCGCGCCCAGCATTTTTTTTTTTTTTTTTTTTTTTCTGAGACGGAGTCTCACTCTGTGACCCAGGCTGCTGGAGTAAAATAGTGTGATCTCGGTTCACTGCAACCTTCGCTTCCAAGGGCTCAGACAATTCTCCCACCTCAACCTCCCGAGTAGGTGGGACTACAGGCACGCACCACCACGCCTGCCTAATTTTTGTGTATTTTGGTAGAGACAGGGTTTCACCATATTGGCCAAGCTGGTCTCGAACTCCTGACCTCAAGCAATCCACCTACCTGGGGCTCCCAAAGTGCTGGGATTACAGGCATGAGCCACCACACCCGGCCATCTCATTATTATTATTATTATTAATTATTATTATTATTATTTTGAGATGGAGCCTTGCTGGAGTGCAGTCGCATGATCTCAGCTCACTGCCACCTCCACCTCCCAGGTTCACGTGATTCTCCTGCCTCGGCCTTCCTGAGTAGCTGGGATTACAGGCGCGCACCACCATGCCCAGCTAATTTTTTGTATTTTTTAGTAGAGACGGGGTTTCACTATGTCAGCCAGGCTGGTTTCAAACTCCTGACCTCAAGTGATCCACCAACTGAGCTCGGCCTCCCAAAGTGCTGGGATTACAGGCATAAGCCACGGCGCTTGGCCCTCTCCTTATTTTTTTGACTTCAAAGCAGATCCTGTTTATTTTTATTTTGAAAGCATTTAAATACTTCATTGTTTTGTTTTTATCTACCTGCTAGAGAAAAATGTTTTGTTTTATATTATATTTATCACAGTATAGCAGTTCTTAAGAAATACCATGTGACTGATTTAGATAGGTGTCATGCTCTGGCTGTGAAAAAAAATGTTTTGGGATTAATGCAAGTGTCATTCAGTAACATTGCCACAACAAACAAAAAAGCTTCCTGTTCTGAGCTGGATGTTTTCTTTCTTTCTGATTTCCTCTTTGCAATATATTAAATAAGTAAATAGAATTCTAGAAAATGGGCCGGGCGTGGTGTCTTACACCTGTAATCCCAGCACTTTGGAAGGCCAAGGCAGGCAGATCACCTGAGGCCAGGAGTTCGAGACCAGCCTGGCCAACATGGTGAAACCCCGTCTCTACTAAAAATACAAAACTTAGCCAGGCGTGGTGGTGAACGCCTGTAATCCCAGCTACTCAAGAGGCTGAGGTGGGAGAATCGCTTGAACCCAGGAGGCAGAGGTTGCATTGAGCCGAGATTGCACCATTGCACTCCAGCCTGGGCGACAGAGAGAGACTCTGTCTCAAAAAAAGAAAAAAAGAAAAAAGAAAATGACCCTTGGGTTAAAAACACAGCCTAGGCCGGGCGCGGTGGCTCACGCCTGTAATCCCAGCACTTTGGGAGGCCGAGGCAGACAGATCTACTAAAAAATACAAAAAATTAGCTGGGCGTGATGGCGGGTGCCTGTAGTCCCAGCTACTCAGGAGGCTGAGGCAGGAGAATGGGGTGAACCCGGGAGGTGGAGCTTGCAGTGAGCTGAGATCATGCCAGTGCACTCCAGCGTGGGTGACAGAGTGAGACTCCATCTCAAAAAAAAAAAAAAATTATATTCTCATAAGAACATCCTAAAAATGGGCTAACTGATATGATTACTATCATTAAGTAATATGAATGATATTCTTCTGGCTAACTCTCAGAAAATTGTATTTATTTTTATTTCAAAAATAACATGTTTTATAGAGAACCTCTGCAAAATATAGAAAAGAACAAATAAGAAAGCTAAATCATGAGTTAGCTTTAAACACTACAAATTACTTGTGTTAAGCTATTATGACTAATAGGAAGATTCCTGTAGTTAAAACTGGTTTTAAGTTATCAATATATGCTGGTAAGAGGGAAACTTTACTCAAATATTGTTTGTGCAGATTCCTTGGTATTTTTCATCCCAGAAAGAACTGTTGTGGCTCTAGTCACAACAGATTTGAATCTTGAAAATTATGCATTGCACCTACCTAAGTGCTCGCTGCATGACTTAGTGCCATCTACCATTAAGATCTGAAACCACAAAATTTTCTTCTGTTTATTGTGCCATTGGGAATTGATAATAGACATTTTTGTTTTTTGTTACACTGGGAATTGATAATAGACATGATTTTTACTGTTCCCCAAAGGAATTATTTTACAAAATAAATAGTTTCCAATATATCAGGATTCTACTTTTCCCCTTGTATTTGTATGATAAAGTTTAATAGTTGCTAGTTCCTGGTGCACAGTGTAAATAATCCATCCTCTAATCTACTTTGTCCCTTTCATATAAAGATGTAAGATAAAACATAATGTATACATTTTGCACTAAGCCAGAAGCACTCAATCTATATTTGATGAAAAAGTGATATTTACTAATTTGGCTCAAATTATGCAGATCATACATTGACTAATTAGCTCGTGGATATTTAGTCTTCATTTAACTAAGAGAGAGTTTGCATTTTGTTTGCTATTCCAGCAAAGTCTGGTAATCCTTGTGATTAAAGAAACATGATTTATGTTTGCTGTGGAGAAACATGATCATCCTGGCTACTATGAATCACTCTGGAAACATCCCATCTGTTTCCCAATTACTCAGCTCAGACCATTAGATCAAATTCAGTTCAGTTCAACAAACACGAAGCACCTTTCTTAGGCTCAAAAAGCTTTCCATGATATAGGGAAGGCAAGCAAGCACATAAACAAATAATTATGATGTAATACAATGTGATAAATACAACCATATGTTACTACTAGATTTAGAAGAGGGAGTGCTTAACTTTGGAGTTGAAATGGGCTTGGAGAAGGCCTTCCAGAAGTAATGTTTGAGCTGGGTTGTAAAGGATGATAGAGTTCACCAGAAATCTGTATGAAAGGATTGTCCTAGAGAAAAAAAAAAACCGCAGATGCCTTGCAAATGTTTCATTACAGCTGCTATTGAGTCAAGCGTGAGGCACTGTGATGAGAGAAGTGCAGGAGAGGTGGGTATGAGCTAGATCATTGAGGGCATTGGATACCATGTGAAATTTTGTGCTAAGGAGCTGGTGCAGGGTTTTAAGCAAAGGAGTGGTATGATCTTTCTGAAACACAAACCTGATTGTTTTATGACCATGATAAGAATATGTGTAAGGAGAAAGAAATTGGAGGCGATTAAGATGCCTAAATCAAGGCAGTGGCAAATACATTTGGGGTAGGTGGATTTGAGAGGTATGTAGGAGAAATGACAGGACTTGATTAATTTCAAAATTAAATGAAAGAATGCAGAGCTTTAATAATTATTTGGAAAATATTGACTATATTTTTAGTATTGTAGACATTTAGGATCATTTAAGCTTCAGAATTGGCTCAGGAAATTTATAAATGTGGAAAGAAAAATATATTAAAAACATTTTTTTTTTTTTGAGATGGAGTCTCGCTCTTTTGCCCAGGCTGGACTGCAGTGGTGCTATCTCGGCTTACTGCAAGCTCCACCTCCCGGGTTCATGCTATTCTCCTGCCTCAGCCTCCTGAGTAGCTGGGATTACAGGCGCCCGCCACCGCACCCGGCTAATTTTTTGTATTTTTAGTAGAGACGGGGTTTCACCGTGTTAGCCAAGATGGTCTCGATCTCCTGACCTCATGATCCACCCGCCTCGGCCTCCCAAAGTGCTGGGATTACAGGCGTGAGCCACCATGCCCGGCATTAAAAACATTTTTAATGAAGATAACATTTTGATAGCATGAAATAAATCATTGACTAGGAAAATCATGTGTCGTATCTGAATTTAGATTTGTAAGCCGCTTTGCAGCAACATGTAACAATGGTTTCAATAGATAAGAAATTTTTAAAACTACCATAACTATAGCATCTTTGAAATGGAATATCCTATAGTTTAAAAAGTCATGGTTATATTTTCTGTTATTCTATGCTTTTGCTTTTACTGTAAAACTTGTCTGTCCACATATAAGCCATGGCCAAATTCCTCTATCAAATTTTTTTATGCATTTTTAATATCATGGAGATTAATACAGATTCTACATTGAGATGAATACTAAATTTAACTAGCATATTGTCAGCATTTCCCCATCTGGTGGAATTTTCAGAAACTTGATTTTTTTTTTTTTTTTTTTGAGACGGAGTCTTGCTCTGTCACCCAGGCTGGAGTGCAGTGTCCTGCTCTTGGCTCACTGCGACCTCCATCTCCCAGATGCAAGTGATTCTCCTCCCTCAGCCTTCCAAGTAGGTGAGATTACAGGCATCCACCATGATGCCCAGCTAATTTTTGTATTTTTAGTAGAGACGGGGTTTCACCATATTGACCAGGCTGGTCTCGAACTCTGACCTCAAGTAATCCACCTGCCTTGGCCTCCCAAAGTGCTGAGATTACAGGCACAAGCCGCCACACCCAGCCCCTGTATCAAATATTTTAGAAAGAAATTAATTTAGCAATGTTCTTTTATCACACAATCTGCTCGTTAGAGAAAACCTGGCCTACTCTTCGCTGGTGATAGAAAATGGAATTTTCAGGTCATTTAAAAGATCACGTTCTATTAAAGATGATTTTTAATCCTCACTAGTAAATACAAGCTATTTATAAACACAATGTTTACAACACAATGTTTATAAATACACAATTCCTTTCGCAAGTACCATCCAGAATCAAAGATTCCTCTTTTTTACCTCCTTGTAATTAACCATATTGTTTTTTCATCTTGCTTTTATGATAAATAAGTTCACTTTTCTGAGAGGCCTTGCACTCATCAGGAACCATTTATTGAGTGTCTATTTGTAGAACACTGTCCTGGTCATCCTGAGAAATAAACTTCTCAAGGGCACTTTTATAATCCAGTTGCAGAGACAAAATAGACCTGTAAACTAATAAGTATACAGTGATAAGCAATTGAATAAGCAGTAACGGAATGCAAGAAAAAAAACGGATCCAAAAGAGAAAAGATTTTCTAGAAGTGAGTTTTATTTTATTATTTATTTATTTTTTGAAACAGGGTCTTGCTCTGTCACTCAGGCCAGAGTGTAGTTGTGCCATCACAGCTCACTGCAACCTAAAACTGGGATCAAGTGATCCTCCCACCTCAGCCTCCTGAGTAGCTAGGACTATAAGTCCACCACTATGCCTGGCTAATTTTATATTTTATTTTTTTAGAGATGGGGTCTCACTTTGTTGCCCAGGCTGGTCTTGAACTCCTGGGCTCAAGCAATCCTCCTACCTCAGCCTCCCAAAGTGCTGGGATTATAGGCATGAGCCACCGCACCCAGCCTAGAAGTGAGTGTTAAACAGCACTTAGAGGAAATAAATGGCATTTCTCTTCAAATATCGAGTATTTATTTATTTACTTATTTATTTATTGAGACAGAGTCTCACTCTGTCCCCCAGGCTGGAGTGCAGTGGCTACATCTTGGTTCATTGCAAACTCTGTCCCCCAGGTTCAAGCGATTCTCATGCCTCACCGTCCCAAGTAGCTGGGACCACAGGCGTGCACCACCACGCCCAGCTGATTTTTGTATTTTTAGTAGAGACAGAGTTTTGCCATGTTGGCCAGGCTGGTCTTGAACTCCTGGCCTCAAGTGATCCACCCACCTTGGCCTCCCAAAGAGCTGGCATTACAGGCATGAGCCACTGAGCCCAGCCTAGAATTGTTATTTGAAATGTTCCAACAGGCTTTCTTCACTAAGAATCTCCTTAATATCAAGAACAAAAAGGGCCTTTTTATCACCACTTCCATTAAATCATTTGGGAGAAGGCCTAGGGCCAAAGTAAAAACCAACTGGGAGCTCTGTGTTCCACATGGGTATTGTCATGGAGGCATGAGTTTCTACAGGCCTTCCTAACCTTTTTCCAAAGATTCTTTGGGCATCTGGTAAAGACTACGAACTCCTCTTCAGAGTAATGTTTTTGAATAATATACATTTTTTACATTAAAAATAGTGTTGCTTAGTGCAACACTATTCTCCAGCGTTGGTGACAGAGTGAGACCCCTTCTCTTAAAAAATAAATAAGCACTTTTTAAATAGATAAATGAAAAAAAAACTGATTCTCTGCTTATCTTGAAAAAAAAAAGCACCTTTAAACTGATTTATTTTGTCTTAAGCACATTAACATACCATCAAGTTTATAACCCTGGAAATAGAGCTTGGAAATCAGTAGCATACAGTTAAAACCATGGAGCATCAATAAGACGCCCAGCAAAAATTTGTGAGTATCGTAGAAGAAGAGAAACAGTCCAAGAGTGGGCAAAGGAAGAGAAGCCTAGAAAAAGGAAAGAATTGTCAAAGAGGTAGGAGGAGAACATACCTTCTGTGATGTTACAAAGCAGAGGGTGCCAAATGCTGCAGAGATGTCACATATAATGGGGACAAAAAAATAATACACTGAATTTGGCCCTATGAAGGTCAGTGACCTTTCCTGTGGCATTTTCAGCAGGTGAAGGGCAGATACCAAATGGAAATGGCTTGAAGACTGAATAAGAGATGAAGCAGAACAGTGTGGTATAAACCAGTGCTTTTCAAACGTCTATGATGAAGCACATATTTAATTTTCAATCTGTCATAGATTGACAACAGGGTCCTACTGTTCATGACTAGTATGCAGCTTGCACCAGATGCAATGCATCCCTAGAGCTGGGCAACAACCAGATTGGTCTATAGTCTGTTCAACCTGACAAGTCCACTGGTTCCAGGTTTGGATGTCATGGCCAGGTCAAATGGCTGTAAAAGTTTCTAAATGCTTATTGTCAACTCTGTACAGTAGGAGAGGTTTTATTTTAAGAAGTTTATCTGTTGGGTTTCTTTGTTTTGTTTTGAGATGGAGTCTTGTTCTGTCGCCCAGGCTGGAGTGCAGTGGTGCAATCTTGGCTCACTGCAACCTCCGCCTCCCGGGTTCAAGCGATTCTCCTGCCTCAGCCTCCTGGGTAGCTGGGATTACAGGCACGTGCCACCACACCTGGCTAATTTTGTATTTTTAGTAGAGATGGGGTTTCTCCATGTTGGTCAGGCTGGTCTTGAACTCCCGACCTCAGGTGATCCGCCCGCCTCGGCCTCCCGAAGAATTTTTGTATTTTTAGTAGAGATGGGGTTTCACCATGTTGGCCAGGCTGGTCTCGAACTCCTGACCTCAGGTGATCCACCCGCCTCGGCCTCCCAAAGTCCTGGGATTGAAGGCATGAGCCACCGCGCCCCGCCAATAAGCTTATCTGTTAGGGAAGAGAGAGCAACAGGTACTCTCCAGGGCCTTGGAAGGAAGAGAGGTTTCTTTTTTCTTTTCTTTTCTTTTTTTTTTTTTTTTGAGATGGTGTTTTGCTCTGTCGCCCAGGCTGGAATGCAGTGGCACAATCTCGGCTCACTGAAACCTCCACCTCCTGTATTAAAGTAATTCTCCTGCTTCAGCCTCACAAGTAGCTGGGACTACAGGTGTGCACCACTATGCCCGGCTAATTTTTGTATTTTTAGTAGAGCTGGGGTTTCTTTCTTTTTTTCTTTTTGAGACAGTTTCACTTTTGTTGCCCAGACTGGAGTGCAATGGCATAATCTTGGCTCACTGCAACCTCCGCCTCCTGGGTTCAAGCGATTCTCCTGCCTCAGCCTCCCGAGCAGCTGGGATTACAGGCGCCTGCCAACACGCCTGGCTAATTTGTTGTATTTTTAGTAGAGATGGGGATTTCACCATGTTGGCCAGGTTGGTCTCGAACTCCTGACCTCAGGTGATCCACCCACCTCGGCCTCTCAAAGTGCTGGGATTACAGGCATGAGCCACTGTGCCCAGCTTTGAGACAGTGTTTCACCATGTTGGCAAGACTGGTCTTGAACTCCTGACCTCAAGTGATCCTCCCACCTTGGCCTCCCAAAGTGCTGGGATTACAGGCATGAGCCACCACGCCAGGTGACTACTTTCTCTGCGTATCTCCTAATGTTCTTCATGCTTTGCATTCTTTTCAACCCTTAATTTGGATCTCCAGCACCTAAAATAGTTTTTGGTACATAGAAGGCATTCAAATTAAAAGGTTTTTGAAGAAATGAATGAACTTTCATGTGAACGGTGGAGGAAGACGTCCTGTTTCTAGATTTTACAGTAGAAAATCCTGCCTTACTTAGCCTCTTTATTTTGCCTCTAGGCAGAGATTTCTCAGGGAGAAATCATCTGGGAGGCCCATCATCTTTTCATAGTCTTTGAGTGCATTAAAGTGTTCCCCTCTGTTTTCAAAAAAAAAATTTTTTTTATGGTGAAAAGATACACGTATATTTAGAACTAGCCAGCTGGACTCAATTTAGATGATACCAATTTTTTGGCAACATCCAAAACATCGTAATCAGGAGCCAGTCAAACATATGCCTTCTTCTCTCCACCAGGCCGAATCAGGGTGTTGACCTTGGCCGCATCAATGTCACAGAGCTTCTTCACAGCCTGTTTGATCTGCTGCTTGTTGGCTTTAACATCCACCGTGAACACAAGTGTGGTGTTGTCTTCTATCTTCTTCATGGCGGACTCAGTGGTCCACAGAAACTTGATGATGGCATAACGGTCAAGCTTGTTTCTCCTGGGGGCGCTATTCCGAGGATATTTGGGTGGCCTCGAGTCGCAGTGTCCTGGGCCTCCGGAAGGTGGGTGACGTGCGGGTCTTCTTTTTTTGTGTGGATGTGGACATCTTTCAACACTGCCGTCTTCGCCTTTAAAGCCTTTGCTTTGGCTTCGGCTTCGGCTTTAGGAGGGGCAGGCGCTTCCTTTTTCGCTTTTGGCGCCATCTTGTGAAAAGGGTCCTGTTTTCAAAAATTATATCACTGACCTTTGCTCAATAGGAACTGTACTTTGAGGTTTTTCTTTCAAAATTGGTAACGGATTTGCCTCTGGGTTTACCTTCCTTTCCCTCTTCGAGGGCATACATTAACAAAGGACTATCAGGTTTGGGACCATGCCATTGAAACGGGACAAGTTCCCTTGTCCCCCCTTGCAGGGCGTGCAGTGGGGGTGTGGCTCGCTTCTTCAGTGCTCCGATGCTCAGACTTCTAGAGGAGCCTACAGATGGGCAGGCTGTGGGGCTCCGACCCCACAGCAGTGTCTAGGGGTGAATATTTACAGCTCCTGAAGCCCCAGTGGGCGTGTGTTACAGGATGCTCTTTTAGTTTTGCTCTTTTAGTTTTGCTATCTCTAGGCAGCTTGTGTTAACCAGCTCAATTAGACCCTCTACCCTCTACCTTGTGGCAAGGACAGAGGGCTTTCTGTATCCCAGGTTCTTGCCTTGGTGTACCGGAAGAATCGGATCACAAGTGGGCTTGGAGAATGAGTGCAAGGTTTTATTGAGTTGAAGTAGCTCTCAGCAGATGGGGGAGCTGGTTTTCCCCTGGAATCAGACACGCGCTCCTTCGATTACCCTAGCCAAACTCCACGTTATTCTGCTGGTCAGTGGCCAGCCTGCATGCTGGTGCCTGGCGGTGCGTTCCTCTAGACGTCCAGCTGCCTGTGTATTCCTCCACCGAGGTACTCCTTTCCAGCTCCAGCTGCTTCTGTCTCTGCCTTGCTAGGGTCCCGGGTTTTTATAGGCACAGAATGAGGGCGTGGCAGGCCCAGGTGGTCTTAAGAAATGCAACATTTGGGCAGGAAATGCCTGACTACACCTTGGTCCCTGGGGGTGGAGCCCTAGCCAGGGACCACGCCCTCCTCTTCGGAGCACTTCCCTTCCCTTCTTCTGTGTCATTTAAAGGGACCAAGCTCTTCCCTTGCCAGCACTCTCCTTCCATATCACCATAACCACAGAAGAAAGAGAATTTACCTCCACAGAGCTCAAACCTTAATATTTTAGCGTAAAATATTTTAGCATGAAAGAACTCTAGTGGTTCATAAATCTCTTCACTTTCTTCTTTCTCTAACTGGACTGATTTTCAAACATCCCTCTTCTTTTCTCATCTAAAGCATTGCCCCTAGCCCAAGCAGTGGAACTCAAATCTGTCCCTGGAAAAAATGAGAATGGTGACATAAAATGTGAGCAATGGCTGGACGTGGTGGCTCATGCCTGCAATCCTAGCACTTTGGGAGGCTGAAGCAGTGGATCGCTTGAGCTCAAGAGTTCGAAACCAGCCTGGGCAACATGGTAAAACTCCATCTCTACAATAAATACGAAAATTGGGGCAACAGAGTGAGACTCTGTCTCAAGTAAATACATACATACATACATACATACATACATACATACATACATACGTACATACATACAGTGTAGGCAACACGATCAGGAGTCAAAGAAAAGTGGACAATTTCAGTCATTGGGAAAACATTTGTTGAATACTTAGTATGTACCAAACACAGCACTGACTTCCAAGTGTGTGGTTTCCCTCCAGGGACACATAAAACTCAAATCCAGTCAGATGTGCCAGGATTGGTTTCTATGTTTAAGTGTTCAGAGGGACTTTTTCAACCAAAGCAACTGGAAGACTTTTTGCAGCGTGTACCACTTACATAGCTAAAGCACATCCTATAGTAGATTTTTAACCTTAAACAGACATTGTTTAACAGGTTTAAAGAAGAAGCAGGAAAACAGGAAAATCCCAGCGGGGTGTGTGTGTGTGTGTGTGTGTGGTTTGGGAAAGGGGTGGTGGAAGGTGATTAAATGCTAACTTTCATACTTTTTGGAAATAAGTGGTGGTTGAATTTATGGCTTAATCAATAAGGGTTATTTTGGCTTTTTTGCCCTGTTCTGGGGTAAGGAAGACCTCAACCTTTACTCTGCATCTGGTCCTTAGCATAAAGTACTTACTCTGGGCTGGGCGCGGTGGCTCACGCCTGTAATCCCAGCACTTTGGGAGGCCGAGGCGGGCAGATCACGAGGTCAGGAGTTCGAGACCAGCCTGGCCAACATGGCGAAACCCCATCTCTACAAAAAATAGCTGCGCATGGTGGCGGCGCACGCCCGTAATCCCAGCTACTCTGGAGGCTAAGGCAGGAGAATCTCTTAAACCTGGGAGGCGGAGGTTGCAGTGAGCTGAGATCGCGCCACTGCACTCCAGCCTGGGTGACAGAGCGAGATTCTGTCTCAAAAAAAAGAAAAGAAAAGAAAAGAAAAATGTATTGCCACATTAGAGGTGATGATTGTTGAAGTGTGTGGTGTGCATGTATTTGTCCATTCATTTAGAAACAATTTGGTGAATACATTATGTAGCATCCTCAACTGCCCTAAAAGAGCTTTCGGAGAAGAAACGAAATGCAGATGGTCAAAATTTAACCATGGTTTGACTAAACGATTTTTCAACTTTTACGATGGTGAAAATGACATGCATTCAGAACTCTTCTAGATTTATGATGGTATTGCATCCAGATAAATCCATCATAAATTGAAAGTTTTTGACTTACGATATTTTCAATTTATGATGGGTTTATCTGAACATAACACCATCGTAAATGGAGGAACATCTGTATATGTCAATGGCCATACCACAAAGAGGAAAGTGTTCGTGCTGCACTTTAGATAAGGACGCTGTATGTTTTTGATGGTATAGTATTAATTCCATTAACTTGACTGTAAATAGCTCAAGGCCATTTAGAAATACCACATGAATAGAGGGAAAGTCCACTTCATTTACTTTTCACAAAGACAAATTGGGATCTTATTGATCCCCTTTGTAGCAAATGATCAAGCTAGAGAAATTGGGGGAATATTAAATAAATATCACTTTGGCATAAAAGGCTATGTCACATTAAAAGTGTATTTTTGTAACATATTGATTTCTCACATGCAGTTGCTTAATTCTTAGAGCACCTTCTATGAAGGCTTATTATACCACAAAAGACATGTCTACACCGGCAGGCAAAATTACATGGTAGAAAAGCCTGGCTTTTGCAGTCAGATGTGTTATTAGAATGCTTGTTCCTGCTTGGCCGGGTGCGGTGGCTCACGCCTGTAATTCCAGCATTTTGGGAGGCCGAGACGGGTGTATCACGAGGTCAGGAGATCGAGACCATTCTGGCTAACACAGTGAAACCCCGTCTCTACTAAAAATACAAAAAAATTAGCCGGGCGGTGGCAGGTGCCTGTAGTCCCAGCTACTAGGGAGGCTGAGGCAGGAGAATGGCGTGAACCCAGGAGGTGGAGCTTGCAGTGAGCCGAGATCGCCCCACTGCACTCTAGCCTGGGCAACAGAGCGAGACTCTGTCTCAAAAAAAAAAAGAATGCTTGCTCCTGCTTTATACTAGGTGCATGACCTTGGACAAAGTGTCAACTTTTCTGGGTGCCAGAGTCCTCGTCTGAAAACAGAAATAGTACTACCTCTAGGGTTGTTGGATAATCAATAATAGCCTTTTAAAAAATTGACACATTGGCTGCCGTGGCTTACAGCTGTAATCCCAGCAATTCAAGAGGCAGACTCTAGAAGATCACTTGATCCCAGGAGTTGGGGACCAGCCTGGGGAACATACAGAGACCCCGTCTCTACAAAAAGTTAAAAAGTTAGCTGAGGATGGTGGCGTGCACCTGTAGTCCAAGCTACTTGGAGAGGCTGAGGTGGGAGGATTGCTTGAGGCCAGGAAGTTGAAGCTGTAGTGAGCTGAGATGGTGCCACTGTTTTTTTTGTTTATTTGTGGGGTTTTTTAAATCAACTTTTTTTTGTTGTTTTTTGTTTTGTTTTTTGTTTTTTGAGACGGATTCCCACTCTATTGCCCAAGCTGGAGTGCAATGGCATGATCTCGGCTCACTGCAACCTCTGCCTCTCGGGTTCAAGCAATTCTCCATGCCTCAGCCTCCCAAGTAGCTGGGGCTACAGATGTGCCCCACCATGCCCGGCTATTTTTAGTATTTTTAGTAGAGATGGGGTTTCACCATGTTGGCCAGGCTGGTTTCAAACTCCTGACCTCAGGTGATCCACCCACCTCAGCCTCCCAAAGTGCTGGGATTACAGGCATGAGCCACTGCACCCAGCCCGTTGTCTCTTTTAAATGTTAAAAAATAAATACGGCCGGGCACGGTGGTGCAATTACACCTGTAATCCCAGCACTTTGGGAGGCCAAGGAGGGTGGATCATGAGGTCAGGAGTTCAAGACCAGTCTGGCCAACATAGTGAAACCCTGTCTCTACTAAAGATACAAAAAATTAGCCAGGTGTGGTGGTGTGTGCCTGTAATCCCAGCTACTCGGGAGGCTGAGGCAGGAAAATCACTTGAACCCAGGAGGTGGAGGTTGCAGTGAGCCGAAACCACTCTGTTTATTTTGAGACTCTGTCTCAAAATAAATAAATACATAAATACATAAACAATGCTGTTATGAATCTTTGTGTACAAGTTTGTTTGTGTGGTTGTATGTTTTCATTTTTCTTAAAAATATATGTACCTATCTGTCATATGCTAGTAATATGATAATTATGTTTAACTTTTTTTTAAGAGACAGGGTCTTGCTCTGTCACCCAGACTGGAGTACAGAGGTACAATCATAGCTCCCTGCAGCTTCCAACTCCTAGGCTCAAGTGAGTTTCCCACCTTGACCTCCCCAAGTGCTGGGATTACAGGTGTGAGCCACCGTGCCTGGCCTGTTTAACTGTTTGAGGACATTATTTTTATTATGAAAATTTTCAAAAGCTGAAAGAATGGTACAGAGTACCTGTATCTCTCCATTTAAAGTCAATAATTTTTGACATATTTTCAGATTCACATCCCCATTTCTCTCTCTGATTTCATTTTTTAGAGCCAGCACTCTTAACTACTAAATTACATTTGTCCCCAATTGAATGAATGAACATAGGTAAAATAGTATAATCCTTGGCCAATAATGGCTACTCAATAACATAAATTCCGTCCTCTCCTCCTTTCCTCAATACTTAGAAATATAGGATCTGGAGCTCTTATCTCTACATCAAGATAAGAGAAGTGAAAACTGAATTAGATTCATGAACCTCCCTGTCCGCAGTGTTCCTGGACCAAGGTCAGTGGAACTAGGAAAGTGGCCATCCAAACTGTGATGATTCAGGGGTTCAATTGCTGGTTGATTTTACTAGGGTGAGATAATTAGGAAGGGCAAAATATATTCTATGAATAGATAAATTAGCAGGGGGAAAAAAAGAGTCCAACCATCACAACTGTTTTTTATTTCAAGGTAGCAGGAACTTCAGCTCACACATATGCAAACAAACCTATTCTAAAGCAAAATTTAAAATCTCATGTGCTAATGCAGACTTTTTCACATCCCTCCCACTGAGTGCCTGGACATAAGGAAGGAACTGTGTAAGTGAACTGACCAGTGCTGAAGTTTTACCAAAACACCAACAGAAAGGGTCAGTTTCTTTCTGGACAGTGATATTGAGCAGGTGAAAAGTATGGCAGCTCATTACTCTACTTTTCACTGATTTTTGAAAATAATCAACCATAACTTTAGATCCTTGGGGTCCCCAGAACAACTTTCACTCCCGTGAAATCCACATGCTTACAAGAAGCTGTTGGGCTTACTGGAATTTTTATGAATTCCAAACCTGCCAATCATAATTTTCAGGCATCAGACCTTTAGCAGCCACTTCTTATCCAGAGATATTCCTGTAGCAGAGGTTTTCTCCCCATTGCTGAAATAAATCTAGTGAGATTATGAATACTTTTGGTCTTGCAAACACCCAGTTGTGCTGCCTGAGTCCTACTAGATTCAGACCAGACATTCTGAACCCTGGCTGTGCATCAGAAAGAGACCATTATCACTTCTAGCAAAATTAACAATTTCTTAATCTAATCTAATACCTAATCTATATTTAAATTTTCCCAATTGTCTCCATAATGTCATTTTACAGCTTGTATGTTCAAACTAGAGTCCAGCAAAGTCCACACACTGTTTGTTTTTTATTCTTAAGTCTCTTATAATCTAGAACAATCTTAAATACCCCCAGCGCCCCCACACACACACTTTTTCTTAATGCCATTGACTTGATGAAGAAACTAAGTCAGTTTGTCCTGTAGAATGTCCTACCTTCTGGATTTGTCTGATGGTTTCCTTGTGATGGCCTGCCTCTGTTCCTCTATTTCTTGTATTTCCTATAAGCTGGTAGTTAGATCTAAACGGTTGCTTAGATTCAGGTTACACAATTTTGGTAAGAAATTTTATAGCTTATGCTGTGTCCTTCTTACTGAATCACATCAGGTGCACAAAATATCTGGTTGCTCCACTGACAGTGAGGCCAAGATTGATCAGTGCAGTCAAATGGTCACAGTCTGATCTCTCCCATTACAAAGTTGTGTTTTCCCCTTTGACCAGTAAACTAATCTGTGGACTGCCCTTTGGTCCTTTTATTTACCACCACCATGTGCCGTGTTTACAACCTGGAAGATTAAAGGGAAAACTAACTAACTAAATAATTATCTTTTCTTTTCTGGTTTGAATCAGTAGATTGAAATCATACAATGTTCTCTGATCAGCTGGAGTGAAATTAGAATAATAGAATGAAATTTAGGAAATTCACAAATATTTGGAAATTAACTCCTACTTTTTTTTTTTTTAGACAGAGTTTTGCTCTTGTTGACCAGGCTGGAGTGCAATTGCGCAATCTTGGCTCACCACAACCTCCACCTCCTGGGTCCAAGCGATTCTCCTGCCTCAGCCTCCCGAGTAGCTGGGACTACAGGCTCCCGCCACCACGCCCAGCTAATTTCTGTATTTTTAGTAGAGACCAGGTTTCACCATGTTGGACAGGCTGGCCTTGAACTGCTGACCTCAGGTGATCCACCTGCCTCGGCCTCTCAAAGTGCTGGGATTACAGGCGTGAGCCTCCGCACCTGGCCTAACTCCTACATTTCTAATTTTTAATTAAACCAAGATTGAGGCCAGGCACAGTGGCTCACACCTATAATCCCAGCACTTTGGGAGGCCAAGGTGGGTGGATCACCTGAGGTCAGGAGTTCAAGACCAGCCTGAGCAACATGGCAAAACTCCGTCTCTACTAAAAATACAAAAATTAGCCCGGTATGGTGGCACATGCCTGTAGTCCTAGCTACTCAGGAGGCTGAGGCAGGAGAATCACTTGAACTTGGGAGGCAGAGGTTGCAATGACCCAAGATTTCACCACTGCCCTCCAGCCTGGGGGACAGAGCAAGACTCCATTTCAAAACAAACAAACAAGATTGTAAAAACTGGACGAGGCATGGTGGCTCACACCTGTAATCCTAGTACTTTGGGATTGAGGCCAGGAGTTCGAGACCAGCCTTGAGGCCAGGAGTTCAAGACCAGCCTGGCCAACATGGCAAAACCCTGTTTCTACTAAAAATACTAAAAATTAGCCAGGCGTGTTAGCACATGCCTGTAATCCCAGCTACTTGAGAGGCTGAGGCATGAGAATCACTTGAACTCGGTAGGCAGAGGTTGCAGTAAATGGAGATCGCACCACTGCACTCCAGCCTGGGCAACAGAGCGAGACTGTCTAAAAAAAAAAGATTTTCTAACCCAGCTTCATGATTGGACCCCCTCCTCCAAACTTGCTTCTCTGCCAGTATTCCTGATGCAGAGACTGTCTCTAGTCCTGCAAGCCAGAAACCAGTTAGCATCCTGCCACCTCCTTCTTCCTCACTCTCACCCTTCCTTAGCCACTGATCACCGGTCCTCAAAATTTTATCCTCCAGCATATCTCAGACTTTTTACTTTTTTCATCCCCCTGGTCCGGGCTGCTGTCATCTCTCACCAGGGCTGTTACGGTTCTTATAGTCTTGCCCACCTCCTGCTTGTTCTCCACACTGTAGGCAGAGAAATCTTTCCCAAGCTCAGAGCTCATCCTGTTTACAATCCTTCAATTGCTTTGCGTTTTAGCATAAAGATCAAGATCTTCAATGAGGTCTGCAGGGGCTAATCCGGAACTCCTTCTGCCTCCCAGCTCCTATACCCTCTTGCTTTCTGGGCTACAGCTGCTATAGCAACACTGACTGTTCCTCAAATGCCTTGTGCTGTTTCCTGGCACAGGACCTTTGCACTCACTGTTCCCACTGCCGACAATGCTCTTATGCAGCCTCTTTGCTCAGCTAACTCCTACATTTCACTCAGATCTCAAGCCCAGGATCATTTTCTCAAAGAGATTGTCCATAATCCCTCAGACCGGGACAGGTCTCTCCAGTGGTGTGTGCTGTCAGCATCATGTGCCTTCCCTTCTAATCACAGTATGGATTAATTTTTTTGTGATCGGTGGATTAATGCTTATCTCCCCCACTAGGTTGCTCACCCACTGAAGGATGCGACTGTGTCTCTTTTGCTCACCACTCTCCTTGTGCCTAGCACCTCAGCTGGCATGTAGTAGGAGCTCTCTCTCTCTCTCTCTCTCTCTCTCTCTCTATATATATATATATATATATATATGTGTGTGTGTGTGTGTGTGTGTAAAATATATTATATATATAATTTAAATGTTATGTTAAATGTTAAGTTTAAAAAACATGATGAAGGGCCGGCCGTGGTGGCTCATGCCTGTAATCTCAGCACTTTCGGAGGCCGAAACGGGCAGATCACTTGAGGTCAGGAGTTCCAGACCAGCCTGGCCAACATGGTGAAACCCCATCTCTACTAAAAATACAAACGTTAGCCGGGTATGGTGGCAGGCACCTGTAATCCCAGCTACTCGGGAGGCTGAGGCAGGAGAATCACTTGAACCCAAGAGGCAGAGGTTGCAGTGAGCCAAGATCATGCCACTGCACTCCAGCCTGGGCAATACAGCGAGAATCCATCTTGAAAGAGAGAAAGAAAGCAAGAAAGAGAGAGAGAGAAAGAGAAAGAAAGAAAGAAGGAAGAATGTGGAGTAAAATTCTTATTTATATATCATTTCCACATATTTTTAAGAAGCAGGATTATTCAGTGTTGTCTTGTTTTCTGCTTTTGACTGAACATTATATGCAAAAATGTATATCATATATAGGCAAAAGATATATGTGCAGAGAAAAAGGTTGAATGACAATGTTACTGGTGATTGCTTTTCGTAGATAGGATTTCAGAGGTATTTTATTTCTTCTTCAGACTTTCCATATTTTCCAAATATTTTTACAATGAATATATATGTTTTTATAATTAGGAGACAGCTGTGATTAAGAACTTACACTTTGGTGTTAGCTAGATTTGAGTTCCAGTCTCAGCTCTACCTCAGCTGTGTATTAGCTGACTGACCTGGACAAGTTACTTAACCTCCTCTAAGGCTCAGAAGAATATCTAACCACAAGGTTGTTGCAAGAAGCAAATGACACAATACATAGAAATCACTTAGCACAATTTCTGGCATATCATTAGTAGTAGTAGTTCTTGTTATAGATTTTGATCTGACAAAAAAAATGTTAATTTTTAGGCAACTCTGGGCTCACTGCCTGTGGGTTAGCCCTGCTCCACAAGGAGCAGCCACTCTAACAAAATAAATAAATAAAAATTAAAACAAATAAATAGGCTGGGTGCAGTGGCTCACACCTGTAATCCCAGCACTTTGGGAGGCCAAGGCAGGAGGATCACTTGAGGTCAGGAGTTCGAGACCAGCCTGGCCAACATGGTGAAACCCTATCTCTACTAAAAATACAAAAATTAGCTGGTCTTGGTGCCGGGCACCTGTAATCCAAGTTACTTGGGAGGCTGAGGCAGGAGAATTGCTTGAACCCAGGAGGCAGAGATTGCAATGAGCTGAGATTGTGCCACTGCACTCCAGCCTGGGCAACAGAGTGAGATTCCATCTCAAAAAAAAAAATAATAATAAATTAAATACATAAATAAACGAAACAAATAAATAAATGTATTACTTTAAATTTTTAAAATAGCCTTTCCTTGGAAAAGAAAAAAAATGAAAATAAAGTTCATATCTAGTTTCAATTATATTTTCAAAAAAAAAAAAATACCAGCCGGGCATGGTGGCTCACGCCTATAATCCCAGCACTTCGGGAGGCTGAGGCTGGCAGATCACCTGAGGTCAGGAGCTCGAGACCAGCCTGACCAATATGGTGAAACCCTGTCTCTACTAAAAATACAAAAATTAGCCGGGCATGGTGGTGGGCGCCTGTAGTCCTAGCTACTCGGGAGGCTGAGGCAGGAGAATGGTGTGAACCCAGGAGGCAGAGCTTGCAGTGAGCTGAGATAGTGCCACTGCACTCCAGCCTGGGCAACAGAGCGAGACTCCGTCTCAAAAAAGAAAAAAGAAAAAATACCCAGATTGTTGAAATTACTGGACCTGGAGGACCAACTGTAGGAAGCAAGGTAATTGAAATTTAGGAAATTAATTCCTGTATCACTTTCTAAAAATAAACCCAAACAACAACCACAACAAACACCTAACATTGCCAGCCTAGATAGAGGTGAGAAAGCAAACATTGAATGGATTCATACCCTGAAGTGCAGCAGCAGTAGCAGTGCCCCTCACAAATCTTTAATACGGTGATAGTGAGCAGCAAACAATACAGCCAAACTGATTTGACTTGTGTCAAAAATACAGTGGGCAGCAGTGGGATCTGGACATCCCTCTAGTTGATGAACACAGGCTTAGAGGACATCAGCTTCTCCATAGCAAATGGGCAAATTTGTTCTGAAACCCAGTTGATAACTTTGTAAATTATCTGGGATTGACATGTTGTGTTCCAGTTAGGATGTGTGGAGTGAGACAGACCAGCTTTGTTGCTGTATTTATTAGGTTTTCTCTGGTGGAAAGACTCCACTGGAATCCAAGCTCCACCACTTACCAGCTTTGTGGCTTTGGCTGAAAACCACTCCTGGACTTTGTTTTCTCATTTGTAGATGGGGATGATAATTCCTCCCTCACCAGGAGGCTGTGCAGTTGGAATGTGATAACATATGTGAAAGTCTAGACTAGAGCCTGACAACTGGCAGGACTGACATGTTACTCCCCACCTCCTAGGATGACCCAACTCAAGAGACAGAAGCAACTGAACTGTGTCTGTACCTGAGCAGTTACGGCAGTGAGAGTCACGGCCAACTTCCTCTGTGGGGCCTGTACCCTGCAAACAGGGTTCTGTGGAAGTGGTGGAGGCTTCAGAGAGGGGATAGAGTCAGCCTCTGCCTTCAGGAAGCAACATCACTCACCAGCCCTTTCACCCACTAGACTGTTAATGGAGGTTTTAAATAGAAAATGATGTGATCTTCTTTCTTGAATGATTATACTGCTAAAGTTTCTAAATATAAACTTAAACTATGATACCTCCTACATACACACACACGGTCCTTATGTCAGAGTGGTGACTGTCCACCTGTCACGGCTTTTTCACATCTTTTTATTTTGAAAAATTTCAAAGATAGAAAAGTTGCAAGTAGTACAATGAACACCATATGTCACCAGATGTTCACGCAGATTTATCAATTAAATTTTACTGCATTTGCATTCTATTTTTTAAAAATCATTTGCTGAACCATTTAAGAGTTAACTATAGACACTGTGACACTTCATCCAAAAATACTTCGGTGTGTATCTCCTAAGAATAAAAATATTCATCCTATGTAACTATAAAATAAGTATCTCGGCCGGGCGCGGTGGCTCACGCCTGTAATCCCAGCACTTTGGGAGGCCGAGGCGGGTGGATCACCTGAGGTCAGGAGTTTGAGGCCAGCCTGACCAACATGGAGAAACCCCATCTCTACTAAAAATACAAAAAAAGCAGCCGGATGTGGTGGTGCATGCCTGTAATCCCAGCTACTCGGGAGGCAGAGGCAGGAGAATCACTTGAACCCAGGAGGCGGAGGTTGTGGTGAGCCGAGATCATGCCATTGCACTCCGGCCTGGGCAACAAGAGTGAAACTCCATCTCAAATAAATAAATAAATAAAAATAAAAAAAATAAGTATCTCACTCGGGAAATTTTACATTAATACAATAGTAGCATTGAAAATACAGTCCCTATTCAGAATTTCCCAGTTATTCCAATAATACCCTTTGTAGGTTTTTAAAATACAGGATCCAGAAGAAAGAAGGGAAAAAAAATCACACATTTCACTTAATTGTCATGTCTTACCCAGTCGATTTCTGAAATTCAGCCCTTTCCTTTTTGGAGCTAGAGCTGTTGTTTTCCCATTAATTTTATCCACCTCAATGGGTCTCATAACTAAATGCAAGCCCCAGTAATTTTACGTCTTCACTTTTGATCCATGTACTTAAAGAAAAAAAAGTGACTTGTATTGAATATAATCCCACCATTTCTCAGTTCTTAGCTTTAAACAATATTTGAATAGAATTGTCATGTTAACAGCATGTGCACAATGACAGATCTGGGCAGTAAAGGTGGGGGCATTCAGCTAAGGGCACATTCAACTCACAGTAGTGACCGAATATTCAGGTTACAAGCTGTGGTTGGAGATGAGACCTGAATCTCTCCCTAGGTAAGGTAAAGAAGGATCTACAAAGAGTGAGAGGAGAAGCCGCAAATGGGTAACTTTTCCCAGAGGAGAGAATATTTTGCGAGAAGAACCCGTCTGAATGTTGGGAGACTTCCAGGCCAGAAGAGAGGCAGCAGGGTATGCTGAAGACCCAGAGAAACCAGGGGAGTGGGGTGTCCTCAGAAGCGAGGAAGGAATGGGGTGCACAGATAATGAGAAATAGACAATGAATTTCATCCCTGAACTGCTTATGGTTTTTAATTCAAGATGTGAATGAGGTCAGGTGCTGTGGCTCACGCCTGTAATCCCAACACTTTGGGAGGCTGAGGCAGGTGGATCACGTGAGGTCAGGAGTTCAAGACCAGCCTGGCCGACATGAAACCCTGTGGCATATGCCTGTAATCTCAGCTACTTGGGAGGCTCCCTTGGAGAACTGCTTGAACCCAGGAGACGGAGGTTTCAATGAGCCAGTGAGCCAAGACTGTGCCATTGCACTCCAGCCTGGGCAACAAGAGCGAAACTCTGACTCAAAAAAAAAAAAAAAAAAAGAATGTGAATTAATTCCAAGTCCAGCCCAGGAGAGGGGCATTGGGGCGCAGAGCTATGCCAGCTGGAGTCAGATCAGATAACCTTCCAGAGAGGCAGGGTGGAGGCCAGGCCAGAAGCTCAAAGCCCCAGACCTCAGATCTCCTGAGGCAAGACTCCTCTAGGTAAGCAAACAGGAGTAGGCACTGGGAACTGTGGAGAGGGAGAAAACCCAAGCATAATCATCAGGAAGAGAAGTTGCCGAGGAGCACATGAAGGGACAAACTGGAGGACAAAAGCCAATTTGGTTGGGATGACCAGGGAGCAAATGGAAAGAATCTGTGTCCTTGACAACATTGAACCACTGAGTTAACCAACTGCAAAACTGCCCCACTGCTGTACTACTTCTTGTTATATAAAATAATAAATTTCTGGATTGTTCGGAAAAAAAAAGAGGCAAACTAAATCAATAAATTAAGAAACTCCTTAAAAAGCACAGTTTTAAAAAAAAGTCTTAAGAGCCAAGAAAATGAAGTAAAAATATCAAATAGGTGAACATAACGTAGTTACAATAATTATAGCAGATCCACTCACCTTGTTAAGTAGATCTTAAACATATAATTAGATTTAAATGTTTAAAAAGAATAAGGTTGTCAGTGAATAATTTGATTTTTAAAAGATCAGAGAAAAAAACAGAAAGGCAGGCAAAAGGAAAATCTGGCTGGGCACGGTGGCTCACGCCTGTAATCCCAACACTTTGGGGGGCCAAGGCGGGTGGATCATCTGAGGTTAGGAGTTCGAGACCAGCCTGGCCAACATGGTGAAACCCTGTCTCTACTAAAAACACAAAAATTAGCCGGGCGTGGTGGCAGGTGTCTGTACTACCAGCTACTTGGGAGGCTGACGCAGGAGAATCACTTGAACCCGGAGGCGGAGGTTGCAGTGAGCTCAGATCCTGCCACTGCACTCCAGCCTGGGCAACAGAGCAAGACTCTGTCTCAAAAAAGAGAAAATTTATGTAACTCTCAGTTTCTTTTCTTTTTTTTTTTTTTTTGAGACAGAGTCTTGCTCTATCGCCCAGGCTGAAGTGCAGTGGCGCAATCTCAGATCACTGCAAGCCCCACCTCGCAGGTTCACGCCATTCTCCTGCCTCAGCCTCCCAAGTAGCTGGGACTACAAGCGCGCACCACCACGCCCAGCTAATTTTTTGTATTTTTAGAAACAGGATTTCACCGTATTAGCCAGGATGGTCTCGATCTCCTGACCTTGTGATCCGCCCGCCTCGGCCTCCCAAAATGCTGGCATTACAGGAGTGAGCCACCACGCCCGGCCAACTCTCAGTTTCTTAAGACACATGAATATATATGTGTGTGTGTGTGTGTGTGTGTGTGTGTCTATATATATATATATATATATATATATATATATATATATATATACACACACATACAAATATCCCCACAGCCATGTATTACTTAACCATGAAGAATACATTCTGAGAAAAGCATCGTTAGGCAATTTCATCATTGTGTGAGCATCATCAAATGTACTTACCACGAACCTAGATGATATGGCTACTACACACCTAGGCTATATGGTGCAGCTTATTGCTCCTAGGCTACATACCTGTACACCATGTTACTGTACTGAATACTGTAGGCAGTGGTAACACAATGGTACTTGTGTATCTAAACACATCTAAAAACAGAAAAAGTGCAGTAAAAATATGGTGTTATAATCTTTTTATTTATTTATTTATTTGTTTATTTTTGAGACGGAGTCTCATTCTGTTGCCCAGGCTAGAGTGCAGCGGTGTGCATTTGACTCACTGCAACCTCCACCTCCCAGGTTCAAGCAATTCTCCTGCCTCAGCCTCCCGAGTAGCTAGGATTATAGTCGTGTGACACCACACCAAGCTAATTTTTGTATTTTTAATAGAGACGGGGTTTCACCATGTTGGCCAGGCTGGTCTCGAATTTCTGACCTCAGGTGATCCGCCCACCTCAGCCTCCCAAAGTACTGGGGTTACAGGTGTGAGACACCACGCCCGGCCTATGGTGTTATAATCTTATGGGACCACTGTTGTATATGTGGTTTGTGGTTCACTGAAATGTTGTTATATGGTGCATGCCACTATACACACACACACACGCACACATATGTGCACACACACACATGCACACACATGCACACACACGTGCACACCCACGCGCATGCACACATGCACATATAAGTATATAGCTCTATATATGTATATATACATATATGGGCATATGTGTGTATATATGTGTGTGTATATGTATAGTATACACAATTTGCCCCGTGAAGGAGGCACTGATGAATACAGAGGCATTCCTGATTATTCAGGTGGTGTGAGCAAGGGAAAGTAAAGTACTAACTGCTGATGGTTGAAAAGAGGTTTGAGGTGCTCTTGCCAACTAACAAGAGAATTTTTGCCCGAATAACTAGAATGAGTAGAGCATTCACAATCCATGGTATTAATATGGTTTGAAAGCAGTGTGAGTATGTCATAGCAGAGGGGGACGTGGCATGCAGTCTCTATTGTCTTGCGTCTCTGTGGTAAACACTTTTCAGTAGATACTGAATAATCAGGGTGAGATTATTAACCCGTTCTTCATCTCTGAGAAATTAACCCCACAGCACTCCAGTTTACCAGTACAAACCTTACTGTAGAGTTGTCTACTGGACTGTGAATAAATTCATCGGGTTCTAATTTGCAAGTCGAACTCTAAAATTTTCAATCTTCTCGCCTTCAATTTATTTTGAAAACAGTCTGTGCCTGAGTTATGACAAAGGAAGGGAGAATTATATTTTCACCCTCAAATTGATGGAATAACTTTAAATGAAACACCCATATTCCACTTAGAGACTGTAGTATTGACTACTTTCCTATTCTTACGCCTCCTAATTCTTAAGTGGGGGTGGTGGGGCCTTTAACAGCTGCACATTTCCAACACAGTCCTCCCTAAATGGTGTCAAATGACTGGGAATGAAGTTTTGGTAACTCTGGATGATTTATGCAGCCACTTAGTCATCGTTGTTCCATCAGGGGAAACAATGAGAGGCTTTTGTTTGTGTTTCTGTGTGTAGGGTGTGAGGGACAAAGAGAAGCAAATATTCATATAATGAAACTTTGGTCCTCTTTTTTTCCTCTCAACAGAGGTCTTTATATTCAAATTACTATAAATATAACATAAAAATAGAATATATACTGCACTGTGGCTCTTTCTACATTGTTTTCATGTATTTGCCTAGAAAGCTGCTTTTTTTCCTTCTCTCTCTGTTTTTTTTTTTTTTTTTTTTTTTTTTTTGAGACGGAGTCTCTCTCGCTCTGTTGCCCAGGCTGGAGTGTAGTGGCATGATCTCGGCTCACTGCAACCTCCGCCTCCCGGGTTCAAGAAATTCTCCTGCTTCAGCCTCCTGAGTAGCTGGGATTATAGGCGCGCGCCACCATGCCCAGCTAATTTTTGGATTTTTAATAGAGACGGGGTTTCACCATGTTGGTCAGGCTGGTCTTGAACTCCTGACCTTGTGATCCACCCGCCTCGGCCTTCCAAAATGCTGGGATTATAGGCGTGAGCCACCTTGCCCGGTGCCTTCTCTGTTTTTCAAAAAAAAAGTAATGCATGAATACATTCTAACCATAAAATAATCAAACATTATGGAAGTACGCAGAATAAAAAACCAATCTCCCTTCATTGCCCTCACCCAACCTCCACCCCCCACCATCCAGCCCCTACAAAAAAGATCCTTAAAAAAAAAAAAACCTCCATTGCCCTGGTTTTGGGCAGTTTCATAAGAACAGAAGACATATTGCAAGCAACAGGAAAATTCTAAAATATGGAAAATCAGAAATCACTGCAAATGGACCCCACTGTGAAGCATACCCCAGCAAGTGGCAGGGATAATTGTGGCAGTGTTTGAATGCAGGTCGAGGTAGCTCCTCTGAAGAAAAGGCACGTGGAGCCAAAAATATCTGGGTTTGCTTCTTTCTACCTCTGCCACTAGCTAGCTGAGTATCCTTGGGCAACTTTAGTTTCCCTAGCCATAAGGTAGACATGGTCACAGAGGCATGAAATGAGATTGTGTGTGCTGAACACCTGCCAAATGCCTGAATACTAGGTCTTCAGCAAATATTAGCTTTCCTCCAACCTCCAGAAGAACTTTGCTGCAACTGAGGCACCTAACAGTTTATTCCTGGTAAACTTCTAGTTATTTCTTGATGTCTGTGGGGAAATGATAATCCTATTTTGTACACTGGTTGTAAAAGGTGAAAAAGAGCATGGTTTGCTGTCCTGCCAGGCTGCTCAGAGCATGTCAGTGTTTTGCAGGGTTAATTAAAGGCTGATGTGAAAATAGGTCTCCACTACATTTGAGTTCAGGCAATGAATGTGGATTCAGACAAGAGTGCTGATGATTAAGAAATCCTAGTAGGCCAGATGTGGTGGCTCACGCCTGTAATCCCACACTTTGGGAAGCCGAGGTAGGTGGATCGCTTGAGCCCAGGAGTTCAAGACCAGCCTGGGTAACATAGGGAAACCACCACCGTCCCCGTCTCTACAAAAAAATTAAAAAAAAAAATTAGCCAGAGCTATTATTGTGCCACTGCACTCCAGCCTGGGTAACAGAGCAAGGCCCTGTCTCAAAAATAAAAATAAATAAATAATAAAAGAAATCCTGGCCAGGCACAGTGGCTCATGCCTGTAATCCCAGCACTTTGGGAGGCCGAGGTGGGCAGACCACGTGAGGTCAGGAGTTTGAGACCAGCCTAGCCAACATGGTGAAATCCTGTCTCTACTAAAAATACAAAAATTAGCCAGGTGTGGTGGCGCACACCTGTAATCCCAGCTATTCAGGAGGCTGAGGCAGGAGAATCGCTTGAATTTGGGAGGCAGAGGCTGCAGTGAGCCGAGATCACACCACTGTACTCCAGCCTGGGCAACACAGGGAAACTCCATCTCAAAAAAAAGAAAGAAATCCTGATAATCATGGGTATATTATCTCCTGGAAACCTGTATCACTAGGTGACTCATTAAAAGAACAAATTTAATAATGGGGAACACTGATACAAGAACATTGGATTCTCATTATTATTTTAAATATGGAACATTTCACAAATGTGTGTGTCTGCCTGGGCAGGGTCAGTGCTAATCTCTGTATTGTTGCAATTTTTAATACACATGCTGTTGAAGTGAGCATGGATTATTGCTTTTAATAGACTATTTTCTTTTCTTTTTCTTTTTCTTTTTTTCTGAGGCAGAGTTTCACTCTGTCACCGAGGCTGGCATGCAGTGGCGTGATCTTGGCTTGCTGCAACCTCTGCCTCCCAGGCTCAAGTGATCTTCCAGCCTCACCTTCCTGAGTAGCTGGGACTACAGGCACAAGACACCATGCTTGGCTAATATTTGTATATTTTTTTGGTAGAGACAGGGATTTGCCATGTTACCCAGGCTGGTCTCTAACTCCTGAGCTCAAAGCAAATCTGCCTGCCTTGTCCTCCCAAAGTGCTGGGATTACAGGTGTGAGCTACCATTAATAGACTATTGTCTAGAGCAGTTCTAGGTTCACAGCAATATTAAGTTGAAAGTACAGAGATGGCCAGGCACCGTGTCTCATGCCTAGGCGGGTAGATCACTTGAGCTCAGGAGTTTGAGACCAGTCTGGCCAACACAGTGAAACCACATCTCTACTAAAATACAAAAATTAGCCAGCTGTGGTGGTTCACGCCTGTAATCCCAGCTACTCAGGAGGCTGAGGCAGGAGAATCACTTGAACCCAGGAAGCAGAGGTTGCAGTGAGCCGAGATCGTGCCATTGCACTACAGCCTGGACAACAAAGCGAGACCCTGTCACACACACAAAAAAAGTACAGAGATAACCCATATACTCCTTTCCTAGACATACATGCAGAGCCTTATCCACTATCAACATCTGAACCAAAGTAGTACCTTTGTTACAATTGATGAACCTATATTTACACATCATTATCACCCAAAATTCATAGTTTACATTAGGATTTAGGCCAGATGCAGTGGCTCATGCCTGTAATTCCAGCACTTTTGGAGGCTGATGGCGGCAGATCACCTGAGGTCAGGAGTTTGAGACCAGCCTGGCCAACATGGTGAAACCCCGTCTCTACTTAAAAAAAAAATACAAAAATTAGCCCAGTGTGGTGGCAGGTGCCTTTAATCCCAGCTACTTGGGAGGCTAAGAGGTAATAGGTATGTGGTCCTATCTCATTGTTGTTTTAATTTGTGTATCCCTAGGAGAATCACTTGAACCCGGGAGGTGGAGGTTGCAGTGAGCCAAGATTGCACCATTGCACTCCAGCCTGGGTGACAGAGCAAGACTCTGTCTCAAAAAAAAAAAAACCCAAACAAACAGATTAACTCTTAGTTTTGTACATTCTGTAGGTTTTAACAAATGTATAATGACATGTATTCATCATTATAGTATCATACAGTGTAGTTTCACTGCCCTAAAAATCCTCTATGCTCATTTTTCCCCAACCCCTGTATTTCTGGTTTTTCCTTTTGTCTTTTTAATTTTTTCTAAGTTTTTCTTTATTTTTAATATTGAAACATTTTCGGCCAGGCTCAGTGGCTCACGCCTGTAATCCCAGCACTTTGGGAGGCTGAGATGGGTGGATCACCTGAGGTCAGGAGTTTAAGACCAGCCTGACCAACATGGTGAAACCCTGTCTCTACTAAGAATACGAAATTAGAAAAATTAACCTGGCATGGTCTCGGGCACTTGTAATCCCAGCTACTCGGGAGTCTGAGGCAAGAGAATCCCTTGAACCCAGGAGGCGGAGGTTGCAGTAAGCTGAGACTGTGCCATTGCACTCCAGCCTGGGCAACAAAAGTGAAACTCCATCTGAAAAAAAAAAAAAATTTCTTTCTTTCTTTTTTTTTTTTAGAGACAGTCTCACCAGTTTGCCCAGGCTTATCTCAAACTCCTGGGCCTAAGTGATCCTCCTGCCTCAGCCTACCAAGTAGCTGAGACTACAGGCACACACCATTATGCCTGGCTGCCTTTTCTAGAATGTCATATAATTGGAAACATACAATAGGTAGCCTTTTCAGATTGGCTTCTTTCACTTAGCAATATGGATTTAAGGTGCCTCCATGTCTTTTCATGGCTTGATAACTCATTTATTTTCAGTGCTGAATAGTATTCCATTATCTGGATGTACCACAGTTTATCCATTCACCTACTGAGGACATTTTCATATTGCTTCCATGTTTTGACCATTATGGACAAAGCTGCTATAAACATTGATGTGCACATTTTCATGGGGACATAAGTTTTCAACTTATTTGGTAAATACCTAGGAACACAATTGCTGTATCTTATGGTAAGCCGTTTAGTTTTGTAAGAAACAGCCAAACTATTTTCCAAAGGGGCTGTATCATTTGTCATTCCCAACAGCAATGAATGAGAGTTCCTGTTGTTCCACATCCTCACCAGCATTTGGTGTCCTCATTGTTGTGATTTTTGCCATTCTAATAGGTATGTGGTCCTATCTCATTGTTGTTTTAATTTGCATATCCCTAGTGACATATGAAAATCTTTTCATATGCTTATTTGCCATCTGTGTATTTTCTTTGGTGAGTTTGTTCTGATCTTTTGCCCATTATTTAATCGGGTTATTTTTCTTATTCTTGTGTTTTAAGAGGTCTTTATATATTTTGAATAACAGTCATTTATTAGATAAGTCTTTTGTAAATAGTTTTTCCCAGTCTGTGGCTCATCTTCTCATTCTCTTGAAATTATTTTACAATTATTTGTAAATGTTGATTAATGTGGCTATTTGGGAATACAGAAGCTTTGGTTTACATTACCAAGAAAATGTTCTGCAGTCATCCAACAGGTGAGCTCTTAATAAGCTGAAAGCATCGGCCTGGCAGGGTGGCTCACGCCTGTTAATCCCAGCACTTTGGGAGGCCAAGGCAGGTGGATCACTTGAGGTCAGGAGTCAGAAACCAGCCTGGCCAACATGGAGAAACCTTGTCTCTACTAAGAATACAAAAATTAGCTGGGCGTGGGGGGGCATCTGTAATGCCAGCTACTCGGGAGGCTGAGGCAGGAGAATCGCTTGAACCTGGGAGGCGGAGGTGGCAGTGAAGTGAGCCGAGATAGCGCCACTGCACTCCAGCCTGGGCGACAGAGCGAGACTCCGTCTAATAATAATAATAATAATAATAATAATAATAATAATAATAACAAGCTGAAAGTATCTTTCTGGAGATAAAGATTAAGGCACTGACCCCCAACTTCTGGAGGGATCCGCTTGCATTTTCTGCAGTCTATAAAGCCTAGAGTGCCCTCTGCTGGTTACCTTCTGAAAACCAGGCAGTCGATGGTTTCAACTCATTTATTTTTGAAATAACATCATAAGTAATAACCCTTACTCTCCTGTGATTTCTTTATCAAGTTACCTTCTGAAGGCTTATCTCAAGGAGAGAAAAATGACTATTCTTTAGTAACAACTTGATTCCTTAGTCAGAAGTGTGTTTTATTCCACCCCACCAGCCTGTGGAAGAAGAAAAAGAAAAAAAAAGTGTGTCTGATACATCTGCAGCATGTATAGAATTTTTAAAGTGTGTCTAAGATACATTTTATCTTATTTTATTTTATTTACTTTTTAGAGACAGAGACTTGCTCTGTTGCCCAGGATGGTGTGCAGTGGCGCAATCATAGCTCACTACAGCCTCCATCTCCTGGGCTAAAGCTATCCTCCCACCTCACCCTCCCAAAATCCTGGGAATATAGGTGTGAGCCACTGTGCCTGGCCAGATACCATTTGAAATGTGATCAATATGTCTGTTGGTTCCCAAAATCTAAAGTAATTAGCATTTTAGAAGAATAAATTAAAGTAGCCCAGCCCAGGCATGGTGGCTCACACCTGTAATCTCAGTGCTTTGGAAGGCAGAGGTAGGAGGATCGCTTGAGCCCAGGAGTCCAAGACCAGCCTGGGCAACATAGTGATACCTCGTCTCTACTAAAAATTTAAAAATTAGCCAGTTTGGCTCTGTGTCCCCACCCAAATCTCATCTCCATGTGTAATCTCCATGTGTTGAGGGAGGGAGGTGATTGGATCAAAGGGGCGGTTTCCCCCATGCTGTTCTTGTGATAGTGAGTTCTCAAGAGATCTGATGATTTTCCGAGTGTTTGGAAGTTCCTCTTCCTTCTCTCTCCTGCCACATTATGAAGAAGGTACCTTACTTCCCCTTCTGTCATGCTTGTAAGTTTCTTGAGGCCTCCCCAGCCATGCAGAACTGTGAGTAAATTAAACCTCTTTCCTTTATAAATTACCCAGTCTTGAGTAGTATCTTTACAGCAGCGTGAAAACGGACTAATACATGCGCACATTAGCCAGGCACAGTGGCTTGCCCCTGTAATCTCAGCTACTTGGGAGGCCAAGGCAGGAGGATTGCTTGAAGCTAGGAGTTGGATCAGCCTGGGCAATACAGTGAGACCTCCATCTCTAAAAAAATAAACACACACACACACACACACACACACACACACACACACACACACACAAATGTCCCACAGCTCACTTTTCCCTAGAAGATTGGCAGCTGGAATATCCAGTCTTGTATACATCACCTCAGAAATCTCTATAAGCAGACAGAGCAAAGCTGTCCTGGTTGAAGTAGAGTTGGGATCTGTCTTTTTCTTCCTGTCCTTTCTCTACATCTCTCACTTCCCAGGTTGTTGGACATTGAGGTACCTCTTGGGGTTTTGTGGAACACAGATTGAAAGCCATTATTCTATTTAAAAACCTTCATTTTATACAAAAATTAGCCAAGCGTGGTGGCACGCGCCTGTTGTCCCAGCTACTTGGGAGGCTGGGGCAGGAGAATCACTTGAACCCAGGAAGCGGAGGTTGTAGTGAACTGAGATTGCGCCACTGCACTCCAGCCTGGGCAACAGAGCAAGACTCTGTCTCAACAAAATCATAAAATTTAAAAATTAAAACCTTCCTTTTAGAGATGAGAAAAATGAGGCCCTGGGGTAAACTGCTGATCTGGAATTCAAACTGAAATCTCCCAGTTTCAAGCCCCCTTCCTCTCTTTGTTGCATTGTATTGTTTCTCTTTAACTCTGTGAAGATTTATTTGTCCTATGTCTCATTCCCTCTGAGTCCAACCTCAGGTAGTTATTCCTTGAAAACCAGTTTTACAAACTAATTTATAATTGGATGTTTATGGCCAATAATAGCTTAATAATTTGCTTCTATGAAGGTGTCTCTATCAAAGTCCCAGGAGGAAACAGATGGCACACCCAAATTAGTATAACTCAAAGTGGGTTTAATAAAGGTACTATTTACACGTGCATGCAGTGTGTAGGAGAGCCACAAGGCACAGCAGTATCAGGGCTTTTATAATACCACCTTTAGGCCTGGAAGGATGATGGGAGGATGCAAATTCTTCAGAGAGCCATTGAGAGATGCCTTCCTTGAGAGAAGGGACCCTTCAGTCAAGGGACCCTAGCCAGCCCAAGACAACCTCTTAGGAAAGAAGCTGGGCAATAATAACACCCCTCACTGCCCTCTCTTCTTGATCTCTGCTGGGATCTTCATTGGTTGAACTCTACTGAAACCCAACGCTATTGAAGTGATCCACACAGGACAGTGGCCCTACAGAGCAAGGTGAGGAAGGGTGGAAAGTAAATCTGGAAGGCAAATGGAAGATGCACAAAGTTATATACAATTTAGTAAGCAACTGCTGGAGCCAGCTAATGAGAACTCATCTGATGATGGAATCTCAGATTCTGCGGAAAAACAGAGGGAAAACAGTCTGAGAGGGAGCTTTCCCAAGTGTCAACTCATGCCACACATCCTATCCTGGGTGGGAGTGAATCTTCCTGTGACCTGTGCTCTATAGCTCTTTAACACAGATCACATATGGGGACTTTCCAATGGAAGTATAATAGTTTCCTGGGTCCATACAGATGGCTGGGCAATCCATTAAAGCACTGCCCAAGCAAAGAAGGAGAGAGCCATGCTTAGTCAAAGCTGTAATCACAAACTCGAGACATACATTGGTTCTAAGGGTAGAATGAAAGTAAAATGGTGTAAAATGGAAGGAATTGCTAAACTTCAGATAAATATTTCTTCAAAGTAAGAGAGAATAGTTTCCAAAAGATTTCTGTGAAGTTAAAAAGGAAAACATTTCAACACATAAACAAACACTTTAGGAGATTGTTACAGTAGCTGTTGTTGTTGTTGTTAAGAGACCCTGTCTCTTATAAATAAAATAAAATAAAATAAATTTAAAAATAAAATAAAATAAATTTTAAAAAAAGTTAAAAATAAATTTCAGTTTAAGATATCAATTGTCTCTTTAGAATCAGATTATGAGCTGGGACAGTGGCTCACACCTATAATCCCTAGCACTCTGAGAGGCCAAGGCAGGAGGATAACTTTAGGCCAGGATCAAGATCAGCCTGGGCAACATAGCAAGATCTTGTTTCTGTATGAAAAAATATATAATAATAAATAAGTAAAACCAGTCAATGTTGCTGATGTCTTAAAAATATATATAAAAGTATATATACATAAAAATATACATAAGTATATATATGTGTGTGTATATATATAATATACATATTTTATATATATATACTTTTTTTTTTTTGAGATGGGATTCTTGCTCTGTCACTCAGGCTGCGTGCAGTGATTCGATCTTGGCTCACTGCAACCTCTGCCTCCTGGGTTCAAGCAATTCTCCTGCCTCGGTCTCCTGAGTAGCTGGGACTACAGGTATGAACCACCACGCCCAGCTAATCTTTGTGTTTTCAGTAGAAACAGGGTTTCACCATGCTGGCCAGGCTGGTCTTGAACTCCCGACCTCAAGTGATCCTCTCGCCTCATCCTCCCAAAGTGCTGGGATTACAGGCGTGAGCCATCATGCCTGGCCTCAGGCAGAGTTGTTTCTAAATGCAGGTCTATGGCTGGCTGCAATGTCTCATGTCTGTAATCCCAGCACTTTGGGAGGCCATGGCAGGAGGATCACTGGAGCCCAGGAGGTCGAGACCAGCCCTGGCAACATAGCAAGACTCCATCTCAACAAAAAATTTAAAAATTAGCCAAGGGTGGTTGTGTGCACCTGTGTTCCCAGCTACTTGAGAGGCAGAAGTGGCAGAATCACCTGAGCCCAGGAAGTCGAAGTTGCAGTGAGCCATAATTGCACCATTGCACTCCAGCCTGGGCGACAGGAGTGAGACCCTGTCAAAAAAATAATAATAATAAATAAAAAACAAAACAAAACAAAACAAAAATTCCTTGAATGAGTCACATCACTTCCATACCTTCTGTATCAATAACATGTTATTCTAAAACTTAGTGAGTTAGAAAAACAATAATCATTTTATTTCTCATGGTTTCTGTGGGTCAGGAAATTTGGAAGAGTTTGGCCTGGAAGTTCTTGCTCTGAGAAGGATGCAATCGGATTTGGCCAGGGCTGCAGTCATCTCAAGGCTTGAGTGGGGCTGAAGGATTCACTTCCAAGCTGACTAATTCACAGGACTGGCAAAGTGGTGCTGGCTGTTGGTTGTGCACCTTCCTTCTTCTCCATATGGGCCTTCCTACAAGGGTTACTCAGGGTCCCCATAGGATTGTAGCTGGCTTTTCCCAGAATGGTCCCAGAGACCAAAGCAGAAGCATCAGTGGATTTTATGACAGCCTTGGAAGGCCCACCATCACTTCTGCTGTATTCTATTGGTCACAGAGGGCCAACCCTAATTCAGTGTGGGAGGAAATTACACAAGGGCACGAATACCAACAGGCAAGGATCACTGAGGGCCATCTTGGAGACTGGCTATTACAAAACCTAGGCTAACATGCAATCTCCTTAAAGAGACCTACAAGGCCATTCACCCTTGTCATCAGGAACAAGGACCTGTCACGTCCTAGCACATCTCTAAGATTGCTATTTTAGAAGTAAGGCATAGTTCTTAATTGATCTATTTACTCCTAAGACCCAATAATTAGAGGTGATGGCACTATTCCAGTTGGCTCATTTATTTTAATGTTCTTAGAGAAGAAAGTGTTAGTGCCACTGAAAACTATAACATTCTGTGGTTAGGATTACTGACAAATACAAAATTATCTCTAAGTCATCTACATAAAACAATACACATTAAACTAAATATGCATATTTAGAGCAACATAACATACTTCATAAAATTAAACATATTCAGTAATTCAAGTGTGACATTGTCAATATTTAAACTTAACATTTAGTTAATAAAATTAAATATATCCAATATTTGTCCTCTGCTCTCTCCTCCTAAAACAAGATAAACATACCGTTTTTGTTTTTTTTTTTTTGAGACGGAGTCTTGCGCTGTCACCCATGCTGGAGTGCGGTGGCGCCATCTCGGCTCACTGCAAGCTCCGCCTCCTGGGTTCACGCCATTCTCCTGCCTCAGCCTCCCAAGTAGCTGGGAGTACCGGCACATGCTGCCATGCCCGGCTAATTTTTTGTATTTTTGGTAGAGACAGGGTTTCACCGTGTTAGCCAGGATGGTCTCGATCTCGTGACCTCATGATCTGCCCGCCTCGGCTTCCCAAAGTGCTGAGATTACAAGGCGTGAGCCACCGTGCCCGGCTTTTTTTTTTTAGAGAGATGGGATCTCAGTCTGCCACCCAGGCTGGAGTGCAGTAGTGCAATCATAGACTCAAACTCCCGGGCTCAAACAATCCTCCTGCCTCAGTGTCCTGGGTAGCTGGGACAACAGGTGCATGCTACCACACCAGGCTAATTTATTTTTGTTTTAATTTTTTATAGAGAAGGTTCTCATTCGGTTGCCCAGGCTGGTCTCAAACTTGTGTGCTGAAGCAATCCTCTGGTCTCAGCCTCCTAAAATGTTAGGATTACAGATGTGAGCCACTTTGCCTGGCCACAGCATTCTTTTCTATTTCCTCCTATACCTGCTTCCAGCCCAATTCTTAGCATAAAGTTGACGATCAACTGGACGTGGTTGCTCACGCCTGTAATCCCAGCTCTTTGGGAGGCCAAGGCAGGTGGATCACCTGGAGTCAGGAGTTCGAGACGAGCCTGGCCAGCATGGTGAAACCCCGTCTCTACTAAATATACAAAAGTTAGCCGGGCACGACGGCGCAAACCTGTAATCCCATCTACTTGGGAGGCTGAGGCACGATAATTGCTTGAACCCAGGAGGCAGAGGTTGCAGTAAGCTGAAATCACACCACTGCACTCCAGCCTGGGCAACAGAGTGAGACTCCATCTCAAAAAAATAAAAATAAAAATAAAGTTGATGATCATTAAATATTTGTTGAATTGGATTGAGTAATACCAGGAATAAATAATCCCCTAGTCTTCTCTTTGTGATTCCTTCTGAATTTCTGTGGAGTAGTCAACAGTATTATGCTTCAAGCATTACACTAAGCATTTTACATGTATTATTTCATTTCATCTTTATACCAACCTAATAGGAATGGTGCCTTTTCAAAGTCTATTTTAAAGACTACTGTGCATTTATTTAGCAACAATATTAGCAAAATGACTTTTTCTTCAAGATATAGAGAAATGTGCTGTAGAGGACCTAAACAAAAAGTAGATACGCTCTCTGCTTCCATGATATGTTTTTATTGTTCTCACTTTAAAATTCTGAAATGAGTATGTAACTTATAGTTGGTGTGAACATTTAACATCCTGCCTTTTTTGTTTCTCCCAAATGCTGTTGGTGCATTTTTAAATTGCAGAAACATATGATGTCAAAATTGCGGCCCATGTCTCTTACTTCCCCATGGTCTGTTAGAGAATGTGATGACTCTGACAATAAATATGCTTCATAAAGCTGAGCTTACATCCTGTTGTCGTTCAGGAACTTGCTGGCTTGCTGCCATACAGATACATTTATCAAATGCATCTGCAGAGTTAAGCATTTTTATTTTTGAGAGCTTAAAGTACTTTAGAAACTCTAGTTTCTATTCTGTAGTGAATAGGGGTATAACAAGAAATCTCTTACATGTCAAAGAAAAGACCATTTATTTTCCTGGAAAAGGGCATTGTCTTTCTTCATGTAATAACTTAAACATATTGGCTTAAGGATTGTTGTCATTGTCTTCCTCACTACTGCCATCATCATGGTGTACATTTAGCAGGGGAAGAAAAAATCAAAACTGATCCCAGTGCTAGTTAGAACTATTATGGTTTAGGAGCACATTTTAAAAATTAATTATAAAAATGAGACCCTTTGGGAATAAGTTTGATGGCTTGGGGCAAGTAAAGAAAGAGTAAACTACTCTATAAGAAATAAATTAGAATCTGAGGGATTGAGACAAGTAAGTCAGCCAGGTGAGGAGGCACTGGGGCTGCAATCTGGCCATCTGTTGTGAGGCCTCCTGAATGTAGTGCCCATTTCTTTTTTCTTTTGAGACAGAGCCTTGCTCTGTTACCCAGCCACTGCAACCTCTACCTCCCGGGTTCAAGTAATTCTCCTACCTCAAGTAGCTGGGATTACAGGCACCCACCACCACGCCAGGCTAATAGTTGCATTTTTAGTAGAGACAGGGTTTCGCCATGTTGCCCAGGCTGGTCTCGAACTCCTGACCTCAGCTGATCCTTTCACCTCAGCCTCCTAAAGTGCTGGAATTACAGGCATAAGCCTCAGTGCCCGGCCTAGGGTACCTTTTTCTAAATGTGCACAAAGGCACTATAAGGACCTGTAGTGACCCTAAGAGGGACCCAGCACAATGCCTAGAGGCTACAGCCTGAATGGAAGAGACACAGAATGATTTCTCCATAAATGGGAATGGACCAGGAATTTTTAAGTTAAGAAATGTTAAAATCCAGATTAGGTCAGTCTGCCCCAGAATGTCATCCCCTTCTGTGGCTCTCTTCCTTCAACAATAATACACTCTGGATAGTGGTGCTTCACAG
Organism: Homo sapiens; assembly: GCF_000001405.40. NCBI lineage: Eukaryota > Metazoa > Chordata > Mammalia > Primates > Hominidae > Homo > Homo sapiens. The sequence goes on along the minus strand of NC_000014.9, from coordinate 34,665,171 downwards.
AGAAGAGATTGAGGCAGTCTCCAGTGCCAGTGAGAGGACAAGGTGACACAGAGCACCGGAGCTTTAGCATTGCTGGAAGCAAGATTTCAGAACCAGAGAACGCCAAAAGGAAACTAAACCCCAGAGTATCCTCTGAGAAAATGGGACGGGTATTTGAACCAAATGTTATTTGAGTTCCAAAGGACTTGGGAACCTCTATGAAGCTGACATATGTATTACACATGTATAAATATCATTTAAAATCATTTGAGGTAGTAAGGTCTGAGAGATTAACTAACTTGCTCAGGGGTAAAAGTAACATATCTGTAACTGGAATATGGCTCCTGGGACTTCTGCTTTCTGCCATAACGGAGCAAGGGGAATGAGATTTGCCATCTTGGCTGGGCGCAGTGGCTCACGCCTGTAATCCTAACACTTTAGGAGGCTGAGGTGGGCCGATCACCTGAGGTCAGGAGTTTGAGACCAGCCTGGCCAACATGGCAAAACCCCGTCTCTACTAAAAATACAAAAATTAGCCAGGCATGGTGGCAGGCGCCTATAATCCCAGCTACTAGGGAGGCTGAGGTGGAAGAATCACTTGAACCCGTGAGTGGAGGTTGCAGGGAGCCGAGATCGTGCCACTGCACTCCAGCCTGGGCAAAAGAGCAAGAGTCCGTCTCAAAAGAAAAAAAAAAAGAAAAGAAAAATTTGCCATGTTGCCTTTAAATTTTTTAAACTGGGTCGGGTGCGGTGGATCACACCTGTAATCCCAGCATTTTGGGAGGCCGAGGCAGGCAGATCACGAGATCAGGAGATCAAGACCATCCTGGCTAACACGGTGAAACCCTGTCTCTACTAAAAATACAAAAAATTAGCCAGGCTGGTGGCGGGCGCCTGTAGTCCCAGCTACTGGGGAGGCTGAGGCAGGAGAAAGGCGTGAACCTGGGAGGCGGAGTTTGCAGTGAGCCGAGATCGCCCCACTGCACTCCAGCCTGGGAGACAGAGCAAGACTCCGTCTCAAAAAAAAAAAAAAAAAAAAAAAATTAATACAGCATTCTGTTAAATAGACCCAAGAATATATGGTAATTTGCTATATGGCTGCATTTTAATTCAGGAAGGGAGACAAAGATTATTCAATAAATTATACTGGGCCGGGCACCGTGGCTCACGCCTGTAATCCCAGCACTTTGGGAGACCGAGGCGGGCGGATCACGAGGTCAGGAGATCGAGACCATCCTGGCAAACACTGTGAAACCCCGTCTCTAATAAAAATACAAAAACATTAGCCGGGCATGGGGGTGGGTGCCTTGTAGTCCCAGCTACTCGGGAGGCTGAGGCAGGAGAAAGGCGTGAACCCGGGAGGCGGAGCTTGCAGTGAGCCGAGATTGCGCCACTGCACTCCAGCCTGGGCAACAGGGTGAGAGAGACTCCATCTCAAAAAAAAAAAAAAAAAAAAAAAAAACTTAAACTGAAAAAAAATCTGAAACAACAGTTTCAGACATTGGACAACAGGTAGCGTGGGACAGTGATCCCTGAAAGGAAACAAAAGAGATGAGCCTCACAGTTGTCTTCTCTTACTGCCTGGGGAGAGTTTCCAGGTAGCAGCACAGAGCAGAGAACCAGGGTAGAGTCTCGAAGCCCTGAGGTCTCCCTGAGTTAAGGAGCCAGAACTAAGAATTTGAAAAAACAAAGGCATCTGGAACTTATAGAGATGAGCCCTGGGGAGACAGGTGGAGGAAGAGAGAGAAAGCCGAAGATTTGAAGAAGGGTGTGTACCAAAACAAAAACAAAGCTAAAAAATATTTAAAGGGATATCGAAATACAAAAAAAAAAAAAAAATCCAGCACCCAATAAGGTAAAATTTATAATGTCTGACATCCAATCAACTATTAAAAGAAGAAGAAAAATATAACCAATACTGAAGAGAAAAATAAAGCAATATAAATCCATAAATTGAACAAATGAGAGAAATATCATATTAAACGAGGACATTGAAACAGCTATCATATACTCTGTAGGTTCAAAATGGTAGAAGAAAGTATGAGAATATTAATTAGAAACATGGAAAATATTAAAAAGACTCAAATCAAACTTGTGGAAATGGAAAAATACCATATTTAAGATAAAAAATACACTAGATGGGATTACTGCAAATTATGCCCTGAAGAAGAAAATATTTGGAGGTGAATTTGAAGGCGTAGTATCCAGAATGAAACACACAGAGGAAAAGACCAAAAAAATTGGACAGAGCACCAGTGAGCTATGGGAAATATTTTTTGCTTTTGCTTTATTATTTATTTATTTATTTATTTATTTATTTACTTATTTATTTATTGAGACAGGATCTTTCTTGCTCCGTAGCCCAGGCTGGAGTGCAGTGGTGCAATCTTGACTCACTGCAACCTCCGCCTCCCAGGCTCAGTTGATCCTCCCACCTCAGCCTTCCAAGTACTGTTACTACAGGCATGTGCCACCACACCCAGCTGCTTTTTTAAAACAATTTATAGAAACAAGTTCTCATTATATTGATCAGACTTGTCTTGAACTCCTGGGCTCAAGTGATCCTCCAAACTTGGCCTCCCGAAGTGCTGGGATTACAGATGTGAACCATCATACTCAGCTGAGATTTTTAAAGATATACAAAAGCTAAAAGGATTCATAAGCAGAATGCCAGTATTACCAAAATTTTTAAAGGAAGTTCTTCAGATAGAAGGAAAATTGTACCAGATGGATATCAGGATCTATACAAAGGGATGAAGAGAATGGAAAATGGTAAATACGAGGGTAAACATAAAAGACATTATTTATTTATTTATTTTTGAGACAGAGTCTTGCTCTGTTGCCCAGGCTGGAGTGCAGTGGTGCAGTCTCGGCTCACTGCAACCTCTGCCTCCCGGGTTCAAGCGATTCTCATGCCTCAGCCTCCCGAGTAGCTGAGACTACAGGCATGGGCCACCATGCCCTGCTGATTTTTTTTTTTTTTTTCAGTATTTTTAGTAAAGACAGGGTTTCACCATGTTGCTCAGACTGGTCTCGAGCTCTTGAGCTCAGGCAATCCACCCACCCCAGCCTCCCAAAGTGCTAGGATTACAGGCGTGAGCCACCACACCCAGCCAATTTTTAATAAGCAATGTTTATTATTTTTGCCTTATGTACTGTGAGATTTATAATGAATGGAAATAAAATGTATGACAACAAAGGCTAGGAGGGAGGAAATGAAGATATACTGCTGTAAGATCCTAACACTAGATGTGAAGTGGTATACTGTTGCTTCAAGTCAAATTGATAAGTTAAAGATGCATATTATAAACCCTGTCTTAATCCATTGGAGCTGCTATTACAAAGTACCATAGGCTGAGTGGCTTATAAACAAAAGAAATTTATTTCTCACCATTCTGAAGGCTGAAAAGTCCAAGATCAAAGTGCTGGCAGATTCAGGGTGTAGTAAGGGGCCACTTCTTTATAGGGTCTTCTCACCCTACCCTTACATGGTAGAAGGGGTGAGAGATCTCTCTTAAGTCTCTTTATTTAATTTATTTGTCTGTTTGTTTACTTATTTATTTATTTATTTATCTGAGACAAGGTCTGGCTCTGCTGCCCAGGCTGGAGTGCAGTGGCATGATCTTGGCTCACTGCAGCCTCCACCTCCCAAGCTCAAGAGATCCTCCCACCTCAGCCTCCCAAGTAGCTGGGACCACAGCCACATGCCATCATGCCTGGCTAATTTTTTACATTTTTGGTAGAGTCCAGGTCTCACCATGTTGCCCAGGGTGGTCTCAAACTCCTGAACTCAAGCAATCCACCTGCCTCAGCCTCCCAAAGCGCTGGGATTACAGGCATGAGCCACTGTACCCAGCCTCAAGTCTCTCTTATAAGGGCACTAATCCCATTCATGAGAGCTCTGCCTCAATCACTTACCTCCCAAAGGTCCCATCTCCTAATACTATCACTTTGGGGATAAGTTTTTCAACATATGAAGTTTGGGGGAACATAAACATTCAGACTATAGCAAATCCTGAAGCAACTACTAAGAAAAAAATAAAACAAAGACTAATAAGTCAATAATGGAGTTAAGATGGACTCATAAAAATACTGAATTGATCCCAAAGAAGGCAGAAAAGGGAGAGAAAGGAAAAAGAACAGGTGGGACAAATAGAAAACAAATAGCAAGATGGTTTATTTAATTACAGACATATCCCATATCAGTAGTCACATTAGATATAAATGGTTCAAACATCCCTGTTAAAAGGAAGAGATTGGCTGGATACCAATTGGTTGGATAAGATTGGTTGGATACAAAAGTAAGAACCAACTATATGATTCCACAAGAAAGCCATTTCAAATATGAAGATACAGACAGGTTAAAAGAAAAGGATGGTAAAATATATACCATGCTAACACAATTTAAAAGAAAGCTTCAAGGGCTACATCAATATCAGACAAAGTAGATTTCAGAGCAAAGAATATTAACAGGTATAAAGAGGTTCACTTTATAATGGAAAAGGGGTCAAATTCCTCAAGAAGACATAATTCTAAGTGTTTATACACTTAGCAGCAAAGTTTCAAAACACATGAAGCAAAAACTGATAGAACTGCAATGAGAAACAGACAAATCCACAATTATAGTCACAGATTTGAACACCTCTTTCAATGATTAATAGAACAAGTAGACAAGACTGAACAACATTATCAACCAATGTGACCTAACTGACACTTACAGAACACTCTGTATTCTATACATATTCTTCTCAGAATACATATTCTTTTTTTAAGGGCACACAGAACATTTATCAAAATCAACTATTTTCTGGGTCATAAAACAAGTCTACATACATGTCTTTAAATTTCCAACTTTTAAGTTCAGAGGTACCTGTGCAAGATGTGCCAGTTTGTTATATAGGTAAACTTGTGCCATGGTGGTTTGCTGCACAGGTCATTCCACCACCTAGAAAAAGCCCAGCATTCATTAGCTGTTCATCCTGGTGCTCTCTGTCCTCCCACCCTCCACCCTCCAACAGGCCCCATTGTATGTTGTTCAACCCCATGTGTCCATGTGTTCTCATCATTCAGCTCCCACTTATAAGAACATGTGGCATTTGGTTTTCTGCTTCAGTGTTAGTTTGCTGAGAGTAATGGCTTCAAATCTAAATACATTTTTAAAGTTTAAACAAAATTGAGCCAGGTGGGGTGGCTCATACCTGTAATCCCAGCACTTTGGGAGGCTGAGGTGGGCAGATCACGAGGTCAGGCATTTGAGACTGGCCTGACCAACAAACATGGTGAAACCTCATCTCTACTAAAAATACAAAAATTAGCCGGGCGTGGTGGTGTGTGCCTGTAATCCCAGCTACTTGGGAGGCTGAGGCAGGAGAATAGCTTGAACCCGGGAGGCAGAGGTTGCAGTGAGCCGAGATCGTGCCACTGCACTCCAGCCTGGGTGACAGAGCGAGACTCCGTCTGAAAAGGCAAAAAAAAAGAAATTGAAACTCATATTAAAAGTTTCTTTTTCTTTCTTTTTTTTTTTTTTTGAGGCAGAGTCTTACTCTTGTCGCTCAGGCTGGAATGCAGTGGCTCAATCTCGGCTCACTGCAACCTCTGCCTCTCGGGTTCAAGTGATTATCCTGCCTCAGCCTCCCGAGTAGCTGGGATTACAGGTGCCTGCCACTAAGCCTGGCTAATTTTTGTACTTTTAGTAGAGATGGGGTTTCACAACGTTGGCCAGGGTGGTCTTGAACTCCTGACCTCAGGTGATCCTCCTGCCTCAGCCTCCCAAAGTGCTGGGATTACAGACATAAGCCACTGTGCCCGGCCTTTTTTTTTTTTTTTTTTTTTTTTTTTTTCTGAGATGGAATCTTACTCTGTGACCCAGGCTGCCGGAGCAAAATGGTGCGATCTCGGTTCACTGCAACCTCTGCCTCCTGGGTTCAAGTGATTCTCCCGCCTAAGCTTCCGGAGTATCTAGGACTACAGGCACGTGCCACCACCACTCCCGGCTAATTTTTTTGTACTTTTAGTAGAGACGGGGTTTCACCATGTTGGCCAGGCTGGTCTTGAACTCCTGACCTCAGGTGATCCTCCCCCCTCAGCTTCCCAAAGTGCTGGGATTACAGGCATGAGCCACCACACCTGGCCAAAAGTTTCAAATAATACAAAGGATCTTCTGTGAACACAATAAAATTAAATTAGAAGTCAACAACAGAAAGATATTTGGAATATCTTTCTGGAATCCAATCACACACTGCCAAATAACCCGTGAGACAAAGAAGAAATCAGAGGGAAATTAGAACATGTGGCTCCCTTATCTACATTTTAATTCAGTGACATACTCTTACCTGTCAAATGCTAGTTTGTTATACTTCTTCAAATTTCTTTTTCCTGTCCATTCATCACTCAGAAGAAATCTTGTCATGACATGTTTAGGGTATAGCACATGTATTTTATTTCTGAAGGTCTGATTTTTGTCCTAGTGAGAAGTACTGTTTTATAATAAGAGATCTTGTAAATTGCTTTGAAGGAGACCAAAATCCAACCCAAATTAGCTTAAGTAAAAAGGAGGATTTGCTTCAGGGATCCTGGAATAGCTCACAGAATTGAGAATGCCATGTATATTTGTTTCCTATTGCTGCTGCGCTGAATTACCACAAACTTAATGGTTTAAGAAAACACACATTTATTATCGTTTTGTTTTGGAGGTCAGAAGTGAAAAAGGGCCTTCACTGAAATCAAGGAGCTAAAATCAACATGCTGACAGGGCTGCATTCCTTCTGGAGGATCTTTTTTTTTTTTTTCAGATGGAGTCTCGCTCTGTCTCCCAGGCTGGAGTGCAGTGGCGCGATCTCTGCTCACTGCAAGCTCTGCCTCCTGGGTTCATGCCATTCTCCTGCCCCAGCCTCCCGAGTAGGTGGGCCTACAGGCTCCCGCCACCACTCTTGGCTAATTTTTGTATTTTTAGTAGAGACGGAGTTTCACCGTGTTAGCCAGGATGGTCTTGATCTCCTGACCTCATGATCCGCTCATCTCGGCCTCCCAAAGTCCTGGGATTACAGGCGTGAGCCACCGCGCTTGGCCCCTTCTGGAGGATCTAAGGCAGAATCTGTTTCCTTGGCTTTTCCAGCTTCTGGAGTTTGGTGCATTTCTGCTGTCTTTCTCACACTGCCATCTCTCTGGTCTCAGCTTCAGGTTCCCTCTTCCACTCATAAGGACTCTTGTGATTATATTATATTGAGCTCACATATTATCCACAATAATCTCATCTCAAGGTCAGGTGATTAGCAAATTTAATTCCATCTGCTAACTTAATTCCCTTTTGCCATGTAAGGTAACATATTTACAGGTTCCAGGGATTAGGACACAGACTTCTTGGGGGCCATTATTCTGCCTATCATACCATATAAACTGTTTGGGATTAGAAATGCACCACTGCAATGCCATCTATAATGAGGAAAGGGGCAGGGCGCTGTGGCTCATGCCTGTAATCCTAACACTTTGGGAGGCTGAGGCAGGAGGATTGCTTGAGGCTAACTGTTCAAGACAAACCTGGCCAACAATCACAAGACCCTATCTCTAAAATAAATAAATAAATAAAACATGATCAGTAAAGGAAACTGTAGTCTGTTTCAGAAGGCAGGCGTAAGCAACTGTGTTGGAAAATGAACTTTATATCTTCAGGATGCCTTTAGAGCTGCAGAAGTAAGTGAGTTCTACATAAGCAGAAAAAGCAAGATTAGGCCGGGCGCAGTGGCTCACACCTGTAATCCCAGCACTTTGGGAAGCCGAGGAGGGCGGATCACGAGGTCAGGAGATCGAAACCATCCTGGCTAACATGGTGAAACCCCGTCTCTACTAAAAATACAAAAATTAGCCGGGAGTGGTGGCGGGCGCCTGTAGCCCCACCTACTCAGTGGAGGCTAAGGCAGGAGAATGGCGTGAACCCGGGAGGCGGAGCTTGCAGTGAGCCGAGATCGCGCCACTGCACTCCAGCCTGGGAGACAGAGCGAGACTCCATCTAAAAAAAATAAATAAATAAAGCAAGATTTAAAAAAAAAAAAGGAAAGAAGTGAGTTTATAAGCATGTCCAGGCCCTTTTTTAGGAGCACTCAAACATCAAGCCCATTTATCTTATGATTGTATTTTTACTAGAAAATTTAATTTCTTTTCTTTTTTTTTCTTTTGAGATGCAGTCTTGTTCTGTTGCCCAGGCTGGAGTACAATGGCATGATCTTGGCTCACTGCAAACTCCACCTCTCAGGTTCAAGCGATTCTCCTGTCTCAGCCTCCTGAGTAGCTGGGATTACAGGCACGCACCATCACACCCAGCTAATTTTTGTATTTTTAGTAGAGACGGGATTTCACCATGTTAGTCAGGCTGGTCTTGAACTCCTGACCTCATGATCCACCTGCTTCGGCCTCCCAAAGTGCTGGGATTATGGGCATGAGCCACCATGCCTAGCCAGAAAACTTAATTTCTATAGAGGATATGCAAAATACTCTCATGCTATTTCTTGTCTCTGTGCAATTTATGAGACAATTAATACAGAAGCAATTTTCCATTAAATGTGCCAGTGGAAAACATTTTGCATTTGCATTTAATTCAGGCCTTGTTGAAGTACCCCGCCAGCACTACTGATCTTTGGTCCACTCAGCAGAAGCTCCAGTATAATTTCACATCTGTCATTCAATGGAGGCTGCCCAGCCCCACTGCTTTTCTTGTCCTAGGGGACTGGATTAGACAACCAAGATCAAGTACAGTTTATCTTTCCAAGTAAAGATCTCACCTCCCAATTGTGATCTCACCTTCCCATACAATAGGAGTTAGGAGGAGGGCTCCCACATCCAGCTAGTATTCAGAGTCATTATAACAATCTAATTTTTTTTCTTTCCAAAGTGACCTGATGTTTAGCTTTCCAGTCTCAAGACCAGTCCCCCTCATTCAGTGATAGCTCAGGCATTTGGTTTATAACAAGTCTTCTTTTTCGCCTGAATTTCTGTCATTATCTTTGATCTGCTTATCTCTAGTGAGCTATGCCTCCACTCAATTTTAGCCACTGCCTTCTATGGTCACACCCTGTCACTGGGAACTGCAACTCTACTGGAATAATAGATTCAAACTGGAATAATAGATTCCATCCTCACTCTCTGGCCACAGCATTCTATTCTTCCAGTTCCTTCAGTCAGTTATTCTCCCAGCCTCTGTTTTAGTCTGCTATAATAAACAAATTAAGGCTGGGTTTGGTGGTTCATGCCTGTAATCTCAGCACTTTGGGAGGCCAACGTGGGCGGATCACCTGAGGTCAGGAGTTTGAGACCAGCCTAGCCAACTTGGTGAAACCCTGTCTCTAATGAGCCGTGGTGGCTCATGCCTGTAGTCTCAACTACTCAGGAGGCTGAGGCAGGAGAATCACTTGAACCCAGGAGATGGAGGCTATAGTGAGCTGAGATTGTGCCACTGCCCTCCAGACTGGGTGACAGAGTGAGACTTCGTCTCAAAAAAAAAAAAAATTAAAATCTCAGTGTTTATATTAGTCAATCATTGCTGTCTGGTAAATCACCCTAAGATTTATTGGCTTAATGCAATAATCAGCCCAGTGTGGTGGTTCATGCCTATAATCCCAGTGCTTTGGGAGGCTGAGGCAGGAGGCTCACTTGAGCCCAGGAGGTTCGAGGCAGCAATGGGCTATGATCATGCCACTGCATGCCAGCCTGGACAACAGAGTGAAACCCCGTCCCTTAAAAAAAAAAAAAACCCACAACAACAATAATCATTCATAGATTTGTAGGTCAGCTGGGATTTGGCTGATGTAGTCTGAGCTTGTGGCAATGGCAGAGACAAATGAATGCAAGTGGAAGCACAAGTAATGTCTTAAGGTCTAGGCACACTGTCACTTCAAATCACACGCTGTTAGCCAAAGCAAGTCACATGGTCAAGCCTAAAGTCAAGGGCCAGGAAGTCTGCTCTGCCCACAATGAGACTAGGGCAAGGATATAGACATAGGTGTCTCACGTGTCCATGTGAAGAGACCACCAAACAGGCTTTGTGTGAGCAACAAGGCTGTTTATTTCACCTGGGTACCGGTGGGCTGAGTCCAAAAAAAGAGTCAGCAAAGGGTGGTGGGATTATCATTGGTTCTTATAGGTTTTGGGATGGGCGGTGGAGTTAAGAGCAATGTTTTGGGGGCAGGGGTGGATCTCACAAAGTACATTCTCAAGGGTGAGGAGAATTACAAAGAACCTTCTTAAGGGTGAGGGAGATTACAAAGTACATTGATCAGTTAGAGTGGGGCAGAAACAAATCACAATGTGGAATGTCATCAGTTAAGGCTATTTTCACTTCTTTTGTGGATCTTCAGTTGCTTCAGGCCATGTGGATGTATAAGTGCAGGTCACTGGGGATATGATGGCTTAGCTTGGGCTCAGAGGGCTGACATTCCTGTCTTCTTATATTAATAAGAAAAATAAAACAAAGTAGCAGTAAAGTGTTGGGGCGGTGAAAAATTTTGGCGGTGGTATGGAGAGATAATGGGCGATGTTTCTCAGGGCTGCTTCCAGGGGCATTAGGGGTGGCGTGGGACCCTACAGTGGGAGAGATTCAACTGAAGAAAGATTTTGGGGTAAGGGGTGATATTGTGGGGTTGTTAGAAGGAGCATTTGTCGTATAGAATTATTGGTGATGGCTTGGATGCGGTTTTGTATGAATTGAGAAACTAAACGAAAGACACAAGGTCTGAGTAAAAGGAGAAAAACAGGTATTAATGGACTAAGAATTGGGAGTACCCAGGACGTCCAATTAGAGAGTGTCCAAGGGGGTTCAACGTTATTGTTTGCTTGGTTGGCGAGTTTTTGGGCTCTATCCTTGAGTTTTTTTATGTTGTCATATACCAGGCCAGATTGCTTTAGGTAAAAACAACACTCTTCATTTAAAAATATACAAAGTCCTGGGGGGAGGGGAGAGGGATAGCATTAGGAGATATACCTAATGCTAAATGATGAGTTAATGGGTGCAGCACCCCAACATGGCACATGTATACATATGTAACAAACCTGCACGTTGTGTACTTGTACCCTAAAACTTAAAGTATAATAATAAAATTAGAAAATATATATATATATACAAAGTCCTCCTTTCTCAGCAGTGAGTAAATCAAGGCCTCGGCAGTTCTGGAGGACAACTGCAGGTAAAGAGTCAACCTGGGCTTGGAGAACAGATAAAGTTTGTGATATATCTGTAATGCTAGCAGAGAAGTCATTAGAGAGACTGCAGAATGTTGTGACAGTGGTTGAGATGCCTGCTATTCCAGTTCCAAGTGCAATAGTGGAGGCAGAGAGTCCTAGACCCACAAGCAAAGGGATTAGTGGGATGACTCTTTTTTGTCCTGTTAACATCATGAGGGGGACAGGCAGTTGTTCATTCCCATCTGCAAACTGGATTTTGGGGGTAAGGAAGACTAGAGTACATGTGCCTGTCCAGTTGGCAGGTAGGCACATGTAGGTGGAAGAGCCACATAAAAAGAAGAGACCTTTTGTCAGGCAGAACTGGAAATGTAAAGTGAAAAGATGAGAGGGTGTACTGAAAGAGTAATCCTGCACCCAAAATCCTAGAGATCCAGCAAGGGCAGCAGCTGTTAGAGATTGTAATGGGGATTGATGGTGCAACTGTGTAGAGGGAGGGGTTCGGTTCTCATGGTGTATGAGAAAGCGCATAGTGTCTACAAGTAACCTTTCACTGCTATTCATGGAGCTGGGTATAAGCAAGCAAGAGGAGGGGCTAGGAGGAGATTCAGATGAGCAGGGGAAGGGTAGCCAAGGATGGAGTGAGATGCAGGGTAGGTGTCTTCCTAAACAATAGTGACTGCCAATGTGTTTTAGTTTGTCAGTAATGATAGAGGGCTTATCAGTAATGCAAAGTCAGAATGCTCCCATCTGTTTGGTAATGTGTGTGGCTGGGCTCTGGAGATAAAGAGTAAAGGAACATTTGGACAGTGGAAGGTTGCCTAAAGGGATTCCAGTAGGCTGTTGTTGGGAGGAGCGGCAACAGGGATAGTTGTTTGTGTGGTTAGGGGTCCAAATATAGGGGGGTGGAATTGACATAAGGAGAAAGGTGCCGTAAGTAGATGCAGAGAAGTGTGGCAGCTTGTTGGTGTGAAATATCTGGGGAGTTCTCACCCAACCTGTCTAGAAAGTAAAGGAGTTCCTCAGGTGAGTAAAGATGAGGGCTATTAACGGAGGTTCTGAGGTGCAGGGAGACGGGAGAGGTAGCCCAGTCAGCCTATAGAGTGGGGGTGGCTGTGTAAAAGCAGGAAGAAAGGGAAATGCATAGCCAACAATTCTTTGCTAGAGAAGGATTGGAGACAGTGAGGAGAGAGTGGGTGAGATTGATAGTATGCTGGAGGTAACTAGGGAGAGGTAGAGAGTGGCATAAGAATGGGAATGAGAATAAGAGTGAGTACAAAAGTAAAGAATAGAACTTCATCAGGGTGGAAGTACTGGGGGGTGCCCTGCCACCATAGATCATCTATCCACTCCAAGAGGGAGTCAAGAGTGGCAGTTTGGGGATAGCACCAGGAGATATCAGCTATGATGTCTTGGAGAAACAATGTAAACCGGCAGTGTAAACAAGAGCAGGTCATTTATGAGTAGTTGAGAATGGTGAATAGGAGTATGACTAGACAGAATATAGTAGGGATGACAAGTTTTGGGGCACAGTCCAAGTAGTGGGGGTGACTGCATAAAGTCCTGTTGCAAAGAGTAGGGTAAGGATGGATAGACCTAATAGAATGAAGGGATGTATTAGGCTCATAAGGGTTATTACTGTTCTTCAGAAATGCAAATGAGTTTAAGGGAAGTAGGGGAGAATACTTGTGACTTCCAGGAGGAAGAGGAGATATCAGGCTGGCTGTCCGAGGGACACAGCTTTATCCTGGAACAGTGAACCCAATGGGGAGGGTCCTGCAGGCAGACGGCGGTTGGAGTACTATAGATGACTAAGTAGGGTCTAGTCCATTGAGGTTGTAGGGTTTGAGGGGTCAGACTCTTAACAAGAACTGATCGTCCAGCTAGGGTGTCTTCTTATGGCTAGGAATTTGGAATAGGCAAGAGAAGATTAGCAGCCTGGTGAATTTCCTGTCTAGCTTACTGGAGGACTGGAAGATAGCCGCCTAGAGGGCCGGTGTCTGGGACGAGGCTGGGGCCGAGTAAGAAAGTGCATCCAGGCCAGGCGTGGTGGCTCACGCCTGTAATCCCAGCACTTTGGGAGGCCAAGGTGGGCGGATCATGAGGTCAGGAGATCGAGACCATCCTGGCTAACACAGTGAAACCCCGTCTCTACTAAAAATACAAAAAATTAGCCAGGCATGGTGGCGGGCGCCTGTAGTCCCAGCTTCTTAGGAGGCTGAGGCAGGAGAATGGCGTGAACCTGGGAGGCAGAGGTTGCAGTGAGCCGAGATCATGCCACTGCACTCCAGCCTGGGTGACAGAGCGAGACTCGGTCTCAAAAAAAAAAAAAAAAAAAATGCATCCATATAAAAGTCTAAATGGACTGTACACTGTAGCATCTCAAGGACAGGCTCTAATTCTGAGAAGGGCAATAGGTAAAAGTACTGTCCAGTCATTTTTAAGTTGGAGGCTGAGCTTGGTGAGGTGTGTCTTTAAAAGACCACAGTGGCTTAACACAATAATTTTTTTTTCTCCTTCATTTCACAGTCCAGTGTACTCAGCAAGGGAGCTCTGCTCTACCTGGTCATTCAGCAACACAGGCTCCTTCTACTCTTTGGCTTCCCCTATCTCTTTGGCTTCCTCATTCTCTGCATTCAGCTGGCAGATATGGAGAGATGGAGTGTCTAGGATCACTGTGGTCAGCAGAATAATGGCCTCTAAAGATGTCCACATCTTAATCTCTGGAATCTGTGATTGTTATCTTTATTGCAAAAGATACTTTGTAGCTGTGATTAAATTAAGGGACTTAAAATGGGGAGATTATCCTGGATTATCTGGATGAGCCCTAAATATAATGACCTTATAAGAGCGAGGCAAGAAAGTCAAGGATAAAGAAGTAAGGAGATATGAAGATTGAAAACACTGGAGTGATGCAAGGAATGAGTCACAAGCCAAGGAATGCAGAAGGCCTCCAGAGGCCAGAAAAAGCAAGAATTCCCCACTAGAGCTTCAGAAGGAAGCAGCCCTGCCAACAACACTCTGACTTGAGCCCTGTGAAGCTCATTTCAGACTTCCGGCCTCCAGAAGTAAGAGAATAAATTTATGTTGTGTTAAGCAACTAAGGTTATGCTAAGTTGTTACGGATGTGCACACATCATTTTCAATCATGTTCCATTGAACTTAGTCACACAGCTACTCCTATCTGTATGGGAGCCAGGGAATATAGTCTCTCTACGTGGCCAGGAAAAAAAAAGAAAGAAGGTTGGGGCCAGTCACCCCCACATCCCTTTATGGAGGCTTCCAGATCATGGATCCTGTCACGCGCATCCCGGTGAAGAGAGTCCACCAACAGGCTTTGTGTGAGCAACAAGGCTGTTTATTTCTCCTGGGTGCAGGCGGGCTGAGTTTGAAAAGGGAGTCAGCAAAGGGTGGTGGGATTATCATTAGTTCTTACAGGTTTTGGGATAGGTGGTGGAGTTAGGAGCAATGTTTTGCGGGCAGGGGGTGAATCTCACAAAGTACATTCTCAAGGGTGGGGAGAATTACAAAGAATCTTCTTAAGGGTGGGGGAGATTACAAAGTACATTGATCATTTAAGGTGGGGCAGAAACAAATCACAATGGTGGAATGTCATCAGTTAAGGCTATTTTCACCTCTTTTGTGGATCTTCAGTTGCTTCAGGCCATGTGGATGTATAAGTGCAGGTCACTGGGGATATGATGGCTTAACTTGGGCTCAGAGGCCTGACAGATCCCACCAGCCAGACTGACCATCTTTCAGCTTCTCAAGAACACCACACTCCTGTCTCGCACCAGACCTTTATAACTACTGCAGTCTCAGCCTTTTAATGAGTTCTGTGGCAGGTGATGGTGGTTTTCACTGGAATTTCTGAAAGCCTTCCACACCACGTTTATACCATTCAATTAAATGCAAGAGGGGGAAAGAGGTTTTTTTTGTTTTTTTTTTGAGATAGAGTCTCACTCTGTTGCCCAGGCTGGAGTGCAGTGGCACAATCTTGGCTCACTGCAACCTCTACCTACCAGATTTCAAGTGATTCTCCTGCTTCAGTCTCCCAGGTAGCTGGGATTACAGGCATGTGCCACCACACCCAGCTAATTTTTGTATTTTTAGTAGAGACAGGGTTTTACCATGTTGGCCAGGCTGGTCTCGAACTCCTGGCTTCAAGTGGTCCACCTACCTCGGCCTCCCAAAGTGCTGGGATTACAGGCGTGAGCCACCTTGCCCAGCCGAGATATTTTTAATAATTTAGAATTTATCGCATGCTGTCAGTATGCTTTTAAAATGAGAATACACATGTTCTATCTGACTTTCCTTTTTAGAAACTGCAAAACAAGGAAATTGTGTAGATAGCAAGGTCAGAGAAGTGACTGAAAAATGTGGCTGTAGAATATAAAAGAGTAAGTAATTCAATACATTCTCTGAGTCATAAAGTAGAAGTAGAAAGAAACCTCAAGAGGTCATTTGGTTGAACTCTCTGCTTCTGAGAAGCCCTAGACTGAAATCATCCCAGATGAAGCTGGTGAAGGGAGCTGGTGGGAATTGGGGAGAGGAGGAGACAGGAAGAGGGCCAGGAATTGTGATCTATTCTAAGATCTCTAGGCATGGAGATGAGAAAAGACCTTTTCAAAGTTTTGTCTCAGTCCTCAGAAAATCTCTACATAGCTGAATACTCAATACTAATATTGGCTGGGAACTTTACATATGGAAGACCTTCTGGCATCCAACTCGGCTATCTTCTAATTTTGAGGAAGGGCTGAGGGTTGGGAAACTTCTGGGCCTCAGTCACACCCCAGGGAAAGCTAAATCTCAAGATCTCCCCCTACCTCAAGATCAGCCCTGACTGGGCTGAACTGCCAGATTAGAAAAGGGGCAGCCCTCCTGTCAAGTCATCTCTGCGTCCTAAAATGGGAAACAGGGCAAGAACCTCCCCTTACCATCAGCAGTTGCTTCAAAGCCTCTGATGCCCCAATTCCCTCCAAACCTAAAGAAATCAAGATCCTTGCGTCTGTCATTCCCTCCTCCTATCTCTCCCACTTTTCCTTTTTCTCCCCACCTAACTTTGTCTCCTCCTCCGCTCTAGACTATGGAAAAGTCTTACGAGCAGGCAGGAATATCTTGTTTACATAGTCAGAAGCTTGATATTCTTTTTTTTTTCTTTTGAGATGGAATCTTGCTCTGTCGCCCAGGCTGGAGTGCAGTGGCGCAATCTTGGCTCACTGCAAGCTCTGCCTCCCGGGTTCACGCCATTCTTCTGCCTCAGCCTCCGGAGTAGCTAGGTGGGACTACAGGCGCCCGCCACAACGCGCGGCTAATTTTTTTTTTTTTTTTTTTTTTAAGTAGAAACAGGGTTTCACCGTGTTAGCCAGGATGGTCTTGATCTCCTGACCTCGCGATCCGCCCACCTCGGCCTCCCAAAGTCCTGGGATTACAGGCATGAGCCACCGCGCCCGGCCATTTAGGCACTTGATATTCTAACTAGAAGACCCAAATGTCCTTCAAAAAAGGGCGGGTGACTGCTCTCTCTTGTCATGGGGCAATAAATCTCTAGGCTTTCAGTCCAGAGATGGGAAGCTAGCAAACAAAATTTAAGGAAGTATTTAGATTCATTGTTTTAATATTTACAAATACAAGTCCTGTTTCAGTAACAAGTGGCAAATCCAGAACTCAAATGCAGTTTGTCTGACTTAAGTCTGCACTTTTTTTTTTTTTTTTTTTTGAGACAGAGTCTCGCTCTTTCGCCCAGGCCGGAGTGCAGTGGCGCGATCTCGGCTCACTGCAAGCTCCACCTCCCGGGTTCACACCATTCTCCTGCCTCAGGCTCCCGACTAGCTGGGACTACAGGCGCCCGCCACCGTGCCACGCTCATTTTTTGTATTTGTAATAGAGACAGGGTTTCACCGTGTTAGCCAGGATGGTCTCGATTTCCTGACCTCGTGATCCGCCCGCCTCGGCCTCCCAAAGTGCTGGGATTACAGGCGTGAGCCACCGCGCCCGGCCTTAAGTCTGCACTTGAAAAAGTCATTCTTTAACTTTTCTGCTCAAGGTCAGTTTTGCTTTATATCCCCCAGCTTTTTACTTCTTTTGTTGTTGTTGTTGTTGTTTTTGAGATAGGGTCTTGCTCTGTTCCTCAGGTTGGAGTGCAATGGGGTGATCTCAGCTCACTACAACCTCTGCCTCCCGGGCTCAAGCGATTCTCCCACCCTCTCAGCCTCCTGAGTAGCTGGGACCACAGGTGCGTGCAAGCCCCATCTAATTCTTTGTATTTTTTGTAGAGGAAGGGTCTCACCATGTTGCTCAGACTGATCTCAAACTCCTGGGCTCTAGCAATCTACCCACTTCAGTCTCCCAAAGTGCTGGAATTATAGGCATGAGCCACTGTGACTGGCCAATTCCATTTTACTGCAATTCAATTAAAACTATTGTTGGGGTAGGCTGGGCGTGGTGGCTCACACCTATAATCCCAGCATTTTGGGAGGCCGAGGCGGGCGGATCACGAGGTCAGGAGATCGAGGCCATCCTGGCTAACACGGTGAAGCCCCGTCTCTATTAAAAAATAGAAAAAATTAGCTGGGTGTGGTGGTGGGCACCTGTAGTCCCAGCTCCTTGGGAGGCTGAGTCGGGAGAATGGCGTGAACCTGGGAGGCGAGCTTGCAGTGAGCCGAGATCGCGCCACTGCACTCCAGTCTGGGCGACAGAGCAAGACTCCGTCTCAAAAAAAAAAAAAAAAAACTATTGTTGGGGGTGTTGGGGGTCCATTAAGGACTTCTTACTATACTACTGCTATGGTGGAGTTATTCCTGCCCTTAAGGAGATTTAAATTATTTGGGATTTCTGCTGACCCTGATTTCCTGCATTATCCCTACCTTCAACTTTGAACTTCTTTTCTTTGTAAGTGAACGTCCTTGAATCAGCTTAATTTGTCATCTGTTTAAGCCATGATCGATAGAAAGGATCTCCTTGAACTCATGTGGCAGGTGGCAGGTGGCTAGCTGAGGCATGTGCCCCTTCCAGAGTTCAGGGTTATTGCTGCCCAGATCAGGGGTTACAGTTCCCACACCCACTGCCTCAGGATGGGCCACAGGACCTATCTGGGCAGAAGTGATGTTCCTGCTGCCAGGCTTTGGCCCGCAAGACTGTCCGTTTGATCCTGGTGCTCTCTCTGCCCTCACTCAACAGCATCTGCAGCTCTATGGCAAGCATTCTGAATCCTTTTGTGCTGTAGATGCCTGAATCCCTTCTCAGAATAATGCTTGTTTAAAAATAGGCTTTTTAGGGCAGGCACAGTGGCTCACGCTTGTAATACCTGCACTTTGGCAGGCCGAGGCAGGAGGATCACTTGAGGCCAGGAGTTCGAGACCAGCCTGACCAAAATGGTGAAACTCCGTCTCAACTAAAAATACAAAAATCAGCCAGACGTGGTGGCAGGCACCTGTAATCCCAGCTACTCGGGAGGCCAAGGCAGGAGAATCGCTTGAACCCAGGAGGCGGAGGTTACAGTAAGGCGAGATCGTGCCACTGCACTCCAGCCTGGGTGACAGAGTGAGACCCTGTCTCAAAAAAAATAAAATAAATAAAATAAAAATAAGCTTTTTATTTTGCAATAATTTTAGATTTACAAACAAGTTGCAAAGATAGTAAGTACAGTTTCCACATGCTCCTCACTCAGTTTCAGTTTCCCCTAAAGTGGTCATCTTACAATACTGTGGCACATTTCCTGAAAGTAAGAGACTAACATTGGTACATTATTATTAACTAGATGCCAGACTGCCACTAGTTTTTCCACCAATGTCCTTTTTCTGTTCCGGGATCTAATCCAAGAAACCACATTGTATTTAGTTGTCTCCTCTGGTCTGTGGTAGTGTCTCAATCTTCCCTTTTTTTCATGACTTTGACAGTTTTGAGGAGTATTGGTCAGGTATTTTGCAGGATTCCAGAAAAATGATTAAGTGCATAAACTAGGGTTATAAAAGAAGGAAATCATATGAAAATATAGGTATTAAAGTTCTTTCATACCAGCCTAAGCAACATAGTGAGACCCTGTCTCCACAGACAATTTTAAAAGGCCAGGCACAGTGTCTCACGCCTGTAATCCCAACCCTTTGGGAGGCCAAGGAGGGAGGATTTATTGAGCCCAGAAAATAGAGACCAGCCTGAGCAACACAGGGAGAACCATCTCTACAAAAAATTTAAAAATTAGGCCAGGCACGGTGGCTCACACCTGTAATCGCAGCACTTTGGGAGACTGAGGCGGGTGGATCACAAGGTCAAGAGTTCGAGACCAGCCTGGCCAACATGGTGAAACCCCTTCTCTACTAAAAATACAAAAATTAGCCAGGCACGGCGGCACATACTTATAGTTCCAGCTACTTGGGAGGCTGAGGCAGGAGGATTGCTTGAACCTGGGAGGTGGAGGTTGCAGTGAGCCAAGATTGTGCCACTGCACTCCAACCTGGGCGACAAAGTGAGACTCCACCTCAAAACAAACAAACAAACAAACAAAAAGAAAGTGAAACAGCCTTATTGTTGATATAGAGAAAGTTTTAGTGGTCTGGATAGAAGATCAAACCAGCCATAATATTATCTTTAAGCCAAAGCCTAACCCAGAGTAAGGCCCTAACTCTCTTCAATTCAGTGAAGGTTGAGAGGGGATGAGGAAGCTGCAGAAGAAAATTTTGAAGCTAACACAGGTTGGTTCATAAGGTTTAAGGAAAGAAGTCATCTTCGTAACATAACAGTGCAAGGTGAAGCAGCAAGTTATCCAGTAGATCTAACATAACTGATGAAGGTGGCTACACTAAACAGATTTTCAATATAGACAAAATAGACTTCTATTAGAAAACGATGCTATCTAGGACTTTCACAGCTAGAGAGGAAAACTCAATGCCTAGCTTCAAAAGACAAGCTCTCTTCTTGGGGACTAAACCAGCTGGTAACTTTAAATTGAAGCCAGTGCTCATTTACCATTCCAAAATCCCAGGGCCTTTAAGAATTATGCTAAATCGGCCAGGCACAGTGGCTCACGCCTGTAATGCCAGCACTTTGGGAGGCCGAGGCAGGCGGATCACCTGAGGTTAGGAGTTCAACACCAGCCTGGACAACATGGTGAAACCCCATCTCTACAAAAGTACAAAAATTAGCTGGACATGATGGTGGGTGCCTGTAATCCCAGCTACTCAGGAGGCTGAGGCAGAAGAATCACTTGAACCTGGGAGGAGGAGGTTGCAGTGAGCCGAGATCGTGCCATTGCATTCCAGCCTGGGCGAGAGAACGAGACTCTGTCTCAAAAAAAAAAAAAAACAAAAAAAAAGAATTATGCTAAATCTAGCCTACCTATGCTTTATCAATGGAACGAAACGACAAAGCCTGGCTGACAGCACATCTGTTTACAATATGGTTTACTGAATATTATTTTTTAACTTTTAAAAAATTTTAATCTATCTATTTATTTAGAGACTGGGTTATGAGACTGGCTGACTTTTGTATTTTTGGTAGAGATGGGGTTTCACCATGTTACAAAGGCTGATCTTAAACCCCTAGGCTCAAGTGGTCCACCTGCCTCAACCTCCCAAAGTGCCGAGATTGCAGGCATGAGCCACAGCACCTGGCCAGTTTACTGAATTTTTTATTTATTTATTTATTTTTGGACAGAGTCTCACTCTGTCACCGGGCTGGAGTGCAGTGGCGCTGATCTCGGCTTACTGCAGCCTCTGTCTCCCAGGTTCAAGAGATTCTCCTGCCTCAGCCTCCCGAGTAGCTGGGATTACAGGCACCTGCCACTGTGCCCAGCTAATTTTTTGTATTTTTAGTAGAGACGGGGTTTCATCATGTTGCCCAGGCTGGTCTGAAACTCCTGACCTCATGATTCGCCCACCTCGGCCTCCCGAAGTGCTGGGATTACAGGCGTGAGCCACCGCACCCGGACAGTTTACTGAATTTTTAAAGCCCATTATTGAGACTTACTGCTCAGAAAAAGAGATTTCTTTCAAAATATTACTGCTTATTGAAAATGCCCCTAGTCACTCAAGAGCTCCGTTAGAGATGTTCAAGGAGATTAATATTGTTTTCATGCCTTTGAACACGATAGCCATTCTGAAGCCTGTGGATCAAGGAGTAATCTTGAATTTAAAGTCTTATAATTTTAGAAATACATTTCATAAGGCTATAGCTGTCATATATATGATTCCTCTGATGGACCTGGGCAAAGTAAATTGAAAACCTTCTGGAAGGGATTCACCATTTTAGATACCATTAAGAACATTCAGGATTCATAGAGGAGGTCAAAATATCAACATTAAATGAAAGTTTGAAAGAAGTTGATTCCAATCCTCATGGATTTAAAAGCTTCTTTTTCTTAAAAGTAATCAGAATCTTTTAGCAATTCAAGACTTCAGTAGAGGAAGTAACTGCAGATGTGGAAACAGCAAGAGAACTAAAATTAGAAGTGGAGCCTGCATCAGATGCTCACGCCTGTAATCCCAACACTTTGGGAGGTCACGGCGGGATGATCCCTTGAGCCCAGGAGTTCGAGACCAGCCTACGCAACATGGAGAGACTCATCTCTTAACAAATAAAAATAAAAAGTTATAAATTAGCTAGTTGTGTTGGCAGACTCCTGCGGTCCCAGCTACTTGGGAAGCTGAGGCAGGAGGATCATTTGAGCCTGGGAGGTTGAAGGTCAAGATTGCAGTGAACCATGACGATGCCCTGCACTCCAGCCTGGGTGACAAGAGTGACACCCTGTCTCAAACAAACAAGCCACCTACCTCTAAAAGTTAATATGATATGAATTCATTCTTTTTTTTTTTTTTTGAGACAGAGTCTCGTTCTGTCACCCAGGCTAGAGTGCAGTGGCGCCATCTCGGCTCACTGCAACCTCTGCCTCCCAGGTTCAAGCAATTCTCCTGCCTCAGCCTCCAGCATAGCTGGGATTACATTGCGCCCAGCTAATTTTTGTGTTTTTTTGTGTTATTTTTTTTTTTTTTTTAGAGATGGGGTTTCACCATGTTGGTTAGGCATGTCTCGAACTCCTGACCTCCTAATCTGCCTGCCTTGGCCTCCCAAAGTTCTGGGATTACAGGCGTGAGACACCATGCCCGGCAAAAAATTCCATTTTTGACAGTGATCATAAAGATAATTTTTTAAAAATCTAGATTCCAAAATACAGGAAAAAGTGGAAGTGAAAAGGCTTCACACACACACACACACACACACACACTTCACACATACACACATAGAAGGAAAAGGGGAGGAAACAACTCTAGAGAAGCAGTAGATGTTTTATTTGGGGGAAGTGTATTTTTTATTCTGAAGGCAGGAATTCTTTCTTCTTTCTTTTTAGAAACACAGTCTCACTCTGTTGCCCAGACTGGAGAGCAGTAGCATGATCATGGCTCACTGAAGCCTCGAACTTGGGCTCAAGTGATCCTCCTACCTCAGTCTCCCATGTAGCTAGGAGTACAGGTGCATGTCACTACAACCCAGCTAATTAAAAAAAAATTTTTTTAGAGAAATGGAGTCTTGCTAGGCTGCCCCTAGCTGGCCTAGGCTGGCCTCTATCTCCCGGCCTCAAGTTATCCTCCCACCTAAGCCTCCTGAGTTGCTGTGATTACAGGTCTGAGTCACTGTGCCCAGTTGCTATAATTACAGGTGGGAGCCACTGTGCCCAGTCAAAATTCCTTTTTTTTTTCCTTTTTTTTGAGACAGAGTCTTACTCTGTCACCCAGGCTGGAGTGCAGTGGCGCGATCTTGGCTCACTGCAACTTCTGCCTCCCGGGTTCAAGCGATTCTTCTGCCTCAGCCTCTTGTGTAGCTGGGATTACAGGCATGTGCCACCATGCTCGGCTAATTTTTGTATTTTTAGTAGAGACAGGGTTTCACCATGTTGGTCAGGCTGGTCTTGAACTCCTGACCTCGTGATCTGCCCACCTCAGCCTCCCAAAGTGCTGGGATTACATGCGTGAGCCACTGCGCCCAACTATGTGCCCAGCCGAAATTCTTAAAGAGAAATAGTGGATTACTTGCTGCACAGAGTCCAACAATTTTGTAAAATTTTAAAACCTTCTTTTCCTATGATTGAAAAAAACACAACGAAGTCTCGTATTGCACGGTGGGTGTATTCTTAGCAATATGACTAAAAATAGAATTTTGGGAAATGAAATATTTTAGATGCTTTTGTGACTTAAAAAATAGAGTTATTTCTGGGTATAATTCTTCTGAAAGGTAATTGAGGGGCTTTGGGAATCTTCAATTTGAGCCCCACCTCCTCTTTTTTTCTTGAGATGGAGTTCTCACTCTGTTGCCCAGGCTGGAGTGCAGTGGCCCGATCTCAGCTCACTGCAACCTCCGCCTGAGTAGCTGGGACTGCAGGCATGTGCCACCACACCCAGCTAATTTTTGTATTTTCAGTAGAGACAAGGTTTCACCATGTTGGCCAGGCTGGTCTTGAACTCCTGACCTCACGTGATCCACCCACCTTGGCCTCCCAAAGTGCTGGGATTACAGGCGTGAGCTGCCATGCCTGGCCATGAGCCCTTATATTAATTTTGCTGACCACTTACAAGTGTCATGTTTTAGGCTCTTTCTTTCCCACATTTTCTCCAGGTCTTATCTCTTGTGCCTCCACTGCAGCTGTATGATAGAGGAATGAGGTCATAAAATCATCATATTGAAATGTAATTTAGAAATGATTTAATAGAATGTTGCTGTTGTTCTAGGCACGGAGCAAAATTAAACTGTCCTCTGTGTCTCTCCCTTTAGGAACTTCCATTAAAAATAGGCGAAAGTAAGTGTGTTACAGTTCAACAGTCTTTAGCTTCCAGATAGAATCCTTCCAAATATAATTAGAGGTACTGACATTAATCAATAAATCTACATGTGCCCAGAGATTTGGTTTCTGTAGAGATCATGTCACTTCTCCCCTTGGTCTCCAGGCACCAAGATAAGCTGTTTCACCATTGGCGCTGATTCCTAGGTCTGAATCCCAGGGAAGTGGAAGTTGATTGTTTCTCTAAGAGTGATTTACATCTCTGGAACATTAGCTTTTCTACCCTCAATCTGCTGAGACATGATTTTTACTTTTTTGACCTTCCAGATATAGTGCTTCCTTGCTTATTGATTTACTTAAATAAAATGTGGTTTGCTTTTATTTTTTAATGCCTGAATTATGGGGGAGATCAGGAGTGATAAGGTTGACAAAATTATTTTGTTCATCTGATTTGGTCCATTAATTGAAGTCAGTAATGTTCAATCAAAAAGTTATTAGAAGGCTGGGTGTGGTGGCTCATGCCTGTAATCCCAGCACTTTGGGAAGCCGAGGTGGGTGAATCACCTGAGGTCGGGAGTTCGAGACCAGCCTGACCAACATGGTGAAACTCTATCTCTACTAAAAATACAAAATTAGCCGGGCGTGGTGGCGCATGCCTGTAATTCCAGCTACTCGGGAGGCTGAGGCAGGAGAATTGCTTGAACCCAGGAAGCGGAGGTTGCAGTGAGCTGAGATTGTGCCATTGCACTCCAGCCTGGGCAACAAGAGCAAAACTCCATCTCAAAAAGAGAAAAAAAAGTTACTAGCAAAAAAAACAGCAGATAGTTATGTAATTTTAGAGTAGGCAGGGTCTTTTTAGGCATTATCACTAAAATAAGAAATCTAGGGCTGGGTGCAGTGGCTCACGCCTGTAATCCTAGCACTTTGGGAGGCCAAGGCGGGCAGATCATGAGGTTAGGAGATTGAGACCATCCTGGATAACACAGTGAAACCTATCTCTACTAAAAATACAAAAAAATTAGCTGGGTGTAGTGGCATGCACCTGTAATCCCAGCTACTTGGGAGGCTGAGGCAGGAGAATGGCTTGAACCCAGGAGGCGGAGGTTGCAGTGAGCCGAGATTGTGCCACTGCACTCCAGTCTGGGCAACAGAGCAAAGCTCTATCTCAAAAAAGAAAAAAAAAAAAGAGAAATCTAGGCTGGCTGCCATGGCGCACGTCTGTAATCCTAGCACTTTGGGAGGCTGAGGCAGGAGGACCGCTTAAGCCAGGAGATCAGCCCGGGCGACATAGAGAGACCTTGTCTCTACAGAAAAAAAAAAGTTTAAATTAAAAAAAAAAATCCTAAAGGAGATTCATGGATCTAACTACATTAACTTTAAAAACTTGTGTATGTCAAAAACATCTGTGGTTTTGTGATATATACATCACGCACAATTCCTGATTCATAACTCCTATGGTCCTTGTTATAATGTTGGGGTACATTAGGCCTCAGGAAACAGAATCTCTTTCTGACCTTTTCCAGTCCTTCTTTCACCTGCCCAAGGCAGGACTCTAATCTGATTGTGGGTTAAATGCCCTCGTTCCAGAGAGAATCCCGGCCCATACCCTAGAGGAAGGAATGTTACACAGTGAGTCCAAGAAAAATCTGGACAGGCCTTGTTAGGTTTAGATCATGTGCTTTTTGTCCAGTCACATTTCTTTTGTGTTTTTTTTGAGACGGAGTCTCACTCTGTCTCCCAGGCTGGAGTGCAGTGGCACAATCTTGGCTCACCGCAAGCTCCGCCTCCCGGGTTCAGGCCATTCTCCTGCCTCAGCCTCCCGAGTAGCTGGGACTACAGGCGCCCGCCACCACGCCTGGCTAATTTTTTGTATTTTTAGTACAGACGGGGTTTCGCTGTGTTAGCCAGGATGGTCTCGATCTCCTGACCTCGTGATCCGCCTGCCTCGGCCTCCCAAAGTGCTGGGATTACAGGCGTGAGCCACTGCGCCCAGCCTGTCCAGTCACATTTCTACATGGTTGTCAATCATTTTAGATCATGTGCTTTTTGACCAGTCACATTTCTGCATGGTTGTCAATCATCCCTATGTAATGAAGCCTCCATAAAAACCCACAAGGATAGGGTTTGGAGAGCTTTCAGATAGCTGAGCATGTGGTGGTTCCTAGAAGGTGGTACGCCCAGGGAGGGCATGGAAGCTCTTTGCCCCTTTCCCCATACCTCACCCTACACATCTCTTCATCTCTATCTTTGGCAATATCCTTTATAATAAACCAGTAAACGTAAGTAAGTGTTTCCGTAAGTTTTGTGAACCACTCCAGCAAATTAAACAAACTCAAAGAGGGAACTCCAACTTGAAGCCAGTCAGTCAGAAGTTCCAAAGGTGCAACTGGGGCACCTGGTGTCTTGGGGACTGAGCCCTCAACTTGTGGGATCTGACACTATCTCCAAGTAGATAGTGTCATAATTGAATTGGAGAACATCCAGCTGGCGTCCTCTGCTTGGTGTGTGAGGAAAAACTCAAACAACTTTGGTTATAGAAGTCTTCTATGCTGATTATTGTTGTGGTGGTGTGAGAACAGAGGAAAAACATGGTTTAAAAGAGTTTTCCTGAAATAACATCATGATCTAAAATTAAAAGGCAGGCTGGCTGTGGTGACCCATGCCTGTAATCCCAGCACTTTGGAAGGCCAAGGCAGGATGTTCACTTGAGCTCAGGAGTTCGAGACCAGTCTGGCCAACATAGTGGAACCCTGTCTCTACTAAAAAAAATACAAAAATTAGCCAGGCGTGGTGGCATGTGCCTGTAGTCGCAGCAACTCGGGAGGCTGAGGCAGGAGAATCGCTTGAACCCAGGAGGTGGAGGTTGCAGTGAGCTGAGATCGCTCCATGGCCCTCCATCCTGGGCAACAGAGCAAGACTCCATCTCAAAAAATAAATAAACTAATTAATTAAAATAAAATATAACTTTATCATACCTAACAAAGGGTTTCTTTCTTTTTTTTTTTTTTAAACAAAAGACAAGGTCTTGCCCTGTCACCCAGGTTGGAGTGCAGTGGTGGGTTCTTAGCTCACTGCAGCTTTGACCTTCTGGGCTCAAGTGATCCTCCCACCTCAGCCTCCTGAGTAGCTGGGACTGCAGGTGTGCACCACCACGCCCAGCTAATTTTTTGTTTTTTTGTTTTTTGTTTTTTTTTTTAAGAGATGGTGTCTCATTATGTTGCCCAGGCTGGTCTGGAACTCCTGGGTTCAAGCGATCCTCCCACCTCAGCCTCCTAAGTGCTGGGATTACAGGCATGAGCCACCATCCCCAGCACAAAGGGCCTTTATGTTTAATATATAAAGAGATTTCACAAAGTAACAGTAAAATATATAGGCTAAGAACAGAAATAGTTGCCAGGCACGGAGGTTCACGTTTATATTCCCAGCACTTTGAGAGGCCAAGACGGCGGGATCATGAGGTCAGGAGATCGAGACCATCCTGGCTAACACTGTGAAACCCAGTCTCTACTAAAAATACAAAAAATTAGCCAGGCGTGGTGGCGGGCGCCTGTAGTCCCGGCTACTTGGGAGGCTGAGGCAGGAGAATGTCATGAACCTGGGAGGCGGAGCTTGCAGTGAGCCGAGATTGCGCCACTGCACTCCAGCTTGGGTGACAGAGCAAGACTCCGTGTCAAAAAAAAAAAAAAAAAAAGCAGAAATAGTTAATTTATAAAAGAAGAAATAACAAATATGAAATTAACAAACAAAAGTTCAAAGTCACTGGTCTTTCAAGAAATACGTATTTGGCGCGGTGCAGTGGCTCATGCCTGTAATCCCAGCACTTTGGGTGGCCGAGGCGGGCAGATCACCTGAGGTCAGGCATTCAAGACCAGCCTGGCCAACATGGTGAAACCCTGTTTCTACTAAAAAAATACAAAAATTAGCCAGGCATGATGGCGGGTGCCCGTAATCCCAGCTACTTGGTAGGCTGAGTTGGAAGACTCGCATGAACCCAGGAGGCGGAGGCTGCAATGAGCTGAGATTCTGCCACTGCACTCCAGCCTGGGCGACAGAGCAAGACTCCATCTCAAAAACAAAAAGACAAAAAAACAAACAAAAAAAACCTCATGCTGGGCCGGGCGCGGTGGTTCATGCCTGTAATCCCAGCACTTTGGGAGGCCGAGGCGGGCGGATCATGAGGTCAGGAGATTGAGACCATTCCGGCTAACACGGTGAAACCCCGTCTCAACTAAAAATGCAAAAAACTAGCCGGGCCTGGTGGCGGGCGCCTGTAGTCCCAGCTACTTGGGAGGCTGAGGCAGGAGAATCTCTTGAACCTGGGAGGCAGAGCTTGCAGTGAGCCGAGATCGCGCCACTGCACTCCAGCCTGGGCGACAGAGCCAGACTCTGTCTCAAAAACAAACAAACAAAAAACAAAACCTCATGCTGAAGAATAGAAATATACTTAGTAATATATATGTTGATCTTGATTACGCCAGAAAAATACTATCTGAGGCATAGGCACGGGAAACATTTAAGAGGATATTTGCCAAAACATGAAAAGTGATTTTCTCCAACTAGTGGATTATGAATTATTCATTTTATCAGGCCTATCGCATCTAATAAATTTGGACCATGTCAGATAAAACGTCTTTTTTTTTTTTTAGGCAGAGTCTCACTTTGTCACCAGGCTGGAGTGCAATGGCGCGATCTCAGCTCACTGCAACCTCTTCCTCCTGGGTTCAAGTGATTCTCCTGCCTCAGCTTCCCGAGTAGCTGGGACTACAGGTGTGTGCCACCATGCCCAGCTAATTTTTGTATTTTTAGTAGAGACAGGGTTTCACCATGTTGGCTAGGATGGTCTCCATCTCTTGACCTCATGATCTGCCCACCTTGGTCTCCCAAAGTGCTGGGATTACAGGCGTGAACCACTGTGCCTGGCCAATATGTCTTTTTTGATTGCTATTGTACCACGACCTCTTTTTGGCCTTAAAAATGTTTCTTTGGTATTTATAAGAGATATTGGGGTTTTCTACCCCACATTCCTTTCCCCTCCTTTCCTTTCTCACAACTCCAGTTTTATCCAGGTGCTCACATTCTTCTTTCTTTTTGGAGACGGAGTCTCGCTCTGTCCAGTTTTATCCAGGTGCTCACATTCTTTCTTTTTTTTTTGGAGACGGAGTCTGGCTTTGTCACCCAGGGTGGAGTGCAGTGGCATGATCTCAGCTCACTGCAACCTCCGCCTCCCGGGTGCAAACAATTATCCTGCTTCAGCCTCCCAAGTAGCTGGGACTACAGGTGCACACTGCCACGCCCAGCTAATTTTTTGTATTTTAGTAGAGATGGAGTTTCACTGTGCTGCCCAGGCTGTTCTTGAACTCCTGAACTCAGGCAATCCACCCGCCTCGGCCTCCCAAAGTGCTAGGATTACAAGTGTGAGCCACCACGCCTGGCTGACATTCTTCTTTTGGTTTGGGGAGGCTAACCCCAGTCGCAGGCTCAGAGGTAAATCTTTTTTTTTTTTTTTTTTTTTTAAGGGACAGGTCTCACTCTGTCACCCAGGCTGGAGTGCAGTGGCAGGATCATAGCTCACTATAATCTCAAACTCCTGAGCTCAAGGGATCCTCCTGTCTCATCCTCTTGAGTAGCTGAGACTACCGCTCCTGGTTAATTTTTTCTTTCTTTCTTTTTTTTTTTTTTGAGACGAAGTCTTGCTCTGCCGTCCAGTCTGGAGTGCAGTGGCGCGATCTTGGCTCACTGTAACCTCTGCCTCCCGGGTTCAAGCAATTCTTCTGCCTCAGCCTCCCAAGTAGCTGGGGCTAAAGGCACATGCCACCACGCCCGGCTAATTTTTTGTATTTTTAGTAGAGACGGGGTTTCACCGTGTTGCCCAGGCTGGTCGTGAACTACTGAGCTCAGGCAATCTGCCTGCCTTGGCCTCCCAAAGTGCTGGGATTACAGGCGTGAGCCACCACGCCTGGCCAATTTTTTTATTTAAAAATGTTTATTATTACTTATGTATTTATTTTGAAATAAAAAAACATTTAAAACACAAGTAAAACACTTAAAACACATTTATTTATTTTGAAATAAATAAAAATTTAAAACACTATTAAGTAAAACACTTAAAACGCATTGAAAACGCTATTAAAACACACTATTAACTATTTGCAATCACAAGATTTTACTTTCATGTAGCTAAATCTATTACAAGGTCTCACTCTGTCACCCAGGCAGGAGTGCAGTGGTATGATCGAGGTTCACTGCAGCCTCAACCTCCTGGGCTCAGGTGATCCTCCCACCTTAGGCTCCTGAGTAGCTGGGACTACAGGCGCACACCATTATGCTCAGCTAATTTTTTGTAGAGACACGGTTTCACTTTGTTGCCCAGGCTGATCTTGAACTCCTGGGCTCAAGTGATCCTCCTGCCTCAGCCTCCCAAGCAGCTAGGATTACAGGCGTGAGCCACTGCGTCCAGCCATAGGGGTAAATCTTGACTGGGCGAAGTCTTAGACTCTAAGCCAGTCATGGTTATATCAGTCCCCTTGCCAGGGATTGTTTAAGAGTGAGGATGTGATCCATTTCTAGTCCATGAAATATGAGAAGTATATGAGAGGGAGGGGTCGCTTCTGGGTAGGTTTTTTTTGTGGTTTTGTTTTTTTTTTTTTTTTTGAGACGGAGTCTCTCACTCTATCACCCAGGCTGGAGTGCAGTGGCGCTATCTGGGCTCACCACAACCTCCGCCTCCCAGGTTCAAACCATTCTCCTGCCTCAGACTCTCGAGTAGCTGGGATTGCAGGCATGTGCTACCACGCCCCTTAATTTTTAGTAGAGACAGGATTTCACCATGTTGCCTAGGCTGGTCTTGAACTCCTGACCTCGTGATCCACCCGCCTTGGCCTCGGATTACAGGCATGAGCCACCGCGCCCAGCCTGGGCAGGGTTTTTTTTTTTTTTTTTTTTCTGCTTGTGGATGTTGTTATGTCAAGATGTAAAACCTAGAAATACTGAAGTAATCTTGGATCATGAAGAGAACCAGCCTTGGAATGAGGTTGTTACTGAAGGTGGCAGAGTGGAGAGTTGGAAGAAATCTAGGTTCTTGATGACACCATTACCCACTGGTTGTACTATGCCCAGAAACACCTAGTTTCTTGATTTTGTTGTTGTTGTGGTGGTGGTGGTAAAATAATAAGTTTCCTTACTGCTCAAGTTTATTTGAATTGATGTTATCTGTTACTTGCAGCTAAAGGCATCCTGATTGATACAGCACATCTTGGAAATAACAGAGTTCAGCAATCTTCCTATAGAGAATTTTGCTGTAGCATAACTCCTGTGGAGTAGGAGGAAAAAATTAGGATCCACGGGTTATCTAAAACAAAAAGGGATCTTCTAGAATTTGAGGAAGTGAGAAATTGGCAAAAATATGTTTTGGTGAAATCTTCTTTGATCAGAACATAATAAAAGGAAAGGAATTAAACATTTTTCTTCTATAATTAAATAATTGTCATTTTATATTAAAATTTTTTTCTAGAAAAACCTTGATTTTTGACAAAAATGTTGAAAGCAAATACTATTTTTTATTTTTAAAATTTAAAAATAACATTCATTATTCTCTAAAATTTTACTCTTCTCTAAAATCTTTCAATACATTTGTTTTTGAAGCACACTATTAACTATTCACAATCAACATTTTACTTTAGCTAAATCTATTAAGTAATCAGACAGCAATTCAGCATAATTAGTTCATTACATTTGTATAGAAGTAGATAATTTCATAGAAATCTATCAAAACAAAATGAAAAATTGATTATTTGGTTACAAATATTAGAAGAGTGGTTCACCTTTAATATCTTCTTTATTTTATCAGTAGCAGAAAAATCTGTCATGTAAACTTTTCTTAACTTCTTTTCTTCTGAAATTCCTTAATTTCTATAACTTGGCCTTTTGACAGTTGTTAGAATCAGTTACTGACAATTCCTTTTTATCATTCACAAAATATAGCTGGAGACCTTTGCTCAGAAAGGAAAGCGCTGATATTAATTAACAAGTTTATCGTTTCAAGATTGGGTTCTGTACTCATGTGAGTTTTCAGCTATGAATTATGGCTGCAGTAATTACCATGCCTTTGTTGATAATTTTAGTTGAGTTGCTTATATTTTAGATCCTACCTCTTTTTTTCATAACTAATGATTTTAAAGTTTTGGCATTTGGGAATTACAATGTTTCTGGACTTTGTTTAATATTTTTTTCTTTTTTTTTTTAGATAGGGTCTCACTCTGTTGCCCAGGCTGGAGTGCAGTGGTTCGATATGGCTCACTGCAGCCTCAGCCTCCCTGGGATCAAGTGATCCTCTCACCTCAGCCTCCCAAGTAGCAGGGACCACAGGTGTGTGCCACCATACCCGGCTAATTTTTGTATTTTTTGTAGAGATAGGGTTTTGCCATGTTGCCCAGGCTGGTCTTCAACACCTAGGCTCAAGCAGTCTTCCCACCTCAGCCTCCCAATGTGCTAGGATTACAGGGGTGAGTCACCACGCCCAGGCTGGACTTTATTTAAATGCTGAAATTTAAAACTCTTGGTTAATGATAGGAGGCATTTCAGGTGGTTCTCTGTGGCACTTCTCAACCTTTGTCCACAAGGACGCACTTGGCCTTCCTATCAGTTGTATGTAAATCCCTCTCATTTATTGTGGCTCCACTCCTCTCTCTCCACCTAGGAAGAGCTTTGCAGACATTACCTTTAATCTAAAAACAAACCAATAGGAAATAGTGGCACTTTTAGTAGGTAACAAATTACTGGAACATTCCTCCCGACACTTCATCACACTACAATGACACCACATGATGCCTCATGACTCCCAGTGAAAAAGACTACTTTAGTAGTCACCACAATGCGCTGGGAAACAAGAAACAAAAGACAAAAAATAAAGTCCCTTCCCCGCCCCCCATTTCGTAGAGTAACCTTTGTTGGAGCAGTAACTTAACCTCTCTATACTTCAGTTCTCCTTACATACAAAATGAAAGCTACAAGAAGTTCTTATGAAAATATCAGTTAAGTGGTTTTTTTAAATTTTTAATTTTTATTTATTATTTTCTTTTTGAGACGCAGTCTCTGTCACCCAGGCTGGAGTGTGGTGGCATGATCTTGGCTCACTGCAACCTCTGCCTCCCGAGTTCAAGCAATTCTCCTGCCTTGGCCTCCCGAGTAGCTGGGATTACAGGTGCGCACCACCTCACCCAGCTAATTTTTGTATTTTTAGTAGAGATGAGGTTTCACCATGTTGGCCAGGCTCGTCTTGAACTCCTGACCTCAGATGATCTGCCCCCCTTGGCCTCCCAAAGTGCTGGGATTACAGGTGTGAGCCACTGCGTCCGGCCAAAATATCAGTTAAGTTTAATATTGTTTTGAGAGCTTCACTTCAATAAAATAGGATGGAGGGCCTGGCAGAGTAGAGAGGGATTCAAATGTAGAAGGCTTGAAATCGTAGGCTGAGGAATTGAATCGTTATGTAATGGGGGCTTGTAAAGATTACTGAACAGGGTAGTAGCATAATCATCAATATCTGTGTTTTAGGAGGAAAACTGGCAGCAGTGTGTAAAATAGGATAAAGTGATGGAAAATAGTGGAGTCAGGAGAGTATTGCAAAGGTGTAGACGAGAGTTGATGGTAATTGCTGTGAGAACTGGAAAAATTGGACTAATTAAAGAGGTATGGGCTGGGCGCAGTGGCTCACACCTGTAATCCCAGCACTTTGGGAGGTCGAGGCGGGCGGATCATGAGGTCAGGAGATCAAGACCTTCCTGGCTAACATGGTGAAATCCTGTCCTACTAAAAATACAAAAAAATTAGCCGGGTGTGGTGGCACACACCTGTAGTCCCAGCTACTCGGGAGGCTGAGGCAGGAGAATGGCGTGAACCCTGGAGGTGGAGCTTACAGTGAGCCGAGATCGCACCACTGCACTCCAGCCTGGGCGACAGAGCGAGACTCTGTCTCAAAAAAAAAAAAAAAAGAGGTATGAAGGACAATCAATTGTAGAAGCCATAGGATTTGGTTGGATATGAGGAGTAAGGGAGATAAGGATTTATTTCTTTCTTTTTTTGAGACAGAGTCTTGCTCTGTTGCCCAGGCTGGAGTGCAGTGGTGCAATCTCGGCTCACTGCAACCTCTGCCTTCCAGGTTCAAGCGATTCTTTTGCTTCAGCCTCCCAAGTAGCTGAGATTACAGGCACGCGCCACCACGCCCGGCTAATTTTTGTATTTTTAGTAGAGACGGGGTTTCACCATGTTAGCCAGGATGGTCTCAAACTCCTGACCTCAGGTGATCCGCCCGCCTTGGCCTCCCAAAGTGCTGGAATTAGAGACGTGAGCCACAGCGCCCGGCCCCTAGAGTACGGATTTCAATGGGTTAAGGGTTTCTGGTCTGAACATCTGAAGATGCCTTTCCTTAACTGAATGCAAGCTCAGGAACGTGTAGATTCTAGGATTAAGTATGATTTTCTCCCGTTATTTGAAATGCCTGTGGATCCCGTGTGATGCTAACCACCTGGACAGTTAGAGTAGGTGTGGGGAAATTTCTTCTAACAAAGGAAAGGAATATTTTTGTAATGAAAACAGCTCATTTTTATAGTTCGCAACCATTAGTGCCCCAAACTCTGAGGTAGTTATTACCTCGCCAGCGGTAAAAGCTTGATTATAGTCCCTGATTACCGACTGTGTGAAGGTCCTTGTTTCCAGCAACTTCCATAGGCAAAATGATATTAATTGTGATTAATTATCGTGTGGCATAATACAAAGACCAGATGATGTATTATGGCTTCCGGAGGGCGCCTGCATCGTTTTTCGCTGGAGCCCTCGGGGCAGGGGAACTGGAGAGCTCCCTGGGTGGCCTTTGGCCCTTCCCTGGTCAGAGCCCGCCAGCTGCGAGGTGCCCCCAGCCATGAGGTCTGGGTCTTCAGGCTCTCCCGACTTCGGTGCCTTGACCTTGGGCAGAAGGCCCTGTTAACCTTCCTCGCTCACGGACTCGAGCGACCAGCGCCGGGGACGGGGCGGGCCGTCCTTAGGCCCCGCCCCTTCGCCTCCGCCCCGCCCCGCCCCGCTCCTGGCCGCCGGCTCCCTCCGGCAGCAGGGAGATGCGCGCCTGCGCCGGCCCTCGCCTCGGAGCAGCCATGATGGTGGGTGTTCTCCGCGGCGCCGAGTCCCGGGAGCGCGGTGGGGGCAGCGGGCGCGGGGCGGGCGCGGGGACCGCGCCAGCCTGTCACTAATGTCTCCCTTTGTGTCTCCCCCATCTCATCCTTTTCCCCGGCGCGCCGTGCCCGCCGACCCCACAGGAAGGCCTGGACGACGGCCCGGACTTCCTCTCAGAAGAGGACCGCGGAGTAAGTTCTGCCTTCCTTTCGCTCGCGGGACCCTGGACCCTCCTTCCCCATCCTGGGTCCCCGGGTGTGGTACGGGGATGGGTCCCCAGCCGCGCGGCACTCCCTCCCCGTAGTCCTCCTTTCGGTTTCCTCGCTGCACCGCGCCCCACCCTCCCGCAGCCCTTCCTCCCTAGGGGCCGCTCGGCTCCGATTCCCGGGGACCCGCGGCCGCTTTCTTGTCCCCCGCCGCTGTTCGGGCCTTCTGGTGGACCTCCACTCCCACGCGGGGCGGGGTGCAGGTGGCGAAGTGGAAATGGAGGCGGGAGATGGAACGCCCCCACCCTCCCTCGACACTTTGGGGCCATGAAAACCCATTCTCGGACCTTCCCAGCGGCACCCTCAATTTTCACCCGGTGTGGACATCTCGAACTTGCTCCCGCCCACCCTTCTGTCTCTCTCAAATAGTACAGGTGTAGTCTACATTACCATTTTGCAAGGATTTTTATAGTAGCCGAATCAACTCCTGTCCAGTGCCCTACTAGATTATGCAAAGTGCAGGTAGCCCATGGTATCTTTACTTTTTCTAATATCCAACAAATCCTGTCTTTGGCAGGATTTCCTTGGTGTTTTATTCCCCCTTAGCTTCTTTGAGGTATATTGACAAATACTGTTGATAATTGTATATACTTAAGGTATACATTATATTTTAATACACGAATACATTGTGAAATGAGTACCAAAATCAACCTGACATATCCATCACCTCACCTAGTTACCATTTTTTTTTGTGTGAGAACATTTGAGATCTAAGCAAATTTCAAGTATGTACCCTTTGACCAACATCGACGCTCCACCCACTCACCCCCCACATACACACTCCGCCAGGCCTTTGATAACCTCCATTCTGCCCTTGGTGTTCTGAGGTTAGTTGCATTCTACTTCAGAAAGAGCCTTCCGGGCTCTGATTCCTCCCTCCCACCCCACTCTCCACCCCCTTTTTCCTTGGCTGAAGGGTGGTAATCTTTATAGTCCCTTGTACAAGTGAGCACTTGGAAAATGTTGATATATGATAATTACCATTCAGCAAGGTTCCATGGTTCCTTCACATTTCACAGCCTGCACTTCAGTTTTCCCTTTTGCTTTTTCTTATCCGTTTTAATGTGAGAGAGACATCTGTTAGTGCATATTTGGTAGGTGATAAAATATTGTGGGATGTTATTGCTGTTTGTAATAACAGATGAGGTAGTTAGTATGAACTGATGACTTTTATAAAACTTTTATTTATTTATTTGGTTTTATGAGACAGTATCTCCCTTTGTTGCCCAGGCTGGAGTGCAGTGGCATGGTTATAGCTCACTGCAGCCTTGACCTCCTGGGCTTAAGTGATCCTCCCACCTCAGCCTCCCAAGTAGCTGGGACTACTGGCACGGGCCACCATGCCTAGCTGGGTTTTTGTTTGTTGGCTTTTTGAGACGGAGTCTTGCTCTGTCACCCAGACTGGAGTGCAGTAGCGCTATCTTGGCTCACTGCAAGCTCCGCCTCCCGGGTTCACGCCATTCTCCTGCCTCAGCCTCCCGAGTAGCTGGGACTACAGGCGCCCGCCACCACGCCCGGCTAATTTTTTGTATTTTTAGTAGAGACGGGGTTTCATCATGTTAGCCAGGATGGTCTCGATTTCCAGACCTCGTGATCTACCCACCCCGGCCTCCCAAAGTGCTGGGATTATAGGCGTGAGCCACCACGCCCGGCCTGTTTGTTTTTATAGAGACAGGGTCTCACCATGTTGCCCAGGCCAGTGTCAAACTCCTGGGCCTAAGTGATCCTCCTGCGATTATAGGCGTGAGTCACTGTGCCCAGCCGAGCTTTTAAATAGTAAGAAAGATGGAGAAGGTGCTGCATACTTTTATAAATTAATTTCTCAGTGTAAACAAAGGCATTATTTAGAATTTCAGGTTAGAGCAAAAGCATCATATAGAATTACTAGTTGTTGGTAAGATTTTTAGTTTCGGCCAGGCACAATGGCTCACACCTTTAATCCCAGCATTTTGGGAGGCCGAGGCAAGAGGATTGTTTAAGGCAGGAATTCAAGATCAGCCTGGGCAACATAGCAAGACCTCATCTGTACCTAAAAATTTTAAGACCAGGCACGGTGGCTCACGCCTGTAATCCCAGCACTTTGGGAGGCCGAAGTGAGTGGATCACCTGAGGTCAGGAGTTCGAGACCAGCCTGACCAACATGGTGAAACCCTGTCTCTACTAAAAATACAAAAATTAGCTGGGCATGGTGGCGCATGCCTGTAATTCCAGTTACTTCAGAGGCTGAGGCAGGAGAATCACTGGATTCATTCACTGGAACCTGGGAGGTGGAGGTTGCAGTGAGCTGAGATTGCACCATTGCACTCCAGCCTGGGCAACAAGAGCAAAACTCCATCTCAAAAAAAGAAAAAAAAGAAAAAACAATTTTTTTTTTTTTTGAAACGGAGTCTCGCTCTTTCGCCCAGGCCGAAGGCCCGACTGCAGTGGTGCTATCTTGGCTCACTGCAAGCTCCGCCTCCCGGATTCACGCCATTGTCCTGCCTCAGCCTCCTGAGTAGCTGGGACTACAGGCGCCCGCCACCGCACCTGGCTAATTTTTTTGTATTTTTAGTAGAGACGGGGTTTCACCGTGTTAGCCAGGATGGTCTCGATCTCCTGACCTCGTGATCCGCCCGCCTCTGCCTCCCAAAGTGCTGGGATTACAGGCGTGAGCCACCGCGCCTGGCCAACAATTTTTTTTTAAACTTAGGCAAGCTTGGTGGTATATACCTGTAGTCCTAGCTATTTGAGAGGCTGAGAGCTTGAGAACAATGAGCTATGGCTTGAGAGAGCCAGGGTGACAGAGTGAGGTCCTGTCTCTAAAAAAATTTTTAAAATTGTATTTCGGGTTTTAAAATAGCGGAAACTAGCAGAGTTACTTAATGAAGTATGAGGAGTTGATTATAGCACAATTAAACTAATTATTCTAAATATAAAGCATATGACCTTTAGATAACTTTATGTCCTATTTTTGGTGTCTACTAGCACAAGCAAACAGGATTTGCTTTCTTGGAGGATCTTAATAATGTTCAGTAAAAATACTAATTTTTGAGTATGTTGATGTTGTGAAAAGTATTTTTTGGTGAATATTTGTGTTCATGGCTTTATGCCTTCAGAAAGATTTGCTCATGAAACTGGAAGCCCTTAAGTAATTTGTCCAGAAACTTTCTCTTTTTTTTTTTTTGAAATGGAGTCTCGCTCTGTTGCCCAGGCTGGAGTGCAGTGGCGTGATCTCAGCTCGCTGCAAGCTCTGCCTCCTGGGTTCATGCTATGCCATTCTCCTGCCTTAGCCTCCTGAGTAGCTGGGACTACAGGAGTGCGCGACCGTGCCCGGCTAATTTTTTGCATTTTTTTTTTTTTTTAGTAGAGGCGGGGTTTCACCTTGTTAGCCAGGATGGTCTAGATCTCCTGACGTTGTGATCTGCCTGCCTCGGCCTCCCAAAGTGCTGGAATTACAGGCGTGAGCCACCGTGCCTGGCCCCAGAGACTTTTTCATGTATTACAAAATTAAAGGGAGAGGAAGACAAAAGAGCACTCCTGACTGTGATGTTCTTATAGAATCCTGTAGATGAAAATTTTAATATGGAAATGGAAAAAAACCTGAATTAGAATGCTTTTAGAACATCAGGATGGATATATACACTTACCCAGTTCTTCCTTATTTTTGTCCCGTGGAACTGGGTGAATCATAATAATTATAAAATTATAGGTGGGCACAGCATAATCATTGTTTCATTATATTTATATTTCATTATATTTCATCATCCCTCTAAAGCCTTTAGTATCCCCCTTTTTCTAATGAGAAATCCGAACTTCAGAGAAACTAAGTTAGTAGTCTGAGGTCACACAGCAACAAATGGGA
The DNA here is from genome assembly GCF_000001405.40 of Homo sapiens. Classification (NCBI taxonomy): domain Eukaryota; kingdom Metazoa; phylum Chordata; class Mammalia; order Primates; family Hominidae; genus Homo; species Homo sapiens. Next base: position 34,625,990 of record NC_000014.9, on the reverse strand, counting down.
GAGCTGGACTTTAAAACACATTTCTGATATCAGAGCCACTGCACAGGTTTCTCAAAGTGGCCTTGAAATACTTGCATTAGAATTACCTGGTGCATTTGAAAATCAAAATGAAAGTTTCTGGGTGTCACCTCCTCACTAAATCAGAATCTCTTAGGGTAGGGAATACACAGTATTGAAAACTGTTGGTCACACTTTGATCTCTTCAGCCCCACCTCTACATATGGGCAGATAACTGCATTTTTTTTTTAAATTTTTTTTGAGACAGGGTCTCGCTCTGTTGCCCACGCTGGGGTGCAGTGGCAATCTTGGCTCACTGCAACCTCCACCTCCCGGGTTAAGGTGATTCTCCTGTCTCAGCCTCCTGAGTAGCTGGGATTATAGGTGCCCGCCACCAGGCCTGGCTAATTTTTTTGTATTTTTAGTAGAGACAGGGTTACACCATGTTGGCCAGGCTGGTCTCAAACTCCTGACCACAGGGGATCTGCCCGCCTCGGCCTCCCAAAGTGCTGGGATTACAGGTGTGAGCCACCGCGCCCGGCCGATAACTGCTTTTTTGACCAGCACCCAAGGAGTTTCTGTTTGTGCACTGAAATTTGATTACTGCTGCAGAAAGTTATCCTGCTATTTCCTCATTTTAGGAATAGAAATATCTGGCCTGTTTAAATTTCCTTACATTGTGTTTGTCCTGATAGAAATAGATTACCATAATTAGAACTTTTAGGCATTGCATTTTTAGTTTAGATCATCTTGTTGAGCCTTTTAAGAAAGGGAGTCTTGGCTGGTCACAGTGGCTCACTCCTATAATCCCAACACTTTGGGAGGCAGAGGTGGGTGGATCACGAGGTCGGGAGTTCGAGACCAGCCTGACCAACATAGTGAAACCCTGTCCCTGCTAAAAATACAGAAAATTAGCTGGGCATGGTGGCGGGCACCTGTAATCCCACCTACTCGGGAGGCTGAGGCGGGAGAATCACTGGAACCCAGGAGGCGGAGGTTGCAGTGAGCTGAGAGCGTGCCATTGCACTCCAGCCTGGGCAACAGTGCGAGACTCTGTCTCGAAAAGAAAGGGGAATTTTGACAGAAAAAGCATGAAGTACATATTGATACAAGTTGCAAAGGGGACAGCACATTCAAAAATAATAACTAGCATTTCATGTAAAGCAGCAAGTAAGCAAAAAAAATTTTTTTTTTTTTCCTAGACGGAGTCTTGCTCTGTCGCTAGGCTGGAGTGCAGTGGTGCGACCTTGACTCACTGCAACCTCTGGCTCCCAAGTTCAAGCTATTCTCCTGCCTCAGCCTCCTGAGTAGCTGGGACTACAGGTGCACGCCACCACGCCCAGCTAATTTTTGTATTTTTAGTAGAGACGAGGTTTCACCATGTTGGCCAGGATGGTCTTGATCTCTTGACTTCATGATCCACCCTCCTCAGCCTCCCAAAGTGCTGGGATTACAGGTGTGAGCCACAGCGTCCAGCTACAAGTAAGCAAAATTAAAGTCAGTGTTTTAAAATAAATCTTTAAGCAGCTGTACATTTTCATCATGATATTTCGATTAGAACAGAATCTTAGTGCCCTAAGAAAACATTGTTTTGGCCAGGCGCAGTGTCTCATGCATGTAATCCCAGCACTTTGCGAGGCCGAGATGGGCAGATCACCTGAGGTCAGGAGTTAAAGACCTGCCTGGCCCACATGGTGAAACCCCATCTCTACTAAAAATACAAAAATTAGCCGGGCGTGATGGCTGGTGCCTGTAATCCCAGCTACTTGGGAGGCTGAGGCAGGAAAATCACTTGAACCCAGGAGGCAGAGGTTGCAGTGAGCCGAGACTGTGCCATTGCACTCCAGCCTGGGCGACAAGAGCGAAACTGTCTCAAAAAAAAAGGAAAATATTGTTTTGTGAGAAATTTAAAAAGCAGGCTTCAAGAATACATAGTGTTGAAAAATATTGGCCACATTTTCATCTCTTTAGCCCTACCTCTATATAATAGGTTTTTCCTCCCCCAAATAAAGGACAGTAACATATTATTTAGTACACAAATGAGCCCTTTGAATTGGACACATTTTTTTTCTGATGTGCTTGTTAAATAAGAACAGTGCATGCCAGAGTGATGGCATGATTCTCTTTGCACTTGATTTCAGTTCTAAATAATATGTTTATTGTTTTCAAGAATTACTTTAGGTGGAGTAACTACTTGTTCTCCTGTACTCGTAGCCTTGCTCCTACCTTTGTATTCCTTATCTTCATTAATAGCATCACTTTCCAGTTGTGCCGGCAAGAAACCTCTGAGTCATATCCTTCATCTTTATATCAGAACAGTCATTGAGGCCAGTTAATTTCACCTTGGAAATGTTGTTTATCCCATCTTTCATGTGCTTGGTTCCATTTAAGCTCCTTGCTTCTTCCTGCTTGGATAGTAGCAGTACCTCTCCTTAGTCTCTGTCTTTAGTCTTTCTACTTTCCAATTCAGTCGTCAAATTACTTATATTACTAAAATGATTAAACCATATAGCACGTTAGTGAAAAGGACTTCCTTGGACCCCTTTTTTTGGGGGGTAAGGTCCAAACTCCTTAGGCTAACATTCAACTCTGTTCATAACCTTTTCTGACTGGCTTCATTTCTCAATATCCCCTCCCCCATATTCTAGTCTACTCCCCATTGCCCAAGTACGTCTACACTTGACTGTCTGTTTTATGCATGCATTTCAGTGTTTTTTTTCCCCCTCACCTTTTCTTTCGCTTCAAATTCAACTTGAATTTGGCCCAGATGCTTGCATTTTGTTTTGCACCTGCACACTTTTTAGCTTAAACACATGCCACATTTATTGATAGTTACTTCACATAAAAATGTGACATATATTATGTTGGCTGAGGATTAAAAAGATCAATAAGACAAAGTTCCTGCCCTGAGACCATCACAGTGTAGTGAAGGAGATAGAGTTATAATCCCTTGCAATGAAGTGTATGGGAGTACAAAGTAAAAGTGTTCAACTTTAGGGGAAGGGGTAGTAGTAAAGACATAATGATAGTTACACACTTACATGCATTCACTGCATGTCAGGGACTTTCCATATAAACTCAATTCTCAAATCCCTATGAAATACACCTACTGTTATTCCTATTTGGGAAAGGAAAACTGAGTTGCAGAGACATTAAATAACTTGCCCAAGGTCATACAGCCGGTAGGAGCTGTGGTCAAATAGGCAATCTAGCTCTAGGGCCTGGCTCTTAACCACTGTGCTATTGGTCTGCTTTCCAACAGGGAGGATGGCATGTGTTGGTAATTTGGTTCCTCCTAGAGCACTTGTTCTTACTGGAGCAGAGGTTGCAAAGGTACATGCAGCTAGTACAGAGTATGTAGTGCATAGTGAAAGACTCCAGGCAGTGGGAAGTACTGAGGAATCTTTTTTTTTTTTTTTTTTTTGCTCTATTGCCCAGGCTGGAGTGCAGTGGCACGATCTCGGCTCACTGCAAGCTCCGCCTCCCGGATTCACGCCATTCTCCTGCCTCAGCGTCCCGAGTAGCTGGGACTACAGGTGCCCGCCACCACGCCCAGCTAATTTCTTTTTGTATTTTTAGTAGAGATGGGGTTTCACGGTGTTAGCCAGGAAGGTCTCGATCTCCTGACCTCGTGATCCACCCACCTCGGCCTCCCAAAGTGCTGGGATTACATGCATGAGCCACCGTGCCCGGCCAGTACTGAGGAATTTTAAGCTAGGAAAGACATGCCCAGGCCGGGTGCAGTGGCTCATGCCTATAATCCCAGCACTATGGGAGGCCGAGGTGGGCGGATCACCTGAGGTAAGGAGTTCAACACCAGCCTGGCCAACGTGACGAAACCCCAACTGTACTAAAAATACAAAAAAAATTAGCCAGGTGTGACGGTAGGTGCCTGTAATCCCAGCTACTAGGGAAACTGAGGCAGGAGAATCGCTTGAACCCAGGAGGCAGAGGTAGCAGTGAGCCAAGATCACGCCACTGCACTCCAGCCTGGGCGACAAGAGTGAAACTCCATCTCAAAAAAAAAAAAAAAAAAAAAAAAGGAAAGACATGCCCAGGTGAAAAAACATTGTAGATTATTCTAATATTGAGGATAGATTGATGCTTCCTTTCAGAAAACAAAGAAACCAGTTAACAGGCTAATGCAGCAGTCCAGATGAGAAATGACAAAGGTAGAACTAAGGCAGTGGAAGAGGGATGAAGGAAGGGATGTAGTAAAGAGATGTTTAGGAGATAGAATAGACAGGACATAGTGACTGAATAAGTAATACATGGGCTGGGCAAGGGAGAAGGAGAAAACATAGAATGTAGGAAGGAAGAACAGGGTTAGAGGTTAGGTCATAAGTCTGGTTCCACGTATGTTGGATTTAAAGTGCCTGTGAGGCATCTAACCTGCCCCCACCAAACTAGAATGTAAGATCTGTAAGGCTGAGGATTGTGTCTCTTCACTGCTGTCTCCCTAACATGTAGGACAGTGCTTGATACATTGAGGGCACTCAGTTGTTTAATAAGTGAATACATCCAGGTGGCTATGTCTAGTTGGTAACTTGAAATTCAAATTGGGAACTTAGAATAAAAAGTCTAAATTGGGGATATAATTAGGAATTATTAGTTGAGAATGGCTGATATTTCCAATATTAGCTAGCACCCAAGGGAAACCAGCATTTAAGGACCAGAGCAAAGATGATTGGTTAATGGGGCTGAGAGGGGTAGGAGGCGAATCAGAGGAGGCTTCAGAAGTTGAGAGAAGCTGACGCAGTGGCTCATGTCTATAATCCTAGCACTCTGAGAGGCTGAGGCAAGAGGATCACTTGAGCCCAGGAGTTTGAGACCAGTCTGGGGTCTGTAGAGAGATCCTCTCTCTACAAAAACTAAAAATTAACAGGGTGTGGTCACACATGCATTTAGTCCTAGCTACTTGGGAGGCTGAGGCAGGAAGATTGCTTGATCACAGGAGTTTGAGGCTGTAATGAGCTATGATTGTACCACTGCATTCCAGCCTGGGTGACAGAGTGAGACGCCCGTCACCATTTTTTATTTTTTATTTTTTTTTTGAGGGAGTCTCACTTTATCACCCAGGTTGGAGTGCAGTGGCACCATCTCAATTCACTGCAACTTCTCCCTCCCGGATTTAAGCAGTTTCTTGTGTCTCAGCTTCCTGAGTAGCTGGGATTACAGGCATGCACCACCACGCCCAACTAATTTTTGTATTTTTAGTAGACACAGGGTTTCGCTATGTTGCCCAGGCTGGTCTCAAACTCCTGGCCTCAAGTGATCCTCCTGCCTCAGCCTCCCAAAGTGCTGAGATTACAGGCGTGAGCCACCATGCCCGGCCCCATGTCCAGTTTTAAAAATAATGATTTTTTTGTTTTAAAGGTTGAGATAGTTTTAAGAAAGGAGTGGTCAGAATGATACCAAGGCAGAATACTGCATAGAGGCCAAGAAGACTGAAAAATATCATTGGTTTGGAAATTAGGTACTCATGTAAAGAATTTTGTTTTTGTTTTTGTTTTTTGACATAGTCTTGCTCTGTTGCCCAGGCTGGCATGTAGTGGCACCATCACAGCTCACTGCAGCCTCGACCTCCTGGGGCTCAAGTGATCCTCCCACCTCAGCTTCCCAAGTAGCTGGGACTACAGGCGTGTGCCACCATGACCAGCTGTGAGGCAAAATTTATTTGTAAAAAGATGTGTTGGTGGGCCTGAGAGAATAAACAGCTGCTGGCATTTATTTCTCTGGGCTGGAGGAGGCAAGTTCACTTGTTGAGGGTGGGGTGTAATGTGGTAGTAAAAGTTGGAATTGTTGCTGCAGGGAATCAAAAGAGGAGCTGAGCAGAGTTGCACAGGACTGGACTGCTGAGTGGTTTTCAAAGAGCATATGCAATTTGGAGACCATTAATTTGAAATGGAACAGTACAAACAATGGTGACTTTTCTCTAGCCATACTCAGCAGCCCAAATGTAAAAGTTGACGATTATATTGATCTTGAGGTCAGGTGGCTCATGCCTGTAATCCCAGCATTTGAGAGGCTAAGGTGGGAGGATCGCTTGAGCCCAGGAGTTCAAGTCTAGCTTGGGCAGCATAGTGAGACCTCATCTCTATAAAAAAATAAATAAATAAAAGATAAGTAGATCCTGAGTATGGGAATTTGTGAGCCAGGTATGGTAAAAGAGCAGTGAGAGTTGAAGGGACCAGCAGGAAAGGTATTGGAATGGCATTCATGGAGTGAAGCAGAGGGAGTGCCGACAGACTGGAAATAAATGGAAAGGTCACAGGACTGGAGGTGTTGATGAGGTTACATTGTACATGTGGTAAAAGTGGTGGGGAGAAAGCAGGAAGCAGTTAATTTTATATTACATAAGATTGATTGTCTTCCTCATTGCAAACAGATTTCTTGAAGGCAGGGCTTTTTGTTCACTTTAAATCTTTCACAATACCTGGGACAGTGTTTGCGTATAAGTGCTGAAAAAAAAGTTTATTAAATAGCCGCATATTACTGTATTGCCTAGTGTTTATATTTATTCTATCTCTCTCTCTCTCTCTCTCTCTAAATATATATATATATATTTTTTTGAGACAGAGTTGTGTTCTGTTACCGAGGCTGGAGTGCAGTGGTGCGATATCAGCTCACTGCAACCTCCACCTCCTGGGTTCAAGTGATCCTTCTGCCTCAGCCTCCCAAGTAGCAGGGACTACAGGCATGCACCACTGCACCCAGCTAATTTTTGTATTTTTAGTAGAGATGGGGTTTCACCATGTTGGCCAGGCTGGTCTCAGACTCCTGACCTTGTGATCTGCCCACCTTGGCCTCCCAAAGTGTTGGGATTACAGGCATAAGCCACTGCGCCTGGCCAATCAAATTTTACTTCTATCATGGGGTTTTTAATTGATCATACTGTAATTACCTGAAAATAGTTTTGTAGCCCAGTTGTGGTTACCACCTTTCTTTCTTTCCTCTTCCCTCCTTTACATTCCACAAATATTTGTCGAGAACTTCCATTGGGAATGTAGCAATGAATAAAACAGACAAAAACCCATGTCTTCATGGAGCTGAATTACAGTCATGAAGAGACATTTTTAAAAAGTAAAGTATATTAGGTTTTGAATAGGCATTATGAAGAAAAATGAGGGAGGAGTAGGGATTTTTGGGCTGGGAGGGGAGGATGGTTTGAGCTGCACTTTTAGATAGGGTGGCTAGGAAAGGCCTTCCTGAGGAAGACTTAAGGACTTGAAGGAAGTGAGCTGTGCAGATACGTATCTGGGGGCAGAGTGTTCCAGGCAGAGGGAACCAGCGGTTGCAAAGACTCCCTGAGACGGCAGCATGTTTGTGTGTTCAAAAAACGAGGGCCAGGTGCAGTGGCTCATGCCTGTAATCCCAGCACTTGAGAGGCCAAGGTGGGTGGATCACCTGAGGTTGGGAGTTCGAGACCAGCCTGGCCAAGATGGTGAAACCTTGTCTCTACTAAAAATACAAAAATTAGCTGGGCATGGTGTCGCACGTCTGTAATTCCAGCTACTAGGGAGGCTGAGGCAGGAGAATTGCTTGAATCAGAAAGGCAGAGGTTGCAGTGAGCTGAGATCACACCACTGTACTCCAGCCTTGGCGACAGAGCAAGACTCCATCCCCCCCTCCCCAAAAAGGAGGCCACATGGCAGGACTATAGTGAGCCAGAGGAGTGGTAAATTAGATGATATCAGATGGAGATTTTATAGTGCCTGGTAGGCCACTGTAAGGTATTCAGCTTTTCTTCAAGTGGAAACTCCTTAGATTTTAAGCAGAGAAATGATTTCTAGTTTAATGATATCATAGTAGTGGCCCTGTAGGGAATAAATTTATGAGGGGCAAGGGCTGAAGTAAGAGATCAGTTGGGAGACTATTGTAAGAGTCAAAGTTATTTTCTTTCTTCCTTCCTCTTTGCCCCATCCCATCCACTCATCCATCTCTCTACATTTGCTTTGCTGTCAAAATATGAACAACTGACGTCTTAGGGATGTTCTAAGCTAGATACTTCATAGTACACTAGTCAGTATAGTAACTAGTAGTGAATGTCTTCCTAAGTCTTTTTTTTTTTTTTGGAGGCAGTCTTGCTCTGTCCCCCAGGCTGGAGTGCAGTGGTGCAATCTTGGCTCACTGCAAGCTCTGCCTCCTGGGTTCAAGTGATTCTGCTGCCTCAGCCTCCCAAGTAGCTGGGACTACAGGTGCCCGCCACCACGCCCGGCTTATTTTTTGTATTTTTAGTAGAGACGGGGTTTCACCGTGTTAGCCAGGATGGTCTTGATCCCCTGACCTCGTGATCCGCCTGCCTCAGCCTCCCAAAGTGCTGGGATTACAGGCGTGAGCCACCGCGCCTGGTCCAAGTCTTTTTTTTTTTTTTTTTTTTTTTTTTGAGACAGGGTCTCACTCTGTCACCCAGGCTGGAATGCAGTGGCACAATCACAGCCCACGGCAGCCTCAGTCCCCTGAGTAGCTGGGACCACAGATGTGCACCATTACACCCAGCTAATTTTTAAATTTTTTGTGGAGACACGATCTCACTATGTTACCCATGCTGGTCTCGAACTCCTGACCACAAGTGATCCTTCTGCCTTGGCCTCCCAACGTACTGGTATTATAGGCATAAGCTACTGTGCCCAGCCTTTTACTAAGTAATTATATGTGGAACAACAGGTCACAGGTCAGAGTCTTTAAATTGTTCTTCTAATGATAGTACATTTATGTTACTTAATCCATATTTTTTTGTCATAATCTTTCTCTTGACCAGCGACACACATGTTTAACCTAGCCTCTGACAAAAGACAGTCCAATCAATGTGTATTGTTCCAGAAAAAGATTAAGCCATTGAATGTAATCTAATTAGAAATTTCTTCAAACTGAACTCACTAGTTACAGAAAGTTGATTAAATTTTTTTAACCCGAGACAGTCTTGCTCTCTTGACCAGGCTGGAGTGCAGTGGTGCGATCTCGGCTCACTGCAGCCTCCGCCTCCTGGATTCAAGCAATTCTCCTGCCTCAGCCTCCTGAGTAGCTGGGATTACAGGCGCCCACACCACGCCCAGCTAATTTTTTTTTTCTTTTTTATATTTTTAGTAGAAACAAGGTTTCACCATGTTGGCCAGGCTGGTCTCAAATTCCTGACTTTGTGATCCTCCCTCTTCGGCCTCCCAAAGTGCTGGGATGCCAGGCATGAGCCACCACACCCAGCCGATTAAATTTTTATGAAACACAAGTTGTTTGCTTGACTCCGGTCCTTAATAAAACCCTCTAAAATGATTGACTTTTTGCTAAACTGAGAAGAAAATCTGCCTGGACAATTTGTGTACATTTTATGTAATGAACACTAAATCTCACACCTGTAATACCAGTGGTTCGGGAAGCCAAACGGGGTCAGGAGGTGGATCACTTGAACCCACGAGCTCAAGACCAGCCTGGGCAACATGGTGAGATCCCATCTCAAAAATTAGCTGGGCATGGTGATGTGTGCCTGTAGTCCCAGCTACCTGGAAGGCTGAGATGGAATGATCGCTTGATCCCAGGAGTTCAAGGTTAAAATGAGCTATGATTGTGCCACCGCATTCCAACCTGGGTAGCAGTGCAAGACTCTGTCTCTTTAAAATTAAAAAATCTACAATATATTTTATCAGATTTAAGGTGCAGTTGATTGAAAGACTTTTATGTACCACTAAGGAAAAAAAAATGTTGCTAGTTAAATTGTAATTTGTCATCAATTGAAAGACATTCCTGGCTGGGCATGGTGGCTCACACCTGTAATCCCAGCACTTTGGGAGGCTGAAGCAGGTGGATCATGAGGTCAGGGGATCAAGACCATCCTGGCCAACATTGTGAAACCCCCTCTCTACTAAAAATACAAAAATTAGCTGGGTGTGGTGGCACATGCCTGTAATCCCAGCTACTCAGGAGGCTGAGGCAAGAGAATCACTTGAACCCTGGAGGTGGAGATTGCAGTGAGCCAAGATCACGCCACTGCACTCCAGCCTGGTGACAGGGCGGGACTCTGCCTCAAAAAAATAAAAATAAAAAAGGACATTCCTATTTCAGATATGTTATAAAAAATATGCATCTAGAATTGATGAACCATGATAGCATGTTAACTTTTCAGTGATATTTTATACTGATGGTGGGGGGTGATTTTATTTTGGGGACTGGCTTTTCCATTATACATCTTGTTTATTAGAAATAGGACTTAGGCCAGTCATAAGTCCTATTACAGGCTCACGCCTGTAATCCTAACACTTTGGGAGGCCGAGGACGGAGGGGATTGCTTAAGCCAGGAGTTTGACAGTAGAGTGAGCAATGATTGCACCGCTGCACTCCAGCCTGGGCAACACAGCGAGACTCTGTCTCAAGGGGAAAAAAAAAGAAAAGGAGAAGACAAATGGTAGATTGAGTTAATAGCTCTTAAGGCAATATATAAATGGATAACATGCTTTAATAAGGTATACAAGAGAGAATTTAGCCAGGTGCGGTGGCTTACGCCTATAATCCCAGCACTTTGGGAGGCCGAGGTGGGAGAATCACTTAAGCCCAGGAGGTCGAGAACAGCCTGAGCAACATAGGGAGACCCTATCTCTTAAAAAATAATAATAATTAGCCAGATGTGGTGGTGTACACCTGTGGTCCCAATTGCTTAGGAGGCTGAGGCAGGAGGATCACATAAGCCTGTGAGTATGGTAGGTGGCCTATATATTTGTTAAAGCTCTTTATACTGAAAATCTGTATTTTATTGTATGTAAATTATGCCAAAATAAGTAGAATTCAAGACCAAAACCGTTAAGTGGATAGTACAGGGATATTTTATATAGATAAAAGTTACCATTTAAGAAACCAAGTGTTGTGCTATCAAAAAAAAAACTAAACAATAAAGGGAAACAGTATATTTAGTATAGAAGGATAAGGAAATGGAAGAGAAAGAACTGTTTTAATAACTTGGAATAATCTTGAATTGGAAGAATAAATAACATCTTCTCAAATGTAGATATCTCTGAAAGGTATGCTTCCAAACTGATAGATCAGTAGTTAAAAAAAAAAATCTGAAAGCAAAAGTGTACATAGAGATAGGAAATCTGGAAGAAAAATTTTTGAAATAGGGTCTTACGAGACTGGAGTGCAGTGGTGCCATCATAGCTCACTGCAACCTCAAACTCTTGATCTTCCTGCCTCAGCTTCCTGAGTAGCAGAGACTACAAATGTGGGCCACCATGCCCAGCTAATTTTTTTATTTTGTAGAGACAGGTCTTGCTATGTTGCCCAGGCTGGTCTCAAACTCCTGGGCTCAAGCGATCCTCCTGCCTTGGCCTCCCAAGGTGCAGGGATTCCACGCGTGAGCCACCTTGGCTGGCCAAAATATTTCATATAAATATTAAGAACAACATATTAACAGCTGAGAGGAAATTTTGACAGAATATAAAGGCAAGGAAAATCCTGAAAATGTCTGCTGGTGTATTCGGTTACAGATTTTAAGGGCCTTTGCCTGACGTTCCTGTTTTGATAGGCCTGGGATTCTGTTTCTGGTTTTGGAGTTTTTTGGTTTTTTTTTTTTGAGACAGGGTCTCACTTTGTCACCCAGGCTGGAGTGCATTGGCAGTTTCTTGGCTCACTGCAGCCTCGACCTCCTGAGTTCAAGCAATCCTCCTGTCTCAGCTAGCTGGGACTACAGGTGTGTCCCACCAGGCTGGGCTAATTTTTGTTTTGGTTATTGTTTTCGGTTTTTTTTTAGAGATGGGGTTTTGCCATGTTGCCTAGATTGGTCTTGAACTCCTGAGCTCAAGTGTTCCAATCGCCTCAGCCTCCCAAAGTGTTAATATTATAGGTGTGAGCTGCTACACCCAGCCAGATTCTGTTTTTTTGTTTTTGTTTTTGTTTTTGTGTTGAGATGGAGTCTCGCTCTGTCTTCCAGGCTGGAGTGCAGTGGCACCATCTCACCTCACTGCAACTTCCGCCTCCCAGGTTCAAGCAGTTTGCTGCCTCAGCCTCCCGAGTAGCTGGGATTACAGGCACCTGCCACCAGGCCCAGCTAATTTTTGTATTTTTAGTAAGAGACGGGGTTTCACCATCTTGGCCACATTGGTCTTGAACTCCTGACCTCGTGATCCACCCACCTCGGGCTCCCAGAGTGCTGGTATTACAGGCGTGAGCCACCACACGCGGCCCCAGATTCTGTTTTTTGTTTTTGTTTTTGTTTTTTTGAGATGGAGTCTCGCTCTTGCCCAGGCTGGAGTGCAGTGGCGCTATCTTGGCTCACTGCAAGCTCTGCCTCCTGGGTTCACGCCATTCTCCTGCCTCAGCCTCCGGAGTAGCTGGGACTTCAGTCACCCGCCACCACGCCCGGCTAATTTTTTTGTATTTTTAGTAGAGACGGGGTTTCACTGTGTTAGCCAGGATGATCTCGATCTCCTGACCTCGTGATTCACCCGCCTCAGCCTCCCAAAGTGCTGGGATTACAGGCGTAAACCACCATGCCCAGCCAGATTCTGTATTTTTAACAAGCAACCAGGTTGATTCTTATTAGGTGTGTTTTGGAAATGCTAGACTAAGCAATGAAAACCTCAGAAGTGGAGAAATGCTAGTCATTATTCCAAAACCTGTATGATAAATGAACTAGTTTCCTGTGGCTGCTGTAACAAGTTACCACAAACTTGATGGCTTAAAACTACATAAATTTATTCTCTCACAGTTCTGAAGGCCAGAAGTCAGAAATCAGTATCACTGAGCTGAAGTCAGAGAAGTCAGGATGTCAACCTGGCAGGGCCAGCTCTCCCTCCGGAGGCTCTAGGGAAGAATTCCCTGCCTCCTCCAGCTTTCAGTGGCTACCAGCAGCAGCAGTCCTTGGTTTGGTTTGTGGCTGCATTACTCTAATCTGCCTCCATGGTCACATGACCTTCTCATTAGTTATTGGAGTGTTTTTTTCCTGTGTCAGTTTTTTTTTTTTTTTTTTGGATAGAGTCTCACTCTGTCACTGGAGTGCAGTGGCGTGATCTCGGCTCACTGCCAGCTCCACCTCCCAGGTTCACACCATTCTCCTGCCTCAGCCTCCCAAGTAGCTGGGATTATAGGCATGCACCACCGCACCCAGCTAATTTTATGTTTTTAGTAGAGACAGGGCTTCTCCACATTGGTCAGGCTGGTCTCGAACTCCTGACCTCAGGTGATCCACTCACTTCGGCCTCCCAAAGTGCTGGGATTACAGGCGTGAGCCACCAGTGGCGCCTGGCCTCTGCCTTTTATATATAAGGATAATGTCCTGGCTCGGCGTGGTGGCTCACGCCTATAATCCCAACACTTTGGGAGGCTGAGGCAGGTGGATCACCTGAGGTCAGGAGTTGAAGACCAGACTGGCTAACGTGGCAAAAGCCCATCTCTACTAAAAATACAAAAATTAGCTGGGCCTGGTTGTGCATGCCTGTAGTCCTAGCTACTCGGGAGGTTGAGGCAGGAGAATCACTTGAACATGGGAGGCGGAGGTTGTAGTGAGCCAAGATGGGGCCACTGCACTCCAACCTCAGGGGACAAAGTGAGACTCCATCTCAAAAAAAGATGATGTGATTGCCTTTAAGGCCCACCTGGATAATCCAGGATAATCTCAAAATCCCCATCTCAAAATCCATAATTGAATGACATCTGCAAAGTCATTTATTGACATATAAGGTAACATTTACAGCTCCTAGGAATTTGGATGTAGATACCTCCTGGGGAGCCATTGTTCAGCCTACCACAATAAACATCTTAAAAGTGGCCTGGCCTGGCTCAGTGGCTCACGTCTGTAATCCCAGCACTTTGGGAGGCCAAGGTGAAAGGATTGCCTGAGCTCGGGAGTTCAAGACCAGCCTGGGTGACATAGCGAGACCCTGTCTCTATTTAAAAAAACAAAAAGCCTGAATGTGATTAAAGAAAAAAAGGAGGCTGGACACGGTGGCTCACGCCTGTAATCCCAGCACTTTGGGAGGCCGAGGCGGGCGTATCACGAGGTCAGGAGATCGAGACCATCCTGGCTAACACGGTGAAACTCCTCTCTACTAAAAAAATACAAAAAATGAGCCAGGCGTGGTGGTGGGTGCCTGTAGTCCCAGCTACTTGGGAGGCTGAGGCAGGAGAATGGCGTGAACCCGGGAGGCGGAGCTTGCAGTGAGCCGAGATTGTGCCACTGCACTCCAGTCTGGGTGACAGAGCGAGACTCAGTCTCCAAAAAAGAAAAAAGGGAACAGATTTCTCTTTTTTTTTTTTTTTTTTTGAGACAGTGTCTTACTGTTTTGTCAGGCTGGAGTGTAGTGGCACAATCTCTGCTCAGCGCAACCTCCGCCTCCCAAGTAGCTGGGACTACAGGTGTGCGCCACTATGCCCAGCTAATTTTGGTATTTTTAGTAGAGATGGGGTTTCACCATGTTGACCAGTATGGTCTCAATCTCTTGACCTCATGATCCACCTGCCTCGGCCTGCCAAAGTGCTGGGATTATAGGTGTGAGCCACCACACCCGGCCTCCCCCCCTTTTTTTTTTTCTTTTTGAGACAGGGTTTGGCTCTATTGCCCAGGCTGGAGTGAAGTGGCATGATTTCAGCTCACTGCAACCTCCACCTCTTGGGCTCAAGCCATTCCCCACACCTCAGCCTCCCAAGTAGCTGGGACTACAGGTGTACAACATGTGCCCGGCTAATTTTTGTATTTTTTGTAGAGATGGGGTTTTGCCGTGTTGGCCAGGCTAGTCTCAGATTCCTGAGCTCAAGCAATTCGAATGCCAAGGTGGGCGGATCACTTGAGGTCAGGAGTTCAAGACCAGCCTGGCCAACATGGCAAAACCCCTTCTCTACCAAAAACTACAAAAATAGCTGGATGTGGGGGCGCACGACTATAATCCCAGCTACTCAGGAGGCTGAGGTGGGAGAATCACTTGAACCTGGGAGGCAGAGGTTGTAGTGAACAGAGCACTGCACTCCAACCTGGTTTTGAGACCCTGTCTCAAAAACAAAAAATAGAATTATATATATATATACACACACACACACGTATATATATTTGAAATCATTGAGTAAACAATTTTGTATTTGCATTCAGCATTTTGTTCATTTACAATATAATTAAAATTTGAGATACTAATGACCAGGTGAGATTCTCTAAGTCCTAGGTTTTACAACTAGAGTACTGTCTTTGAAACAGTCTATTTCATGTCTTTGCAGCTGGCTAAGACTTTGAGTGTTTTGACTCTTTCCTAAGTCTCAAAATTACCCAAACAAGTTATTTATTGTTTAAAGAGTAAGAAAAACAGATGAAGTTTAAAAATTAATAAGTAGAAGAGTCTTCTTATAGATGAGAAAGTAGAAGCACTAAATAGGAAATATATTTATTTCTTCAAATGTAGTTTATGGAGTTACTTATTGAGTACTTACTGTATGTTAGTATTTTTCTTAGCACTTTACATTAATATGTTTAATTATATTTGATAGTTTCATTGTATATTCCTGAATATAGAGAGGCAGGAGTTAAAATTGTTGCTTGATAGTCTTCTTATTATTGTGCTTCAAGGCAGACACATTCCTTAATTTTAGAGCACTTGAACTTAGATGGACCACTTTCTTGGAAAATAGGGTTTTGTTTTTTTTTTTGGAAGAAGTTTTTTTTTTTTTTTTTTTTTGAGACGGTTTTGCTCTGTCATCCAGGCTGGAGTTCAGTGGCACGATTACTGCTTACTGTAGCCTTGACCTAGGCTCAAGCAAGCCTTCTGCCTCAGCCTCCTGTGTACTGAGACCACAGGTGTGCACCACCATATCTGGCTATTTTCTTTTCTTTTTTTTTTTTCAATTTCTGTAGAGACAGGGTCTTGTTATGTTTCCCAGGGTGGTCTTGAATTCCTGGGCTCAGTCAGTCCTCCCGCTTCAGCCTCCTAAAGTGCTGGGATTATAGACATGAGCCATCACATCTGGCTGAAAAGAGTTTTCTTTTTGAAATAAACTGTAACTAAACTATAATAAATCATGATTAACTCAGTGACTTACACAAAGCAGAATATAGTTGAATACTATAAAATGAAAATTCTAGAATTGAATACTATAGAATTAAGGTAATAGCGTTGCCCAAAGCAGCTGCTTCAAAATGTATATAGTATGTATGTTAAATGGACATGAGTACCTCTTTAGACTTAATAATCTTTTGTTATTTTTGTTTTGTTTTTGCATTGTCTTAAGAGAAAAAATGAAATTATATAAAACATGATTTTCATGAAGATACTGGTTTTCTTTTTCTAGCTTAAAGCAATAAATGTAGATCTTCAAAGTGATGCTGCTCTGCAGGTGGACATTTCTGATGCTCTTAGTGAGCGGGATAAAGTAAAATTCACTGTTCACACAAAGGTAAATGTGATTTTGTACTTTCTATTATTTTAGCCATTTATTATACTACATATGTGATATGTTGACCAGACTTGGGTTTTAAACATAATTGGAAAGAAACTATTTTAACAAAAATAGATGTAGGAAAATGTACTTTTTTTTTTTTTTTTTTTTTTTTGAGACGGAGTCTTGCTCTGTCGCCCAGGCTGGAGTGCAGTGGCACGATCTCGGCTCACTGCAAGCTCCTCCTCCTGGGTTCACGCCATTCTCCTGCCTCAGCCTCCAGAGTAGCTGGGACTACAGGCGTCCACCACCATGTCCGGCTAATTTTTTGTATTTTTTTCTTTTTTTAGTAGAGACGGGGTTTCACTGTGTAAGCCAGGATGGTCTCGATCTCCAACCTTGTTATCCGCCCAAAGTGCTGGGATTACAGGCGTGAGCCACCGCGCCCAGCCAAAATGTACTTTTTTTAGATTAATATTCTGAGAATCAGAACCTAGACAGAAGGCAAATTTAATTTTTTTCCAAATTTTTATTAGTATCTTTTACCATTCTTGTTACTTTCAATTTCATTGTTCTTTCTGTTAGTCAAATTACTGTCTTACAAATAATTATTATTACTATTTTTTTTGAGACGGAGTCTCTGTCATCCAGGCTGGAGTGCAGTGGCATGATCCTGGCTCACTCACTGCAACCTCTGCCTCCTGGGTTCAAGCAGTTCTCCTGTCTCAGCCTCCTAAGTAGCTGGGACTACAGGCACAAGCCACCACGCCCGGCTAATTTTTGTATTTTTAGTAGAGATGGGTTTCACCTTATTGATCAGGGTGGTCTCGAACTCCTGACCTCAAGTGATCCAACCCACCTCGGCCTTCCAAAGTGCTAGGATTACAGGCGTGAGCCACCGTGCCCAGCCACAAATTATTATTTTTATTAGATTTCAGTTCTTGAGCACATTTTCAGATTGCAGATTTCTTTCCTTTGTTTGAATAGTTGAGTTTGATATATATTAATGACATAACTTTTAAGTAACTGTAGCAGTACAATATAATAAGCCTGTCAACTTACTTTCCCAACAATCCGAAGATAATCTTGTCCATATAGCTCAGAGTTTTATGGTAGACTTAAAGGACACTAATGGTCTTGAAATAAGATGAATTTTTTTAAATGATAGAAAATATTTATTAAAAACTTTTTAAGGCCAGACACAGTGGCTCATACCTGTAATCCCAACACTTTGGGAGGCCGAGGCAGGATGATCGCTTGAGTCCAAGAGTTCAAGACCAGCCTGGGCATCTTAGTGAGACCTCATCTTTACAAAAAATAAAATTAGCCAGGTGTGGTGTAGTCCCAGCTACTCGGAGGCTGAGGTGGGAGGATTGCTTGAGCCTGGGAGGTTGAGGCTGCAGTGAGCCGAGATTGTTCGACTGCACTCCAGCCTGGTGGCAGAGCAAGACCCAGTTTCAAAAAACTTTTTAGTGTAAATTTGATTTTTATTCAAGAAAATCTCTATCTTTACAGAGTTCATTGCCAAATTTTAAACAAAACGAGTTTTCAGTTGTTCGGCAACATGAGGAATTTATCTGGCTTCATGATTCCTTTGTTGAAAATGAAGACTATGCAGGTTATATCGTAAGTATTGAGACTCCATTTTAATTCCATTTTCTAGGAGGTTTTAGGTACTTCGTTATGTTTTGGAATCTTGTTTAGCATTTTTTGTGAACTGTTTTTTTGTTTTGTTTTGTTTTGTTTTTGAGATGGAGTCTCACTCTGTTGCCCAGGCTGGAGTGTAGTGACGCAGTCTCGGCTCACTGCAACCTCTGCCTCCTGGGTTCAAGCAGTTCTCCTGCCTCAGCCTCCCAAGTAGCTGGGATTACAATAATGCACCAACACACCCAGCTAATTTTTGCATTTTTAGTAGAGACAGGGTTTCACCATGTTGGCCAGGCTGGTCTTGAACTCTTAACCTCAGATGATTCACCCACCTTGGCCTCCCAAAGTGCTGAGATTACAGGCGTGAGCCACCGTGCCCGGCCCTGTTATGTTTTTTAGAGACAGAGTCTCACTTGTGTTGCTCAGGCTGGAATGCAATGGCCTGATCTTTGTTCACTGTAACCTCTGCCTCCTGGATTCAGGCGATTCCCCTGCCTCAGTCACTTGAGTCGCTGGGATTACAGGCACCCACCACCATGCCCGGCTAATTTTTTTTGTTTTTTAAGTAGAGACGGGATTTCGCCATGTTGGCCAGGCTGGTCTCGAACTCCTGACCTCAGGTGATTCCCCCTGCCTCGGCCTCCCAAAGTTCTGGGATTACAGGCATGAGCTGCCACACTCAGCCTGATATGTTTTTTTAAATTGTCAGTTATGAAACGCCGCACTCAGCCTGATATGTTTTTTTAAATTGTCAGTTATGAAACATGTTTCGTTACCACCTTTTATCCTGAAGTGTTTTCTTAGGGGATGTGGGGTATGTTACATTCCCTCATTTAAACTTAATTTCTTACCATTTGTTAGAATTGAAATGGGCTTGTCCTAGGGATTAAGGAGATGTGACAAACCATACTGGTTTTAAAACCATGGTTGGGGCTGGGCACGGTAGCTCATGCCTGTAATCCCAGCACTTTGGGAGGCCGAGGCGGGTGGATCATGAGGTCAGGAGTTCAAGACCAGCCTGGCCAAGATGGTAAAACCTCGTCTCTACTAAAAATATTTTTAAAAATTAGCTGGGCGTTGTGGCTGGTGCCTGTAATCCCAGATACTTGGAAGGCTGAGGCAGAATTGCTTGAACCTGGGAGGCAGAGGTTGCAGTGAGTCAAGGTCCCACCACTGCACTCCAGCCTGTGTGACAGAGCGAGCCTCCATCTCAAAAAAGAAAAAGAAAAAACCATAGTTGGACAGATACTTAAGAGTTGGAAGTCTCGGCCGGCCACGGTGGCTGACGCCTGTGGCTGGGAGGCCGAGGCGGGTGGATCATCTGAGGTCAGGAGTTTGAGACCAACCTGACCAACATGGAGAAACCGCATCTCTACTAAAAATACAAAATTAGCCAGGCATGGTGGCACATGCCTGTAATCCCAGCTACTCGGGAGGCGGAGGCAGGAGAATCACTTGAACCCAGGAGGCAGAGGTTGTGGTGAGCTGAGATTACGCCATTGCAGTCCAGGTTGGGCAACAAGAGCAAAACTCCATCCCCCCAAAAAAAAAAAAAGAAGAGTTGGAAGTGTCTTTAAGAGGTTAACTAGCCCAGGTGCAGTGGCTCATGCCTGTAATCCCAGCACTTTAGGAGCCTGAAGTGGGTGGATCACCTGAGGCCAGGAGTTCAAGACCAGCCTGGCCAACATGGCGAAACCCCGTCTCTACCAAAAATACAAAAATTAGTTGGGCGTGGTGTCGTGCGCTTATAATCCCAGCTACTCCAGCCTGGGAAACAGAGCAAGACACCGTCTCCAAAAAAAAAAAAAAAAAGATTAGATAACTTTTTTTTTTTGGAGACAGGGTCTTCCTCTATCACCCAGGCTGGAGTGCAGCGGTGCGATTTTGGCTCACTGCAACCTCCGACTCCCAGGTTCAAGCGATTCTCATGCCTCAGCCTCCCGAGTCGCTGGGATTACAGGTGCCTGCCACCAGGGCCAGCTAATTTTTGTATTTTTGGTAGAGACGGGATTTTATCATGTTGGCCAGGCTGGTCTTGAACTCCTGACCTCAGGTGATCCGCCCACCTCAGCCTCCCAAAGTGCTGGGATTACAGGCGTGAGCCATTGCGCCTGGCCAAAACTTAATTTCTACAACTAGTCAAGTTCTCCAATCTGAATTTGGGTGTTCCTGGTGTTCAGCTCATTCTGGATCCCCTTAGCTTTCCCAGACACAGTCTTCTATGGTGGCAGTAGTACAATGCTTCAAGAAATGAAAATTTCCTTAAAATTAGTCATTTGGTCCTGTTACAGATTCCACCAGCACCACCAAGACCTGATTTTGATGCTTCAAGGGAAAAACTACAGAAGCTTGGTGAAGGAGAAGGGTCAATGACGAAGGAAGAATTCACAAAGATGAAACAGGAACTGGAAGCGTAAGTGATTTTTTTATTTTTTTGTTTTTTTTTTTTGGTTGTTGTTGCCTTTGTTAATTGTGCTTGCTTTAATGCCTTTTTTGGTGTTTTCTGATATCCCATCATTAAACCCTTTCTGGAAGATGCAGGTTTAAGTCATACAACCAGTATTAATGATCATGATCAGAGCCTACAGGAAAATTATAGAATAATTGTTTCCACTGTAAAGTTATTTAAATTCATATTTGAAATAGACCCTGAAAGTTGAAAATGGAAGATCCAAAAGCTTCTTTTAAAAAGGTAAAAGGTCCAGTCTGTCTTTGGACTTAAGGGGAAAAAGAAATAGAGAACATGACTTTTTAAAGTAGAATAGTCATTGTTTTTTTTTTTCTATTTACAAAGCCTTAGTCACTACCAACCTAGTTCTCTTTTTTCAATGTGGGCATATTGCCATACTTCTCAAAAGAGAATGTACTGAGCAACTGCATATATTCTGTTTTCTTAAAAACTGCGTATGTATGTAGTGTGAATTATCACAGTTTTTTCAAGAAACTAATACATTTCTAGTATATATGAAACTAATAGTCATTTAATGAAAAACAGTTTTTAACTATTCTTTAGTTACTTTGCTTCTGTATTCTTTTCCCTTTGGGCAGAAGCCACAGGCAGAGAAAAGAAGAAAGGGAAATTATGTACAGGTTGAGTATCACTTATGCAGAATCCCTGGGAGTGCATTTTGGATTTTAATTTTTTTTTTTTGGAGTATTTGCATTATACTTACTGGTTGAGCATCCCTAATCTGAAATCTGAAATGTTCTGATGAATATTTCCTTTGAGCATCATGTCTTTATTTAAAAAATTTCAGATTTTGGAGTACTTTGGATTTCAGATTTTCGGGTAGGGATACTCAACCCATATTTCGTTTTTAGTGTATTTGCTGAAAACACAGAATCTTTCCCCTTTTGTTAAACATTTGGAGTAATTTTGGATTTGCTGGATATGTTTCTCTATTTTGAGAGTTGTACAAGGAAATAATTTTCCTTAGTTATCACCTCTGTCACTTTTTCTGGTCATTTCTCCCCTTCATGCATTTCCTCTTCTCTTCTTCCACTAGTTTTAGTTTTTAGTTATATATTCACACTGCTACTATACTTCTCTTCAGGATGCTAAACTCTTGAAAAGATAAATCAGCAAAGCAGGTCTTAGTTGCAAGCAGCGGTCTGATAGCAGACAGATATATATTCAAAGTTTATAAGACTGAAAATTGGAAATGAGCAGAGCACATTAATATCGAAGAATCTGTGATTTTCCAGTGGCCCTGATCATGATTCTTTTGTGGTCTGGTTAGGGGTTGGATAACAGAGAACCTTGGGTTTATTCTACTGCTACCTCCATCCTCTGCATCCTTCTTTTTTGTCTTCACTGAATGACTACCCTCACAGAGATCAAACTTCTCCCATCATTGGTCCTGCTGGTTTGCTGGTATGTAAAACTTATCCTTCTTGCACGTAGTTGAAGCAAGAATATCAAGCCTTTTCCTTGAATGTTTTTTTTTTTTTTTCCCCCAAACTGACATGTATTACTTTGTGGTCTCTGGGATTCACTGCTGGTATTAAAATATTTTAAACACATTTCTTTGGTGTAATGGCAAAAAAAATTAGTTTCTTCATAGTGTGTTTCTTGTGTGTTTGGGTAATTAGATGAAAATAATTATTAACGTTGAAAATATGCTCACCGAGGTTTGGGTTTTAATTTTTTTTGTACTAAGTTGTTTAAAAGCAGTCATTGGATATTGAATCATTAAGATTCTATCAAATAATTTGTAGCACACTTCCTGTAGAGCTGAGAACAAGCAGCCCTATAGTTAACTTTAACATCAACTCGCATAAGTAAGAAAAATTTGTAAAACTTAAAAATATTAACATTTAGATATAAATATTATTAACTGGCATGAAACCTTTTTCAAAGCTGGGTTTTATGTATTTCATTAACAGTTCAACTAAAAACCTTGTTTACATGAATTATATCTTTGTATCTCTGATTTGCATTCGGAATAATCCAAAGAGTATTTTCTGAAAAAAATTGTTGCAGGTGACTTTTTAGTTGATGGAGTTTTTTACCTTTAATTTTGTATATTGTTTCTAGTGAATATTTGGCAATATTCAAGAAGACAGTTGCGATGCATGAAGTGTTCCTGTGTCGTGTGGCAGCACATCCTATTTTGAGAAGAGATTTAAATTTCCATGTCTTCTTGGAATATAATCAAGATGTGAGTATCACATTGATTGGTGGTCAAGTTTTCTTTTTCTTCTTCTTCTTCTTTTTTTTTTTGAGACGGAATCTCGCTCTGTCTTCCAGGCTGGAGTACAGTGGCATAGTGGCATGATCTTGGCTCACTGCAAGCTCCGCCTCCCGGGTTCATGCCATTCTCCTGCCTCAGCCTCCCTAGTAGCTGGGACTACAGGCGCCTGCCACCACGCCCAGCTAATTTTTTCTATTTTGAAGTAAAGATGGTGTTTCACCGTGTTAGCCAGAATGGTCTCGATCTCCTGACCTCATGATCCACCCACCTCGGCCTCCCAAAGTGCTAGGATTACAGGCGTGAGCCATAGCGCCCAGCCCAAGTTTTTTTTTTTTTTTTGAGACGGAGTCTCGCTCTGTCAGCCAGGCTGGAGTGCAGTGGCGTCATCTCAGCTCACTGCAAGCTCCGCCTCCCGGGTTCATGCCATTCTCCTGCCTCAGCCTCCCGAGTAGCTGGGACTACAGGCGCCCGCCACTATGCCCTGCTAATTTTTTGTATTTTTAGTAGAGACGGGGTTTCACTGTGTTAGCCAGGATGGTCTCGATCTCCTGACCTCGTGATCCACCCACCTCAGCCTCCCAAAGTGCTGGGATTACAGGCATAAGCCACCGTGCCCGGCCCCAAGTTCTCTTTTTAAAGAGTCATTGGAAAAGGCAAGAGTAGTTAGAAAAGGCTCAAGGTCTTTTTTTAGAATGTTTGTATTTTTCTTTTTTTTTTTTTTTTTGAGACAGAGTCTTGCTCTGTCGTCCAGGCTGAAGTGCCGTGGCGCAATCTTGGCTCACTGTGACCTCCTCCTCCCAAGTTCAAGTGATTCTCGTGCCTCAGCCTCCCAAGTAGCTGGGACTACAGGCGCATGCCGCCATGCCCAGCTAATTTTTTTTTTTTTTTTAAGACAGTTTCGCTCTTGTTTCCCAAGCTGGAGTGCAACGGTGCGATCTCAGCTCACCCACAACCTCTGCCTCCTTGGTTCAAGCAATTCTTCTGCCTCAGACTCTCAAGTAGCTGGGATTACAGGAATGCGCCACCATGCCAAGATAATTTTTGTATTTTTAGTAGAGACGGGGTTTCTCCATGTTGGTCAGGCTGGTCTCAAACTCCCAGCCTCAGGTGATCCTCCCACCTTAGCCTCCCAAAGTGCTGGGATTACATGCATGAGCCACTGCGCCCGGCCTAATTTTTGTATTTTTAGTAGAGATGGAGTTTCACCATGTTGGCCAGGCTGGTCTCGAACTCCTGACCTCAGGTGATCCACCTGCCTCAGCCTCCCAAAGTGCTGGGATTAGAGGCGTGAGCCGCACCTGGCCTGTTTGTATTTTTCAAGGTAGTTTAAGTGACACTTTTTCAGTAGTAATGCAGTTATTTCAGTAGAACTTGAGTAGATTAATTGACAGAATGATAGTTAAGCATGTTACTAGCCAGGCATGGTGGCTCATGCCTGTAACCTGTAATCCCAGCACTTTGGGAGGCCAAGCCGGGCAGATCACCTGAGGTCAGGAGTTCGAGACGAGCCTGGCCAACATGGTGAAACCCCATCTGTACTAAAAATACAAAAATTATCTGGGCATGGTGGTGGGCGCCTGTAATCCCAGCTACTCGGGAGGCTAAGACAGGAGAATCACTTGAACCTGGGAGGCGGAGGTTGCAGAGAGCCAAGATGGTGCCATTGCACTCCAGCCTGGGGGACAAGACTGAAATTCCCATCTCAAAAAATAAAAATAAAAAATAAATCATGTTACTACAAGGGACACTGATTTTTTTTGTAATCCTTAATTGCAAACCTCTTAAGAAGTAGGAGCCAGGCACGGTGGCTCAGCCTATAATCCAGCACTTTGGGAGGCCGAGGTGGGCGGATCACGAGGTCAGGAGTTTGAGACCAGCCTGGCCAATATGGTGAAACCCCGTCTCTACTTAAAATACAAAAATTAGCTGGGCTTGGTGGCGCATGCCTGTAGTCCCAGCTACTCGGGAGACTGAGGCAAGAGAATCGCTTGACCCCGGGAGGCGGAGGTTGCAGTGAGCCAAGGTTGCGCCACTGCATTCCAGCCTGGGTGACAAAGCGAGACTCCGTCTCAAAAAAAAAAAAAAAAAAAAAAAAGAAATAGGGTTATCACATTGACTAATGTTTCTTAAATTTGAGTTTGGAGTCTTCCGAAGCCTTGTGGAGAATTCCAAGGAGGTGATTGAGCTAAAGAATTCCAGATTCGGGTAAATTATTGACTCTGGATCTGTTTAACTGACCATTGGTGCTGATCACTCCTTATTTTTTCCTTCCCTGCCTAAAAACTCTCTTTTTTTTTTTTTGAGGCAGAGTCTCTGTCGCCCAGGCTGGAGTGCAATGGCACTGTATCGACTCAGTACAACCTCTGCTTCCCAGGTTCAAGCGACTCCTCTGCCTCCACCTCCCGAGTAGCCACCATACCTGGCTAATTCTTATATTTTAATAGAGACAGGGTTTCACCATATTGGTCAGGCTGGTCTCGAACTCCTGACCTCAGGTGATCTGCCTGCGTCGGCCTCCCAAGGTGCTGGGATTACAGGTGTGAGCCACCATGCCTGGCCGAGGTGATTGCACTTTAAAGATTTCTTCGTTCATAGTGCTGGCAAAAAATTTTTTACTGAATGACTGATACAAATCTTGGAACCTGTGTTTGGATGACAAGATTAATTCATAATTTTTGCAGAAAATAAATATAGCATAGTGCTCATGTACAGGTTAACCTCAAGATCAAAGAATTTGGGCCAGTTGTAGTAAGTCACACCTTTAATCCCAGTACTTTGGGAGCCTGAGGCAGGAGGATTGCTTGAGCCAAGGAGTTCGAGACCAGCCTGGGCAACATAGTGAGACCTGTCTCTTTTTAAAAAAAAAAAAAAGAAGAAGAAGAAAGAAAAATGCCGGGTGCGGTGGCTCATTCCTGTAATCCCAACACTTGGGAGGCCAAGGCAAGGTATTCACTTGAGGCCAGTAGTTCAAGACCAGCCTGGGCAACATGGTGAAACCCCTGTCTCTACTAAAAACGCAAACATAAGCTGGACGTGGTGGCGCTTGCCTGTAATCCCAGCTACTTGGGAGGCTGAGACATGAGAATCACTTGAATGTGGGAGGCGGAGGCTGCAGTGAGCTGAGATTGTGCCACAGCATGGGTGACAGAGTGATATTCTGTCTCAAAAGAGAAAAAAGAGAAAAGAAACTAAAATTTTTGAGTAAGAATGAGATGCTCAAAATTTGATTTTAGAAAGCTGTCCCAGGCAACAGAATGGATTGGAATAAGATAAGAATTATTAACTAATACTTCAGTCTAGGAAAGAGATGATGAAGACTTTTACTGGAGAGTAGGAGTGGAAAGGGACAGTTTTAAGTCATTTGCTGTTAGAATTTGAGCTATGAAGAAAGGAAGAAGTTATAAAAATTTCAAGATTTTAATGAGAACTATGGAATTTTAGGGAACATGTCGGAGTCAGAAAGACTGTTTGGATGAAGGGGCCACAGATCAAAAGAGGGAAGACAGAAATTTTGGAGATCAGATTTTTTTTTTTTTTTTTTGAGACAGAGTCTTGCTCTGTTGCCCGGGCTGGAGTACAGTGGTGTGATCTCCGCTCAGTGCAACCTCTGCCTCCCAGGTGCAAGCGATTCTCCAGCCTCAGCCTCCCGAGTAGCTGGGATTACAGGCACATTTCACCATGCCCGGCTAATTTTTTTTTTTTTTTTTTAGACAGAGTTTCGCTCTTGTTGTCCAGGCTGGAATGCAATGGCGTGATATTGGCTCATGGCAACCTCTGCCTCCTGGGTTCAAAAGATTCTCTTGCCTCAGTCTCCCTAGTAGCTGGGATTATAGGCGGATGCCACGACGCCCAGCTAGTTTTAGTATTTTTAGTAGAGACAGGATTTCACCATGTTCTTCAAGGCTAGTTTTGAACTCCTGACCTCAGGTGATTCACCCGCCTTGGCCTCACAAAGTGCTGGGATTACAGGCGTGAGCCACCGTGCCCAGCCCAGAGATTAGATTATAATGAGCACTGTGTTAGACTCATCTAATGTGAGGTTACAGTTACAGTCTCTGTGTAAGGAAATGATGTGGGCAATTGGATATAACATATAAAGTTAAGGAAAGAGCTTATGGGTAGTATTCTAGTCTGTTTGGCTGCTATAACAAAATACCTTAGACTGGGTAATTTATAAACAACAGAATTTATCATTTACAGTTCTGGAGAATGGGAAGCCCAAGATCAGGGTGCTAGCAGATTGCGTGTCTGGTGAGGGCCCTCTGCTTCATAGGTGGCCCTTTTTGTTGTGTCCTCACATAGCAGAAGGAAGGGGCAAGAGGGTAACATTCCCTCAGCCTCTTTTATAAGGACTAATCCCATTTATGAAGGCTCTACCCTCATGACCTAATCACTTCTCAAAAGCCCCACCTATTTTTAAGAGACAGAGTCTTGCTGTATTGCCCAGGCTGAAATGCAGTGGCTATTCACAGGTGCAGTTGTAGCACATTGCAGCCTCAAACTCCTGGCGTCAAATGATCCTCCCACCTCAGCCTCCCAAGTAGCTGGGACTCCAAGCAGGAGCCACTGTGCCTGGCTCAGGCCCACCTCTTCTTAATTATGATTACCTTGGGGGTTAAGCTTCAAGATATGGGCCAGTCGTGATGGCTCATGCCTGTAATCCCAGCACTTTGGGAGGCCAAGGTGGTTGGATCACCTGAGGTCAGGAGTTCAAGACCACTCTGACCAACACAGTGAAATCCCATCTCTATTAAAAATAGTTGGGCATGATGGTACATGCCTGTGGTCCCAGCTACTCGGGAGGCTGAGGCAGGAAAATTACTTGAACCCAGAAGGCAGATGTTGCAGTGAGCCAAGATCACGCCACTGCACTTCAGCCTTGGATGACAGAGGGAGACAGTGTCTCAAAAAAAATTTTTTTCATCCTGTGAACTTTAGGGGGACACATACATTCAGACCATAGCAGGTAGTGATAGAGATCTGTGAGTCATTTACATAAAGGTGAGCATTGAAGCAATGGAAGTACATGGGAATTAGATGAATTGCTCCTTTATGGGGCACCCTGATACAGCAAGTG
Source organism: Homo sapiens (assembly GCF_000001405.40). NCBI lineage: Eukaryota > Metazoa > Chordata > Mammalia > Primates > Hominidae > Homo > Homo sapiens. The sequence continues at coordinate 34,598,237 of NC_000014.9, read as the reverse complement.
CTAGGAGTCAAAGAGTTAGCTGCTGCTTGTTGGTTTTGCCCTTGGATAACCATTCATTTGTTCAAAGTCATCTTTTTTGTGTCCCTTGTGCTATTAATTGCTGACCCCAAAAGCCAGATGAGATACTTGGATGAGTTCAGAGTTCCAAATGTATAGGATATATATTCAGAGTTATTGCGGAATCATACAGTGGTATATTGTGCCCCAATAAATTTCACATGTTTAAAGGAACTCCCGAGCTAAAATTTTAATTGTCTGTTAAAATTTTATATAGCAGTGTTTGACAAAATATGGTGAGAGGGCTGCTTGCAACAGAATTATCAGATATGCTCATAAAATGTGAAATATCTAGGCCTTCTTGTAGACCAGCTGAACCTGAATCTTTGAGAGTGAGTCCTGAATATCTATATTATTACCAAACTCCTTTTTTATGCCCTAAAATTTGAAAATCATTGATGTGCATGATGAAATTTCCACTTTATTAAGATTAAAAACTAGGATCCTTTTGAGATTGCCATTTAAATATCAAAGAATAAAGGAGGCACTGCTTTCCATTTGTAACCTTAAAAATGTTAAATTACCTTTCTTTCAGTTGAGTGTGCGAGGAAAAAATAAAAAAGAGAAACTTGAAGACTTCTTTAAAAACATGGTTAAATCAGCAGATGGAGTAATCGTTTCAGGAGTAAAGGTAAGATTTTATTTGATTAACTGTGGTATTAGTTGAGACTTCTTTTAAAAGGGAGATAGATTGAGATTTCAAATGTGCAGAATTAGAGTAAAAGACATTTGGACGGTTAGAATCTTCAGTCCTAGGAACAGGAGGAATCCTCCTGACCTAGATTCCTCTCTTTAGAGCGTTCCCTTCTGCAACGGATGAGAAGTCTTAAGCCAAGGGAATTTGCCCAACTGAAGCCCACACCCCTTCCCTTCACATCAGACCAGGTTCCAGGTTTCTAGAATCCGCTGTCTCCCTACCCAAATCCCAAGCCTTGCAGTTCCTATATGGGCAACTTCCTGAGTTCATGCCATTCACGTGTATTCCATGAGTGGTTAAGGGGTTACCATGGGGCAGGTGGGTGGAGGGGAGGGACAGTGTGCAATGTGGAATGTCCACCCACATGCACATGAAGTCCTCCTAGATGCAGGACAGACAGAGCTGCAGAGTTTACCAAGAGGTACTGCTTCTGTTTTTACATTTAACATTTAGCCTTGGAAATGTTAGGGGCAGACCTAGGTTCAGCTTTGGAGTTAGAAGATCTCAGTTGAGGCCGGGCAAGGTGGCCCATGCCTGTAATCCCAGCACTTTGGGAGGCCAAGGTGGGTGGATCATTTGAGGTCAGGAGTTTTCGAGACCAACCTGGTCAACATGGTGAAACCCCGTCTCTACTAAAAATGCAAAAATTAGCTGGGTGGTAGTCCTGCGTGCCTGTAATCCCAGCTACTCGGGAGGCTGAGGAACCTAGGAGGCGGAGGTTGCCGTGAGCTGAGATTTTGCCACTGCACTCCAGCCTGGGCGACAGTGAGAACCTGTCTCTGTTGTCCTTGGGAAAAGTTACTTTCTTTTCTTTTTCTGGATCTCAGCTTTTCCATTTTCTCTCTCTCTCTTTTTTTTTTTTCCTGAGATAGAGTCTTGCTTTGTTGCCCAGGCTGGAGTGCAGTGGCATAATCTCGGCTCACTGCAACCTCCGCCTCCCAGGTTCAAGCAATTCTCCTGCCTCAGCCTCCTGAGTAGCTGGGATTACAGGCACATGCCACCACGCCTGGCTAATTTTTGTATTTTTAGTAGAAACGGGGTTTCACCATGTTGGCCAGGCTGGTCTCGAACTCTTGACCTCGTGATCTGTCTGCCTCGGCCTCCCAAAGTGCTGGGATTACAGGTGTGAACCACTGCGCCCAGCCAGATTTTCCATTTTCAAAATAGGGTTAATAATACCACCCACCTTACTTACTTATTAAAAAGATTGAATGAGATAATATGTGTGGAAAACACCTATATTTTTCTTTTTTCTTTTTTTTTTTTGGAGACAGAATCTCACTCTTTCGCCCAGGCTGGAGTGCGGTGGCGCGATCTTGGGCTACTGCAAACTCCGCCTCCTGGGTTCACACCATTCTGCCTCAGCCTCCGGAGTAGCTGGGACTACAGGTGCCCGCCATCACGCCCAGCTAATTTTTTTGTATTTTTAGTACAGATGGGGTTTCACCATGTTAGCCAAGATGGTCTCCATCTCCTGACCTCGTGATCCGCCCACCTTGGCCTCCCAAAGTGCTGGGATTACAGGCGTGAGCCACCGCGCCCGGCCGAAAACACCTATACTTTTCTTAATGATGTTCTAAAAATGGTATAAGAGTTGATTTATCTGAAGATTCTTACCATTAAAATATGAGAAAAATGTTTATATTATCAAGCAAATACTAGGAAAAAAAAGAATGCTGCTTTGTCATCATTGCCTGTTTTTATAGACACATCCATAATAAAATCGGTGTGTAGAGTACTATTTGATTTATACTCTGATTTTTCAGAGACAGGTCAGTGGATACTTGACAGTGCATGTGCTGTGGCTGCTTTCCAAGAAGCACTCAGCTTACTTCCATTTGATGCTGCTTATGCATTAATATCAACCATTTTTCTTAGCCATTAAATGTAAACCACTATGTTGATTATAATTTTGATAATTTTATTAATAGAATAATAACATTTTTGAACACTTATAATGTGTTGATTGGTAGCCCACATTTTCTTGTGTGATCTTAATAACCCTGCCAGTTAGTTTTATCCATATTTTTACAATTAAGAAAACTGTGGCCGGGCACAGTGGCTCACGCCTATAATCCTAGCACTTTGGGAGGCCAAGGCAGGCAGATCACCTGAGGTCAAGAGTTTGAGACCAGCCTGACCAACATGGAGAAACCCTGTCTCTACTAAAAATACAAAATTAGCCAGGCATGGTGGCACGTGGCTGTAATCCCAGCTACTCGGGAGGCTTTTGAGGCAGGAGAATTGCCTGAACCCCGGAGGCAGAGGTTGCAGTGAGCCAAGATTGTGCCATTGCACTCCAGCTTGGGCGAAAGAGAGAGAGGGAACTGTTACATATTATGAATTATGAATTTTATTTTAATATTTATTTTTTATTTTATTTTGCATTTTGAGACAGGGTCTTGCTCTGTTGCCTTAGGCTGCTGTGCAGTGCCCCAATCTCGGCTCACTGCAACCTCTGCCTCCCAGGCTCAGGCGATCCTCCCACTTCAACCTCCCAAGTAGCTGGAACTATAGGTACGTGCCATCACACCCAGCTAATTTTTGTATTTTTTGTAGAGACAGAGTTTTGCCATGTTGCCCAGGCTGAACTCCTGGGCTCAAGTGATCTGCCCACCTCGGCCTCCCCAAAGTGCTGGGATTACAGGTGTGAGCCACTGTATCCAGCTGAATTACAGATTTCAGTCACATTTTGTCAGTACTGACTCTTGCTGCTTGTGTTCTGTTGATATGGGTCTCCAATTATATCCTGTCAGCAGATGCTTTTTCATTTAATGATTGGTAATGTAGAAGGGGGTAAAATACTATTAATTTTATTTTTGTGCCAGGTGCAGTGGCTCACTCCTGTAATCCTAACACTTTGGGAGGCTGAGGCAGGTGGGTCACTTGAACTCAGGAGTTTAAGACCAGCCTGGGCAACATGACAACATGACAAAACCCTGTCTCTATAAAAAATACAAAAATTAGCTTGGCGTTGTGGCATGCGCCTGTAGTCCCAGCTACTTGGGATGCTGAATCAGGAGGATTGCTTGAGCCAGGGAGGTTGAGGCTGCAGTGAGCCATGTTTGCACCACTGCAGTCCAGCCTGGATTACAAAGCAAGACTCTGTCTGAAGATAATAATAATAATTTTTATTTTTAATGTATATCTAGCTTTGTTTCAAAAAAAAAAAAAAGGTTGAAGACAGTGGTTAATCACATTGTTGCTCTCAGATAGTTTGGTCAGGTTCCTCAGTGCAGTCAGAAAGGGCCTTAATGACTAAGGCTAGGCAGCCTTCAGGAATGGCCAGTAGAATGTATAACAGGCCAAGAAAAATAGATTTTCACTTCTGTCCACCAGAACTGTTTTCTTTTTCCTTAAAAGGAATTGATCACTTCTGCTGGCAATAATATGTTTATTGAAGAGCAAAATTGTAGAGGCAGATCACAAATAAGAACATGTTTCAGAGTACAATATGTGAGGCCAAGTGCGGTGGCTCATGCCTGTAATCCCAGCACTTTAGCACGTTGGGAGGCCGAGGCGCGCGGATCACTTGAGGTCAGAAACTTGAGACCAGCCTGGCCAACATGGCGAAACCCTGTCTCTACTAAAAAAATACAAAAATTAGGCTGGGCGTGGTGGGTCACATCTGTAATTCCAGCACTTTGGGAGGCCGAGGTGGGCGGATCATGAGGTGAGGAGTTCGAGACCAGCATGACCAATGTGGTGAAACCCTGTCTCTACTAAAAATACAAAAAAAAAAAAATTAGCTGGGCGTGGTGGCGCTTGCCTGTAGTCTCAGCTACTCAGGAGGCTGAGGCAGGAGAATCACTTGAACCCAGGAGGCTGAGGTTGCAGTGAGCCAAGATCGCGCCACTGCACTCCAGCCTGGTGACAGAGCGAGACTTTGCCTAAAAAAAAAAAAAAAAAGAAAAGAAATTAGCTGGGTGTGGTGGTGTGCACCTGTAGTCCCAGCTATTGGGACGCTGAGGCAGGAGAATCGCTTGAACCCGGGAGGCAGAGGTTGCAGTGAACCAAGATCACGCCACTGCACTCCAGCCTAGGTGACAGAGTGAGACTCCATCTCAAAAAAAAAAAAAGAGTACAGCACGTGAACTTGGACCTATATGGGGAGCACTAAGCCTTCAGTTGCAAAGTCATAGAAGATTTCTTACTTGATAGATAGAAATGCATGTCTATTAAAGTCTTGTTGGTGAAATTAGTATAATAACATCTGACTGAGGATAGGTATGCTATTTTACTGATGATCTTTTATATTTATAATGATAGTTATTTACATATAAAACTAAAGCAAATAAGTGAAAAAAGTTTATATTTTCTTTTGATCTTATAGGATGTAGATGATTTCTTTGAGCACGAACGAACATTTCTTTTGGAGTATCATAACCGAGTTAAGGATGCATCTGCTAAATCTGATAGAATGACAAGATCCCACAAAAGTAAGATTTTTCTGTGGCTAAAGCTTATATCTTTTAATGGAATAATTATAAAGTTCATATTATAGTTTGAAAAAGTCTTAATATAGAGCAGTAGTTCTCAAACTGGTCTGTTGGAGCCTAGGCTCCATGGCCCTTTTATAGTGAGCCTGTGAGGTCAAAACTATTTTCAGCTGGGCACAGTGGCTCACGCCTGTGATCACGACACTTTTGGAGGCTGAAGCGGGAATATCACTTGAGCCCAGGAATTCAAGACCAGCCTGAGCAACAGAGTAAGATCCTGTTTGTATTGCACCAGCCTGATATAAAAAATAAAATTAGCCAGACGTGGTGCCGCATGGCTGTGGTCCCAGCTACTAGGAAAGCTAAGGTGGGAGGATGCCTTGGGCCTGGGAGGTTGAGGCTGCAGTGAGCTGTGATGGATCGTACCACCATACTTCAGTCTGGGTGACAGAGTGAGACTGTCTAGACAGCAACAAAACAACAACTATTTTTATAATGATACTGTGATAGTTTTTGCCTTTTTCACCATGTTGACATTTACACCGATGATGGATAAAGTTGCTGCTGCGTAATTACATACAAATCAAGTCAGTGGCAACAAACTGGACGAGTAGTCTCTATATTCTTTCCGGCCATGCACTTGCTCTTTTTTTTTTCTTTGAGACAGAGTCTCTATCGCCCAGGCTGGAGTGCAGCGGTGCAATCTCAGCTCACTGCAACAACCTCAGCCGCCCAAGTTCAAGCAGTTCTCCTGCCTCAGCCTCCCAAGTAGCTGGGATTACAGGCACCTGCCACCGCGCCTGGCTAATTTTTGTATTTTTAGTAGAGATGGGGTTTCACAGTCTTGGCCAGGATGGTCTTGAACTCCTGACCTCATGATCCACCCGCCTTGGCCTTCCAAAGTGCAGGGATTACAGGCGTGAGCCACCGCACCTGGCCACTTGCAATTTTTAAGACATGTGACTTTCACTTAAGAATGCCCTTGATGAAACAGTAAAAATTGATTGTAATCTCTACCCTTGGGTATACATTTTTAAATATTCTGAGTGATGAAATAGGAGGTATGCATAAAGCACTTTGGCTACATACTCAAGTATGATGGTTCTCTAGAAAAGCATTTTAGTGATAGAGTTGTGATTGAACTAGCTAATTTTTTCGTAGAACACTACTTTTACTTTAGAGAATGACTGATAAACTGTTTATGAATATTTGGCAAATGTTTTCTCAAAAATCAACTAATTATTTAAATTAGAGGAACCTGGCCAAAAATCCATCAGTTATTTCAAGGAAAACAAAGGTAGTATTTGTTGCCAATGATAAGTCAAGCTTCAAGCAATAATTCGAATTTTGGAAAACTTTATCTCTCTGACCATGAGCTTACTTCCCAATAGATACTGGACTGGTAGTCTGTATGTTCTTTCCTGCCATGCACTTGCAATTTTTTTTTTTGAGGCGGAGTCTCTGTTGCCCAGGCTGGAGTGCAATGGTACGATCTCGTCTCACTGCAGCCTCTGCCACTGCCATTGCCAGGTTCAAGCAATTCTCCTGCCTCAGCCTCCCAAGTAGCTGGGATTACAGGCGCCTGCCACCGTGCCCGGCTAGATAGACCAATAAAGACCCATATAGAGATTGATGATGATACTAGTGAATGTGATTTTTTAAAAAATTGTACATTGAATTGTGTCACCACTTAGAACATCTGCATAATTCATTGGACCAATGTTTTCTAAACGGCCAAGTGCATAATGCTACAAAATCATATATGTAAAAGAACCACTCAAAGTGCAAAATAGACCAGTGAGGGTTTTTTTTTTAACAGCTTTGTTGAGTGTAATTGATATCAGTAAGCTGCAGTAATCAAAGTGTACAATTTGGTAAGTTTTGGCATGTGTGAAATCCTTACCACAATCAAAATAATGAACACACACATCACCCCCAAAGTTTTCTTGTGGCCCTTTGAAATCTCTCCCTCCTGCCCTATCCCCAGGCAGCCACTGATCTGCTTTCTGTCACTATAGATTAGTTTGTATTTTTTAGTATTTTATATAAATTGAATCATACAGTATGTATTCTTTATTGTCTGGCTTTGAAACTCAAAAAACTATTTTGAGATTCATCCAAGTTGTTGTGTATATCGATAGTTCATTTCTTTTTGTTGCTAAGTAGTGTTCCATTGAATGGATATACAACAATTATTTATTTCTAGCTTTGGCTATTACAGATACAATTTATGTGAGCCATTTCTATATAACTTTTTGTACGGACATGCTTTCTTTCTCTTGGGTAATACCTAGAAGTAGAATGCCTGAGTCATGTGGTAAATGAATATTTAACTTTTTAAGAAACTACCAATTTTTTTTTCCACAATGGTTGTACCATTTTGCATTCCCACGAGCAGGGCATGAGAGTTCCAGTTGCTCCACATCTTTGCCAACAAGGATAGTCAGTCTTTTTTTTTTCCCCAGTGGAATTTGAAGTCTTTTTAACTTTATTCAAGTAGGTCAGTGGTGGTAACTCAGTGTGGTTTAGATTTGTATTGTCCTAATGACTGTTGAGGTTCAACATCTTTTCTTGTGTCCTTCTTCCTTCAGCTTTATTCTTTTTTTTTTTTTTTGAGACGAAGTCTTGCTCTGTCGCCCAGGCTGCTGGAGTGCAGTGGCGGAATCTTGGCTCACTGCAAGCTCCACCTCCTGGGTTTACGCCATTCTCCTGCCTCAGCCTCCCGAGAACCTGGGACTACAGGTGCCCGCCACCACGCCCGGCTAATTTTTTGTATTTTTAGTAGTGACAGGGTTTCACTGTGTTAGCCAGGATGGTTTCAATCTCCTCACCTCGTAATCTGCCCACCTCAGCCTCCCAAAGTGCTGGGATTACAGGCATGAGCCACTGCTCCTGGCCCCAGCTTTATTCTTGTTGTTGTTGTTTTTTGTTGTTGTTGTTGAGACAGGGTCTCGCTCTGTCACCCAGGATGAGTGTATTGGTGCAAACATGGCTCACTGCATCCTCAATCGATCCTTCCACTTCAGCCTGCCAAGTAGCTGGGACCACAGGCATGCGCCACCATGCGTGGCTAATTTTTGTTGTTGCTGCTGAGGGGGTAGAGACAGGGTCTTGCTATGTTGCTTGGGTTGGTCTTGAACTCCTGGACTCAAGCAGTCCTCTCACCTTGGCCTCCCAAAGGGCTGACATGAGCCACCAGACTCCATTTTTTTTTTTCCCTAGACAGAGTCTCTCTCTGTCTATCCAGGCTGGAGGGCAGTGGCACAATCTTGGCTCACTGCCCCACCCCCGTCTCGTGGGTTCAAGTGATTCTCATGCCTCGACCTTCCCCATAGGATTACAGGTGTGTGTCACCATGCCTGGCTATCTTTTGTATTTTTTTTTAGAGATGGGGTTTTGCCATATTGCCCAGGCTGGTCTCGAACTCCAGGTTTGAAGTGATCCGCCCACCTCAGCCTCCCAAAGTGCTGGGATTACAGGCGTGAGCCACTGTGCCCAATCCCAACTTTATTATTTATCACAGTTGTTTTTGACCCTTCTTAGAATCTTTATGTTTTCTTTGTTTTTTGTTTTGTTTTGTGTTTTTGTTTTTGTGAGACAGAGTCTCATTCTGTTGCCCAGGCTGGAGTGAGTGGCGTGATCTCAGCTCACTGCAACCTGCACCTGCTGGGTTCAAGCAGTTCTGCCTCAGCCTCATGAGTAGCTGGGATTACAGGCACATACCACCAAGCCTGGCTAATTTTTGTATTTTTAGTAGAGATGGGGTTTCACCATGTTGGCCAGGCTGGTCTCAAACTCCTGACCTCAGGTGATCTGCCCACCTCGGCCCCCAAAGTGCTGGGATTACAGGCGTGAGCCACCGCCCTCAGCCCTAGAATCTTTATATTTTCTTTTTCCTTTTATTGATACAGAATCTCACTCTGTCACCAAGACTGGAGGCTGGAGTGCAGTGACGTGATCTTGGCTCACTGCAACCTCCGCCTCACAGGTTCAGGCAATCCTCGTGCCTCAGCCTCCCGAGCAGCTGGGACTACAGATGCATGCTACCACACCTGGCTAATTTTTGCATTTTTAGTAGAGACAGAGTTTTGCCATGTTGGCCAGGCTGGTCTTGAACTCTTGACCTCATGTGATCGACCTGCCTCAGCCTCCCAAAGGAGGGAGCGATTACAGGTGTGAACCACTGCCCTCAGCCCTAAAATCTTTATATTTTCATATGAATTTTAGAATCAGCTGTCTTTTTCAACACAAGGGCCTGCTGGGATTTTGATTGGGATTGTGTAGATTCTATAGATTAATTTGGAGAGAACTGGCATCTTAACAATATTGATCCTTCTGATACATTAATATAGCATATTTCCACTGACTCAGGTCTTCGTTAATTTATCTCAGCAGTGTTTTGTAGTTTTCATTGTATAGATCTTATACATCTTTAGTCAGATTGGTTCCTGATTATTTGGTTTTTTATGCTATTATAAGTTTTATGTTTTATTAGGCTGGAGACAGTGACTCAAACCTGTAATTCCAGCACTTTAGGAGGCTGAGGTGGGTGGATCGCTTGAGCTCAGGAGTTCGAGACCAGCCTGGGCAACATGGTGAAACCCAATCTTTGCAAAAAATAGGCCGGGTATGTTGGCTCATGCCTGTAATCCCAGCATTTTGGGATGCTGAGGCAAGGGGATCACATTAAGTCAGGAGTTCGAGGTCAGCCTCGCCCACATGATGAAACCACATCTCTGGCTGGGCGCAGTGACTCACACCTGTAATCCCAGCACTTTGGGAAGCTAAGGCGGGCCGATCACAAGGTCAAGAGATCGATACCATCCTGGCTAGCACGGTGAAACCCTGTCTCTACTAAAAATACAAAAAATTAGCTGGGCGTGGTGGCGGGCGCCTGTAATCCCAGCTACTCAAGAGGCTGAGGCAGGAGAATGATGTGAACCTGGGATGCAGAGCTTGCAGTGAGCTGAGATTGTGCCACTGCACTCCAGCCTGGGTGACAGAGTGAGACTCTGTCTCAAAAAGAAAAAAAAAAAAGAAACCCCATCTCTACTAAAAATACAAAAATTAGCTGGGCATGGTGGCATGCCCCTGTAGTCCCAGCTACTTGAGAGGCTGAGGCACGAGAATCACTTGAACCCGGGTGGTGGAGGTTGCAGTGAGCCAAGACCCCACCACTGCACTCCAGCCTGGGTGGCAGAGTCAGGCCTTATCCCTCCCCCGCCAAAAAAAAAAAAAAAAAAAAATTAGCCAACCGTGGTGGCATGTGCCTGTGGTCCCAGCTACTTGGGAGGCTGAGGTGGGAGAATCACTTGAGCCCAGGAGCTTGAGACTGCAGTGAGCCGTGATCATGCCACCGTGCTCATGCCTGAGCAACAGAGTGAGACCCTGTCTCCAAATAAATAAATTTTGTTTGTTTGTTTGTTTTGAGATGGAGTCTAGCTCTATCGCCCAGGATTTTTGTCTCCAAAATCTTAGATGCCCTTTTTTTTTTTTTTTTTTTTTTTTTTTTGAGATGGAGTCTTGCTCTGTCGCCCAGGCTGGAGTGCAGTGGCACGATCTTGGCTCACTGCAACCTCCACCTCCCGGGTTCACGCCATTCTCCTGCCACAGCTTCCCGAGTAGCTAGGACTACAGGTGCCTGCCACCACACTCGGCTAATTCTTTTGTATTTTTAGTAGAGATGGGGTTTCACCGTGTTAGCCAGGATGGTCTCAATCTCCTAACCTCATGATCTGCCCGCCTTGGCCTCCCAAAGTGCTGGGATTACAGGCATGAGCCACCGTGCCCGGCCATGTTATGTTTTTTAAAATTTCAATTTCAAATTGTTCTTTGCTAATACATAGAAACACAGCATATTTTTTTCAATATTGATCTTATATCCTGCAACCTTGCTAAATAAACTCACTTATTAGTTCTAGTAATTATTTTGTAGATTCCTTAGGATTTTTACATAGATGATCATGTCACGTCTATTAATGAAGAAAGTTATACTTCTTATTTTCCAGTTGTTTTTTTTTTTTTTTTTTTTTTTTTGAGACAGAGTCTTGCTCTGTTGCCCAGGCTGGAGTGCAGTGGTGTGATCTCGGCTCACTGCAACCTCCGCCTCCCGGGTTCACGCCATTCTCCTGCCTCAGCCTTTCCAGTAGCTGGGACTACAGGTGCCCACTACCATGCCCGGCTAATATTTTGTATTTTTAGTAGAGACGGGGTTTTACCGTGTTAGCCAGGATGATCCTAATCTCCTGACCTCATGATCCACCTGCCACGGCCTCCCAAAGTGCTGGGATTACAGGCATGAGCTACTGCGCCCGACCTCCAATTTGTTTTTTTGTTTGAGACGGAGTCTTGCTCTGTCACCCAGGCTGGAGTGCGGTGGCGTGATCTTGGCTCACTGCAACCTCTGTGTCCTGGGTTCAGATGATTCTCCTGCCTCAGCCTCCCGAGTAGCTGGGATTACAGGCATGTGCAACCACACCTGGCTGATTTTTTTATTTTTGATAGAGATGGGATTTCACCATGTTGGCCCAGCTGGTCTCAAAACTCCTGACCTCAGGTGATCTGCCTGCCCCAGCCTCCCAAAGTGTTGGGATTACAGGCATGAGCCACCATGCCTGTTGCTTGCGTTATTTTCTTTACTAGAGTGTCTCATATTACACATTGTTTGAGAGGTAATTGCTCAGTAAGTATTTTTAAATCTATGAATAGGTATACTAAATTCTTAAAACTTTCTCCATAGGTGCTGCAGATGATTACAATAGAATTGGTTCTTCATTATATGCTTTAGGAACTCAGGATTCTACAGATATATGCAAGTAAGTGTTCTAATTTAAAACGTGAAATAGGCTGGGCGCGGTGGCTCACGCCTGTAATCCCAGCACTTTGGGAGGCGAAGGTGGGTGGATTAAGAGGTCAGGAGTTCAAGACCAGCCTGACCAACACGGTGAAACCCCGTCTCTACTAAAAATACAAAAATTAGCCAGGCGGGGTGACACACACCTGTAATCCCAGCTACTCAGGAGGCTGAGGCAGGGATTGTTTGAACCTGGGAGGCAGAGGTTGCAGTGAGCTGAGATTCCACCTTTGCACTCCAGCCTGGGCAACAGAGTGAGACTCCATCTCAAAAAAAATAAATAAATAAAACATGAAATATAGCTGGGCACAGTGGCTCATGCCTGTAATCCCAGCACTTTGGGAGGTGGAAAACCTGAGGTCCGGAGTTCAAGACCAACCTGGCCAACATTGCTAAACCCTATCTCTACCAAAAAATACAAAAATTACCCAGGTGTCGGTGGTGTGTGCCTGTAATCCCAGCTAGCTACTCGGGAGGCTGAGGCACAAGAATCACTTGAACCCGGGAGGCGGAGGTTGCAGTGAGCCAAGATCATGCTGCTGCACTCCAGCCTGGTGACAGAGCAAGACTATCTCAAAAAATATATATGAAATATAAATAAAGCAGAGAAAATTTTCTATTGGCAGCCTGGATGCACACAATACTTTTGGTTTTTGTTTTAGTTTTTGTTTTGAAACAGGGTCTTATTCTGTCACCCAGGCTGGAGTGCAGTGGCACGATCATGGCTCTCTGCAACATTCTCCTTCCACGTTCAAGCAGTTCTCCCACCTCAGCTTCCAAAGTAGCTGGGATTACAGGTGCCTGCCACCATGCCTGGCTAATTCTTGTATTTTTAGTAGAGATGGGGTTTCACCATATTGGCCAGGCTGGTCTCAAGCCCTTGACTTCAAGTGGCCTGCCCGACTCAGCCTCCCAAAGTGCTGGGATTACAGCCTGTGAGCCACTTCTCCCGGCCAACAATACTTCTAATACAAAACTTTTGGAATATTTTTGTCAAAACACATTGATAATAAGGACCTCCTTTAAAAACTTGGGTTGAGGGCTGGGCATGGTGGCTCACGCCAGTAATCTCAGCACTTTGAGAGGCCGAGGCGGGCAGAACACCTCAGGTCGGGAGTTTGAGACCAGCCTGACCAACATGGAGAAACCCTGTCTCCACTAAAAATACAAAATTAGCCAAGTGTGGTGGCAGGTGTCTGTAATCCCAGCTACTTGGGAGGCTGAGGCAGGAGAATCGCTTAAACCCAGGAGACGAAGGTTGCGTTGAGCCGAGATCACAGCATTGCACTCCAGCCTGGGCAACAAGAGCAAAATTCCATCTCAGAAAAAAAAAGAAAAAAGAAAAAACTTGGGTTGATATTTTTTCTTCTCCCTTTCTGTCCTATTTTTTAAATCTGAGAAATAAAAATCGACTTTACTCTCTCTCTCTATATATATTTTTTTTTCTTCCTCCCCAACTGTGTTTTATTTATGAAAATGGGCTGATTTGTGTGTAAGAGAGTGGAAGAACCGAATTTATGTTAGAGTGTTCTTAAGTTTTGATAAAGCTTATAAATAAGAACTGCCATTTGGGAATTAGAATATATATATATGTATGTATGTATGTATATGTGTTTATGTATTTCATTGAAGGTGAAATTGATTCTGCCACCCGCCCCCCGGAAGACGGTGTCTTGCTCTGTCACCCAGGCTGGAGTGCAGTGGCGTGTTCTCTAAAAACACAAAAATTAGACATGGTGGTGTACACCTGTAATCCCTGCTACTTGAGAGGCTGAGGCGTGAGAATCACTTGAACCTGGGAGGCAGAGATTGCAGTGAGCCAAGATCACACCACTGCACCCCAGCCTGGGCGACAGAGCAAGACTTGGTTTCAAAAAAACTAAAAATTAAACATATTTTTAAGCAGGAAAACTATTTTCATAGTCTATGCCTTTCTCTAAACCACATCCTTGACCTTTTCTCTAGTGTATTCTGTCTCAGATATTTAAAAGTCACGCTTTTTGGCAAAGCAAGGTATGATAGCTTACACTAATTAAAATGCCACCAGCCGGGCACAGTGGCTCACACCTGTAATCCCAGCACTTTGGGAGGCCAAGGCAGGTGAATCACCTGAGGTCAGGAGTTGGAGACCAGCCTGACCAACATGGAGAAACCCCATCTCTACTAAAAACACAAAATTAGCCTGGCGTGGTGGCGCATGCCTGTAATCCCAGCTACTCAGGAGGCTGAGGCAGGAGAATCGCTTGAACCTGGGAGGCAGAGGTTGCAGTGAGCCGAGATTGCGCCATTGTACTCTAGCCTTGGCAACAAGAGAGAAACTCCGTCTTAAAAAAAAAAAAAAGCCACCTTCCCAAAGAGTTAATTCTTCTTATCAGGAAGAAGGAAAAAAGTCAACCTTGCCATCTGTTCTCTAACGTAAATCTGTCAAAGCAAGTTCTTTTGAGTGAAAGCAAAGTTCGTAAAATTGTTTTTGCTTTGAGTAGTATTTGCCCTAATTCATTTATGATGTCATTTTAATTACATATTTTACAGAATACTTGAACCTGTGCCCTTTTTTGTTTTTTGAGAGTGGATCTTGCTGTGTGGCTCAGGCTGGCATACAGTAGCTATTCGCAGGTGCAGTCATAGAGCACTGCAGCCTTGAACTCCTGTGCTCAAGCAATCCTCTTGCTTCAGCCTCCTGGGTAGCTGGGACCATAGGTTTGTGCCAGAACGGGGTGACAGAATGATAGCCCATCTCAAAAAAAAAAAAAAGAAAAAAATGAATAACCAATTTCTACTTAAGAATTTATTTTCACTTTTAACTAAATAGTTTATCTGTCAAATGCTGATACCAACTAAAAAATATCCCAGCACCAGACTATTTTTTTTGTAGTTGTTCTTGAGACGGAGTCTCGCTCTGTTGCCCAGGCTGGAGTGCAGTGGCTCAGTCTTGGCTCACTGCAAGCTCCACCTCCCGGGTTCACACCATTCTCCTGCCTCAGCCTCCCAAGTAGCTGGGACTACAGGCGCGTGCCACCACGCCAGGCTAATTTTGTTTTGTATTTTTAGTAGAGACAGTGTTTCACCATGTTACCCAGGATGGTCTCGATCTCCTGACCTCATGATCCTCCCACCTCGGCCTCCCAAAGTGCTGGGATTACAGGCATGAGCCACCGCACCCAGCCAAACACCAGACTATTAAAGGGTAGTTTAATTACAGGATTGCACCATCGTGCCCCACTAATTTTTTGTATTTTTAGTAGAGATAGGGTTTCACTGTGTTGCCCAGACTAGTCTCAAACTCCTGGCCTCAAGTGAGCTGCTTGCCTCAGCCTATTTGCTACAATGAATCTAGATAAATTTTGTTGGCTGGGCACAGTGACTCATGCCTGTAATCCCAGCACTTTGGGAGGCCAAGGTGGGCAGATCACTTGAGGCCAGGAGTTTGAGACCAGCCTGGCCAACATGGCGAAACCCCATTTCTACTAAAAATACAAAAATTAGCCAGGCTTGGTGAGCACCTGTAATGCCAGCTACTTAGGAGGCTGAAGCAGGAGAATCGTTTGAACCCAGGAGGTGGAGGTTGCAGTGAGATGGCGCTACTGCACTGCGGCTGGGGCAAGAAAGCGAGATTCAGTCTCAATAACAACAACAACAACAAAAACACGTTTAATGTATGGCTTAGGCTGTCATCTTGAAATGGGGCCCAGCACTCTGGCTCACACCTGTAATCTCAGCAGTTTGGGAGGCCACTGCGGGCAGATCACTTGAGATCAGGAGTCCAAGACGAGCCTGGGCTCAAGCCATCCTTTCACCTTAGCCTCCCGAATAGCTGGGACTACAGGTGTGCACCACCACACCTGGCTAATTTTTAACCAGGTGAAAACTTGTTTCTACTAAAAATACAAAAGTTAGCCAGGCATGGGGGCAGCTGCCTGTAATCCCAGCTACTCAGGAGGCTGAGGCAGGAGACTCACTTGAACCCAGGAGGCAGAGGTTGCAGTGAGCTGAGGTTGCACCGCTGCACTCTGGCCTGTGCAACAGAGCCAGACTCTGACTCAAAAAAAAAAAAAAAAAAATCAGGGCCGGGCGTGGTGGCTCACACCTGTAATCCCAGCACTTTGGGAGGCCGAGGCGGGCGGATCACGAGGTCAAGAGATCAAGACCATCCTGGCCAACATGGTAAAACCCCGACTCTACTAAAAATACAAAAATTAGCTAGGCGTGGTGGCGGGCGCCTGTAGTCCCAGCTATTCGGGAGGCTGAGGCTGGAGAATCGCTTGAACTCGGGAGGCAGAGGTTACAGTGAGCTGAGATTGCGCAGTTGCACTCCGTTCTGCGCAACAAGCGTGAAACTCCATCGCAAAAAAAAACAAAAATCAAATGAACAGATAGTCTATCTGTAAACAGATTTCAAGTAATCAGTTTTATTGGTAGAAGTACAGGGAGATTTTTGTCAAACTAAATGAAGTCTGCAGTTAATAAGGCTATTGAATATAACTGCAATGAGACAAGGTGTTATTAATATGGTTTGGGAGCATATTCTCATACATTTGAAATGGAAAATTACTTTGAATGTAGAATATGATGAAAATATTTTCCTTTCCAGGTTTTTTCTCAAAGTTTCAGAACTGTTCGATAAAACAAGAGTAAGTACTAAATTATAGAGATATACTGCATAATATTGTGCCCAGAGAGAGCTCATGTTAAAGGTTTTTACCACAATTCAGAAAATTTTTTTAAAAGAGTGATCACTATTGGCCAGGCACGTGGCTCGTGCCTGTAATCCCAACACTTTGGGAGGCCAAGTGGGGCGGATCACGAGGTCACGAGATCAAGACCATCCTGGCCAACATAGTGAAACCCTGTCTCTACTAAAAATACAAAAATTAGTTGGGCGTGGTGACGCATGCCTATAGTCCCAGCTACTTGGGAGGCTGAGGCACAAGAATCGCTTGAACCCGGGAGGCCAACGTTGTAGTGAGCCAAGATTGCACCACTGCACTCCAGCCTGGCGAGAGAGCAAGACTCTGTCTCAAAGAAAAATAAAAAGAGTAATCACTGTTAACCGTTTGGCGATTTAAATCTCTGCATGTGGTAATATTTAACTTGCTATGGTTCTGTTTAACTCTATTGAGGAAGATGAGTGTACTTCAGAAGGATGATGAAACAGATTTGGATTCCATTGGGAGTTTTTCAGGAAATTCCATTTTTTGTTATTGCCTTTAAGTATTTGTATGAAAGTTCATATTCTTCTGTGTGCAGTGACTTAACGCTTGTAATCCCAGCACTTTGGGAGGCTGAGGCAGGAGGATCTCTTGAGTCCAGGAATTTGAGATCAGCCTGGGAAAACATAGCAAGACGCTGCCTCTACAAAACGTTTAAAAATTAGCTAGGTGTGGTGGTGCAAACCTGTAGTCCTACTTGGGAGGCTGAGGCAGGAGGATGCTTGAGCTCAGGAGTTTGAGGCTGCAGTGAGCTGTGACCGTGCATCTGCACTCCATCCTGGGTGACAGAGTGAGACCCTGTCTCTAAAAAAAAAAAAAAATGGAATCCCTCCTGGAACAGATAAACAAATTAATTAAATACTATATACCAATAAGAATAAAGGAACCAGGCCAGGTGGGTCACGCCCATAATGCCATACATTGAAGGGTGAGGTGGGAGGATCAGTAGAGGCCAGGAGTTCGACCAGCTTGGGCAATGTAGCAAGACTCCCTCTCTACAAAAGTTACCAAAAATTAGCCAGGCGTGGTGGCGCACAACTGTAGTCCTAACTACTTGGGAGGCTGAGGCAGGAAGATTCTTGAGCCCAGGAGGTCAAGGTTATAGTGAGTTATGATTGTGCCAGTGTACTCCAGCCTGGGTGACAGAGACCCTGTATCAAAGAAAGAAAGAAAATGAATAGAAAATTACCAGCAACCCAGATGCCCTGTCTCCTCCTCATCTCCTCAGCTGCCTTTCAAGGCACTGCCAGTGAGATTTGGGTTTTTTGTTTTGTTTTTTGTTTGTTTGTTTGTTTTTGAGACGGAGTCTTGCTCTTTCACCCAGGCCGGAGGCTGGAGTGCAGTGGCACGATCTCGGCTCATTGCATCCTTCGCCTCCCAGGTTCAAGCGATTCTCTTGCCTCCTGAGTAGCTGAGATTACAGGCATGTGCCACCACGCCAGGCTAATTTTTGTATTTTTAGTAGAGATGGGGTTTCACCATGTTGGCTAGGCTAGTCTCAAAGTCCTGATGTCAAGTGATCTGCCTGCCTCGGCCTCCCAAAGTGCTGGAATTACAGGCATGAGCCACTGTGCTCGGCCCAGCCCCTTTTTTATTTTTATATATAATATAAATGCATGTGCAACATGTATTATTTTTCTTTCTTTTTTTTTTTTTTGGTAGAGACAGGGTCTTGCTATGTTGCCCAGGCTGGTCTGAAACTCCTGGCCTCAGGCAGTCATTCTGCCTCAGCCTCGCAAAGTGCTGGAATTATAGGTGTGAGCCACTGAGCCCGGCTTATATTCTTTTATGTCTGTTTCTTGTACTCAACATTATATTCATAGGATTAAACCATGTTGTTGCACATAGATGTAGTTCCTTTATTCTTTTTGTTTTAGAGACGGGGTCTCACTCTGTCGGCCAGGCGGGAGTGCAGTTGCATGATCATAACTCATTGTAGCCTCAAACTCTTGAGCTCAAGCATCCTCTTGCCTCAGCCTCCCAAGTAGTTAGGACTACAGATGTGTGTTACCATGCCTGGCTAATTTTTGTAGAGAGGGAGTCTCACTACATTGCTCAGGCTGGTCTTGAACTCCTGGCCTCTTTTGATATTCCTGCCTCACCCTTCAAAGCATTGGGATTACAGGCATGAGCCACCTGGCTTGGTTCCTTTATTCTTCTTGCGGTATAGTATTTTATTAATTTGTTTATCTGTTCTGCTGTTGATAGGCATTTGGATAGTTTCTAGTTTGGGCTTCTTTATAACAATACTGCTAAGATTATTGTTTATCTTCTGAACACAAGTATACAATTCTGTTGGGTATATATAACTAGGAGGGGAATTGATGGATCATATGATAACCACGTGAAAAGCTTCAGCAGAAACTGCAAAACTTTCCCATAATGATTGTACCAATTTGCATGCCCACAAGAATGAGTATGAGCATTTAGGTTGTTCTACAAGCTTGTTAAAACTTAGTATTTTACCTTTATAATTTTTGTCATTCTGGTAGGTGTATAGTTGTTTTAGTTTAACCTTTTTTTTTTTTTTTTTTTTTTTTTTTTTGAGATGAAGTCTCGCTCTGTCGCCAGGCTGGAGTGCAGTGGCGCGATCTTGGCTCACTGAAACCTCCGCCTCCCAGGTTCAAGCAATTCGCCTGCCTCAGCCTCCCGAGTAGCTGGGACTACAGGTGCACGCCTCCATGCCCAGCTAATTTTTGTATTTTTAGTAGAGATGGGGTTTCACCATGTTGGCCAGGGCGGTCTTGATCTCTTGACCTCGTGATCCGCTCACCTTGGCCTCCCAAAGTGCTGGGATTACAGGCATGAGCCACCGCACCTGGCCCCTTAACTTTTTTTTTTTTTTTTTCTTTTTGAGACAGATCTCACTCTGTCACCCAGGCTGGAATGCAGTGGCATCATCTTGATTCACTGCAACCTCCACATCCCGGGTTCAAGTGATTCTCCTGCCTCAGCCTCCCAAGTAGCTGGGATTACAGGCACACATCACCATGCCCAACTAATTTTTGTACTTTAGTAGAGATGGGTTTCACCATGTTGGCCAGGCTGGCCTCGAACTCCTGACCTCAAGTATTCCACCCACCTCAGCCTCCCAAAATGCTAGGATTACAGGCATGAGCCTTATTAAGGTGCCAGCCTTACTTTAATTTTTTATTTTGGCGGTAATTTCAGACTTACAGAAAAGTTGCAGAAAATAGTACAAGAATCCCTGTAATGCATCATCCAGGTTTCTGAATATTAACATTTTCCCTTTTGTATTTTTGTTTGTTTGTTTGTTTTGAGACAGAGTCTTGCTCTGTCACCCAAGCTGGAGTGCAGTGGAACGATCTTGGCTCACTGCAACCTTTGCCTCCTGGGCTCAAGTGAGTCTCATGCCTCAGCCTCCCAAGTACCTGGGATTACAGGCATTGCTGCCACTCCTAGCTAATTTTTATGTAGAGACGGGGGGGTGGGGTTTCACCATGTTGGCCAGGCTGGTCTCGAACTCCTGACCTCAAATGATCCACCTGCCTTGTCCTCCCGTAGTGCTGGGATTACAGATGTGAGCCACTGCACCTGGCCAATATTAACATTTTCTACATTGCTTAAAGTTCTTACATTCCAAAAAGTCTGTCTTCATTCTGTGTCCTTTATGCATACCTATCTCTTTTTTTAGTATAAGAATTATTTTTAATATAGTCAATACTGTTACTAATGATTCTCCCTTAATGTCATCAAATATCCAGTATGTACATTTTCCCAATTGTCTCATAAATGGCTTTTTATTATAGTATAGCTTGTTTGAGTCAGGATACAAACAAGGTCCCATATATTGCATTTGGTTGATATAATAAATTTCTTTTCATCCTCTGTCCCGTCATACTGAAGAGCTATCTTTTTAGTCTGACCTGGCTACTTCCCCTTCCATCTCACCTCAAACATACCACTTCTGGTTATTACTCTGTGGTGTCTTCAGGCACATTTTACTAAAGCTTTGACTGCATTTTCTAGCTGTCTTCAGCAGGAGGATTAGATTGAATTACCTAGTCTACCATTGCAAGCCTTCATTCCTTTAAAATTGTGTGTACATATCAATTACAATTGAAATGAATAGAGGCTGGGCACAGCGGCTCACATCTGTAATCCCAGCACTTTGGGAGGCTGAGGTGGGTGGGTCACCTGAGGTCAGGAGTTCGAGACCAGCCTGGCTAACAAGACAAAACCCCGTCTCTACTAAAAAAAAATACAAAAAAATTAGCCAAGCTTGGTGACGTGCACCTGTAATCCCAGCTACTAGGGAGGCTGAGGCAGGAGAATCGCTTGAACCCAGGAGGCCGAGGTTGTAGGGAGCTGAGATCATGCCACTGTACTCCAGCCTGGCAACAGAGCAAGACTTCGTCTGGAAAAGAAAGAAATACCTAGAAAGTTTTTTTTTGTTTTGTTTTTTGTTTTTTGAGACAGTCTCTCGCTCTGTCACCCAGGCTGGAATGTAGTGGCTCAATCTTGGCTCACTGCAACCTCAGCCTTCTGAGTAGCTGGGATTACAGGCATGCACCACCATGCCTGGCTAATTTTTGTATTTTTAGTAGAGACGGGGTTTCACCATGTTGGTCAGGCTGGTCTCGAACTCCCGACCTCATGATCCGCCCGCCTCGGCCTCCCAAAGTGCCAGGAATACAGGCATGAGCCACCATACCCAGCCTGAGAAAATATTAATGAAGGTAAAAGATCATATTGAAACTCATTATAGAGTCTGACTGGGCATGGTGGTTCACACCTGTAATCCCAGCACTTTGGAAGGCTGAGGCAGGAGGATCATTTGAGGTCAGGAGTTTGAGACCAGCCTGGCCAACATAGTGAAACCCCACCTCTACTAAAAATACAAAAGTTAGCCAGGCGTGGCAGTGCATGCCTGTAATTCCAGCTACTCGGGAGGCTGCGGCAGGAGAATTGCTTGAACCTGGGAAGCAGAGGTTGCAGTGAGCCGAGATTGCGCCACTGCATTCCAGCCTGGGTGACAGAGTAAGACTCTGTCTCAAAAAAAAAAAAAATATATATATATATATATGGTGTCCTTCCATAAACTCACGAGTCTCATTTGATCTTTTTTCTGTTCATTTTATGTGAGAGTTGCAAAGAAAAGTAACAGGCTGGTAGAAGCAAAAAGGGAAGGAAAGCTCAATAAAATAGGAATGGATACTATAGTTAAAACTTCAATTTTTTAAACTATAATAATAGTTAAAATTAAGTAGGAAATTAAGTAATTAAGAAGGAAACGAGGCCGGGCGCGGTGGCTCACGCCTGTAATCCCAACACTTTGAGAGGCTGAGGCGGGCAGATCACGAGGTCAGGAGATTGAGACCATCCTGGCTAACATGGTGAAACCCCGTCTCTACTAAAAAATACAAAAAAAATAGCCGGGCGTGGTGGCGGGCGCCTGTAGTCCCAGCTGCTCGGGAGGCTGAGGCAGGAGAATGGCGTGAACCCAGGAGGCGGAGCTTGCAGTGAGCCAAGATAGCGCCACTGCACTCCAGCCTGGGTGACAGAGCAAGACTCCGTCTCAAAAAAAAAAACAAAAAAACAACAACAACAAAAAGAAGGAAACCACTGAGAGGAGAATGTAGTTGTTGATTAAATATTCAATTTTTTCCTTCTTTTCAGAAAATAGAAGCACGAGTGTCTGCTGATGAAGACCTCAAACTTTCTGATCTTTTAAAATATTACTTAAGAGAATCTCAAGCTGCTAAGGTAATTTTAATCTTTTTTTAAATGAGCCATTTTACAAACAGCCATTTCTTGAGTTTGTTAGACTTCAGATTGTTAATGATGATTTATCTCCTTTATATGATTTTAAATTATATTTTCAAATATGAATTCTATTTCTCCTTTTAGAAATTGTATATATGTGTATAATTGTACATATTTCATGTGGGAAACCCTACATAAAAGTTTCCTCTTTATTATACTTCTGATATAATCTAGAACTTTAAAAAAATGAATTTGTGGTCAGGTGTGGTGGCTCACGCCTGTAATCCCAACACTTGGGGAGGCCGAGGCCAGAGGATCACCTGACGTCAGGAGTTCAAGACCAGCCTGGCTAGCATGATGAAACCCTGTCTCTACTAAAAATACAAAAATTAGCTGGCATGGTGGCGGGTGCCTGTAATCCCAGCTACTTGGGAGGCTGAGGTGGGAGAATCACTTGAACCCGGGAGGCAGAGGTTGCAGTGAGCTGAGATCGCGTGCCATTGCACTCCAGCCTGGGCAACAGGAGCGAAACTCTGTCTCAAAAAAAAAAAAAAAAAAATTGAGGCCAGGGGTGGTGGCTCATGCCTCTAATTAATCAGCACTTTGGGAGGCTGAGGTGGTGGATCACCTGAGATCAGGAGTTCGAGACCACCCTGGCCAACATGGTGAAACCCCATCTCTACTAAAAATACAAAAATTAGCCGGGCATGGTGGTGGGCGCCTGTAGTCCCAGCTACTTGGGAGGCTGAGGCAGGAGAATTGCTTGAACGCAGGAGGTGGAGGTTGCAGTGAGCAGATATCACGCCATTGCACTGCAGCCTGGGCAACAAGAGTGAAACTCTGTCTCAAAAAATAATAATAATAAATAAAAACAAAGAAAAAGAAAAAAGCAGGAGCTGGCCGGGCGCAGTGGCTTACGCCTGTAATCCCAGCACTTTGGGAGGCCGAGGCGGGTGGATCACCTGAGTTTGGGAGTTCGAGACCAGCCTGATCAACATGGAGAAACCCCAACTCCGTCTTAAAAAAAAAATGAATTTGGTATATTTCTTCAGGTAAAATGTCTTGGAAAACAAAACCCTGGAATAACAGTTGTATTGCTAAAGGATTTCTTTCTTTTTTTTTTTTTTTTTTTTTTTGAGATGGAGTCTCACTCTGTCACCCAACTGTAACCTCTTCCTTCTGGGTTCAAGCGGTTTTCCTGCCTCAGCCTCCTGAGTAGCTGGGATTACAGGCTTGTGCCACCACACCCAGCTAGTTTTCGTATTTTTAGTAGAGGCGGGATTTCCCTATGTTGGCCAGGCTGGTCTCGAACTCCTGACCTCAGGTGATCTGCATGCCTTGGCCTCCCAAAGTGCTGGAATTAACAGGCATGAGCCACATACTGCGAAAGGATTTCTTTTTTTCTCTTTTTTTTTTTTTTGAGGTGGACTCTAGCTCTGTTACCCAAGCTGGAGTGCAGTGGCATGATTGCAGCTCACTGCAACCTCCGCCTCCCGGCTTCAAGTGATTCTCCTGCCTCAGCCTCCCAAGTAGCTGGGATTACAGGTGCCCGCCACCGCGCCTGGCTAATTTTTGTATTTTTAGTAGAGATGGAGTTTCACCATATTGGCCAGGCTGGTCTCGAACTCCTGACCCCGTGATCCCCCCACCTCGGCCTCCCAAAGTGCTGGGATTACAGGCATGAGCTACCACACCCGGCCGCAAAAGGATTTCTATTTGGTCTATGCAAGTCCT
Organism: Homo sapiens; assembly: GCF_000001405.40. Taxonomy (NCBI): domain Eukaryota; kingdom Metazoa; phylum Chordata; class Mammalia; order Primates; family Hominidae; genus Homo; species Homo sapiens. The sequence continues at coordinate 34,574,021 of NC_000014.9, read as the reverse complement.
CCATTGAGCATGAGAGTGCCATAAAACAAAAATACGCTTTTTTATAAGGCAACTCATGTTTCCTTTTAAAAGGCCATGTGCTCCTGGGCGCAGTGGCTCATGCCTGTAATCCCAGCACTTTGAGAGGCTGAGGAGGGTGGATCACAAGGTCAGCAGTTCGAGAGCAGCCTGGCCAACATAGTGAAACCCCGTCTCTACTAAAAATACAAAAATTAGCCAGGCATGGTAGCAGGCACCTGTAATCACAGCTACTCCAGAGGCTGAGGCAGGAGAATTGTTTGAACCCAGGAGAGGGAGGTAGGTAGCAGTGAGCCGAGACCGCGCCATTGCATTCCAGCCTGGGCGACAAAGCGAGACTCCGTCTCGAAAAAAATAAATTAATTAATTAAAAAAAAAAAGCTGTGTGCAAGACTAAAACACTAACCAAAAACAATTTGTTTTTTTTTTAAGGCAGAGTCTCGCCCTGTTGCCCAGGCTGGAGTGCAGTGGCATGATCTTGGGTTATGGCAACCTCTGCCTGCTGGGTTCAAGCCATTCTCCTGCCTCCGCGTCCTGAGTAGCTGGGACTACAGGCACTTGCCACCATGCCTGGATAATTTTTGTATTTTTAGTAGATACGGGGTTTCACCATGTTGGCCAAGCTGGTCTCGAACTCCTTACCTTAAGTGATCCACCAGCCTCAGCCTCCCAATGTGCTAGGATTACAGGCGTGAACCATCCCGCCTGGCCTCAAAAAGTTTTTTTGGCTGGGTACTGTGACTTATGCCTGTGATCCCAACACTTAGGGAGGCCAGTGTGGGAAAATCACATGAGGCCAGGAGTTCAAGACCAGCCTAGGCAACAAAATGACATTCTATGTCTACAAAATATTTTGAAAATTAGCTAGGCCATGGTGGTGTGTTCCCGTAGTCCCAGGGGAGGCTGACACAGGAGGATTGCTTGAGCCCAGGAGTTCAAAGCTGCAGTGAGCCGTGATTGCCACTGTATACTGTTGCCTGGACAACAGAGTAAGACCTTGTCTTTTAAAAAAGTTAACACGAGGCCAGGTGCGGTGGCTCACACCTGTAATCCCAGCACTTTGGGAGGCTTAGGCGGGTGGATCACGAGGTCAGGAGATCAAGACCATCCTGGCTAACACAGTGAAACCCCGTCTCTACTAAAAAAATACAAAAAATTAGCCGGGCATGCTGGTGGGTGCCTGTAGTCCCAGCTAGTCGGGAGGCTGAGGCAGGAGAATGGCATGAACCCAGGAGGCGGAGCTTGCAGTGAGCCGAGATCGCGCCACGGCACTCCGGCCTGGGGGACAGAGCGAGACTCCATCTCAAAAAAAACAAAAAAAAACAAAAAAAACACAAATAACTGAAAAGCACTGAAAACTTAGTGGATCAGATAATGCAAATTCAATGTTAATTTGTGAATTGAGATATTGTACACAAAATTCCCACCTGATCACTGATGCTGATAATTTTTATTAAATTATCTATAACCCTTTAACTTTGAATTCTTAGGTACTTATAAATACACTGTTCATATCAAATTATATCTTATAAACTATTTACATTGGATGGGCAGTGCTAAAATACTCACTTTTGAAGACTTTAAATTATCAAATGTGGTTGTTTTTTGTTTTAATTTTTTGCAGAGACAAGTGTCTCACTATGTTGCAAACTCCTGGGCTCAAGTTATCCACCCGCCTCGGCCTCCCAAGGTGTTGGGATTATAGTTGTGAGCCACTGTTCCCAGCCAAATGTGGTCGTTAATAGATAACAATTTCTTAGTAACTTTAAGAAATAATTAAAATTTAGTTGTCAGAATTAAAACTACAACAAGGTATCACTGTACACCTTAATTAGAATGGCTAAAATGAGAAAAATTCTGGCAAAGATACATACCAACTTAAACCATCATATACTGTTAATATAAGGAATGTGGTGCACTTCCTTGGAAAACTTCATAGTTTCTTAAAAGGCGAAATATACTATCCAGTGATCCAGTCAGTTCACTTCTAGGTATTTACCCAAGAGAAATGAAAGCAGGGCTGGGCGTGGTGGCTCACCCCTGTTATCCTTTGGGAGGCCAAGCCAGAAGGATTTCTGGAGGCCAGGAATTCAAGACCAGCCTGGCAACATAGCCCAATCCTATCTCTATTGAAAAGAAGGAAAGAAAGAAATGAAAGCATATGTCCATACAGGTGTTCACAGCAGCTTTATTTGTAACAGCTGAAAATTGACAACGCAAATATTCAATGGATGATGAGATAAACACATTGTTATATAGCCATACAATGGAATAGTACTCAGTAATAAAAAGAAATGTGCTGTGGATGCATGATATGTGCCCACCATTATAATATTATACACAGTATTTTTGTTGTCCTAAAAATCCTCTGTGCTCTCTCCCTTCATCCTCCTTTCTCCCAATCCCTGGCAGCCACTGATCTTTTTACTGTCTCCATAGTTTTACTTTTTCTAGAATGTTATATAGTTGGAATCATGTAGTATATAGTGTTTTCAGGTGGGCTTCTTGCATTTAGTTACATGCGCTTAAGTTTCTTCTGTGTCTTTCCGTTTTTTGTTGTTGTTTTTTTTTGAGACGGAGTCTCACTCTGTCACCCAGGCTGGAGTGCCGTGGCATGATCTCGGCTCACTGTAATCTCCATTTCCCATGTTCACGCCATTCTCCTGCCTCAGCCTCCCAAGTAGCTGGCACTGCAGGCGCCCACCACCACGCCCGGCTAATTTTTTGTATTTTTAGTACAGACGGGGTTTCACCGTTTTAGCCAGGATGGTCTTGATCTCCTGACCTCGTGATCCACCTGCCTCAGCCTCCCAAAGTGCTGGGATTACAGACGTGAGCCACTGCACCTGGCCTCTTCTATGTCTTTTCATGGCTTGATAGCTCATTTCTTCTTAGTGCTGAATAATATTCCATTGTCTGGATGTAACACAATTTATATTCTCAGAATATATGAAGAACTCTTAATAAAAAGAGAAGGCTGGGGCCAGGTGCGGTGGCTGACGTCTGTAATCCCAGTACTTTGGGAAGCCAAGGGGGCCGGATCACGAGGTCAGGAGATCGAGACCATTCTGGCTAACACAGTGAAACCCCATCTCTACTAAAATACAAAAAAATTAGCCGGGCGTGGTGGTGGGCGCCTGTAGTCCCAGCTACTCGGGAGGCTGAGGCAGGAGAATGGCATGAACCCGGGAGGCAGAACTTGCAGTGAACCAAGATTGCACCACTGCACTCCAGCCTGGGCGACACAGTGAGACTCCATCTCAAAAAAAAAAAAAAAAGAGAAGGCCAGGTGCGGTGGCTCACACCCGTAATCCCAGCATTTTGGGAGGCTGAGGCAGGTGGATCACGAGGTTGAGAGTTCAAGACCAGCCTGGCCAACATGGTGAAACCCTGTCTCTACTAACAATACAAAAAAATTAGCCAGGTATGGTGGCAGGCACCTGTAATCCCAGCTACTTGGGAGGCTGAGGTGGAGAATTGCTTGAATCTGGGAAGCAGAGGTTGCCCTGAGCCGAGATCGCACCACTGCACTCCAGCCTGGATGACAGAGCACGACTCAGTCTCAGGAAAAAAAAAATGTGAGATATCACTTTATACCCACAAGGTGGCCTTCATTTAAAAAAAAAAAAAGCTGGTAAGACCAGGCACAGTGGCTCACACCTGTAATCCCAGCACTTTGGGAGGCAGAGGTGGGCAGATTACTTGAGGTCGGGAGTTCAAGACCAGCATGACCATGGAGAAACCCTGTCTCTACTAAAAATACAAAATTAGCCAGGCGTGGTGGCACATGCCTGTAATCTCAAGGTACTCTGGAGGCTGAGGCAGGAGAATTGCTTGAACCCAGGAGGCAGAGGTTGCGGTGAGCTGAGATCGCGCCATTGCACTCCAGCCTGGGCAAAAACAGCGAAACTCCATCTCCAAAAATGAAACAAAAAAAAAAACCCCAAAAAAACAAAATAAGTGTTGGCAAGGATGTGAGTGACAAAATTTGAACTCTCATATGGTGTTGGTAGGAATGTAAAATGTTCAGCCACTATGGAAAACCATATGGCAGTTACTCAAAGGTTTGATGTAGAGTTACCATATGACTCAGTGATTTCATTCCTTAATAGTGAGAAATGAAACCATGTCCACATAAACACTTGTATGCAAATGTTCACAGCAGCATTATTAATTATATCCAAAAAGTGGTAATAAACCAAATGCCTATCAACTGATGAATTAATGTGATATAACCATACAGTGAAATACTACTCAGCAGTAGAAAGGAGTGAAATATTGATTTGTGCTACAACATAGATGAACTTGAAACATGCTAAGTGGCAGAAGCTAGGCACAAAAATCACACTATTCCATTTTTATGAAATGTCCAGAATAGGTGAATCCCCATCTCTACTAAAAGTACAAAAATTAGCCAGGCTTGGTGGCACACGCCTGTAGTCCCAGCTACTCAGGAGGCTGAGGCAGGAGAATCACTTGAACCGGGAGGTGGAGGTTGTAGTGAGCCGAGTTCACACCACCGCACTCCAGCCTAAGCAACAGAGTGAGACTCCATCTCAAAACAAAAAACAAAAAAAAAAAACATGTCCAGAATAGGCAAATCTGTAGTAGGCAGCAAATTAGCAGTCGTCTAGGGATATGGGCACACATGGGGAAATGGCAAGTGGCTGTTAATGGGCATGGGGTTTCTTTTTGGGTGATGAAAGTGTTCTAAAATCGATTATGGTGATCCTCAGTTCTGTGAGCTTGCTAAAAACCATTGAATTACATATTTTAAATTGTGAGTTATGTGGTACATGGACTATCAAGCTGTTACTTAAAAAAACGGACTGAGCCCTTTCCCCTGGCTGGCAGTGCACAGGCCGGGCCGCATGATGCCTGGAGTTACTGTAAAAGATGTGAACCAGCAGGAGTTCATCAGAGCTCTGGCAGCCTTCCTCAGAAAGTCTGGGAAGCTGAAAGTCCCCGAATGGGTGGACACCGTCAAGCTGCTGGCCAAGCACAAAGAGCTTGCTCCCTACGATGAGAACTGGTTGTACACGCGAGCTGCTTCCACAGCGTGGCACCTGTACCTCTGGGGTGGCGCTGGGGTTGGCTCCATGACCAAGATCTATGGGGGATGTCAGAGAAGTGGCGGCATGCCTGGCCACTTTAGCCGAGGCTCCAAGAATGTGGCCCACCGGGTCCTCCAAGCCCTGGAGGGGCTAAAAATGGTGGAAAAGGACCAAGATGGGGGCCGCAAACTGACACGTCAGGGACAGAGAGATCTGGACAGAATCGCTGGACAGGTGGCAGTTGCCAACAAGAAGCATTAGAACAAACCATGCTGGGTTAATAAATTGCCTCATTCGTTAAAAAAAAAAAAAAAACAGGCTGAGTGCAGTGGCTCACGCTTGTAATCCACTTTAGCAGGCTGAAATAGGGGGATCACTTTGAGGCCAGGAGTTTGAGACCTGCCTGGGCAACATAGTGAGGCCCCGTCTCTACAAAAATCTTTAAATATTAGAATAACTTTGGGAGGCCGAGGCGGGTGGATCACGAGGTCAAGAGATCGAGACCATCCTGGCTAACGTGGTGAAACCCCATCTCTACTAAAACTACAAAAATTAGCCAGGCGTGGTGGCGTGCACCTGTAGTCTCAGCTACTCGGGAGACTGAGGCAGGAGAATTGCTTGAATCTGCGAGGTGGAGGTTGCAGTGAGCTGAGATCGCGCCACTGCACTCCAGCCTGGTGACAGAGCGAGAATCCGTCTTAAAAAAAAAAAAAAAATTCAGAGGTTGCGGTGAGCCAAGATCACGCCATTGCATTCCAGCCTGGGCCACAAGAGCAAAACTCCACCTCAAAAAAAAAAAAAAAAATTGGAGTAACTGGCATGTAGTATTCACTATGTGTTAGCTCTGATGGTTGTGGTGGTGGTGACAGTGGTGGCTGGGTGTGACTACTGGAAACATGCAGTATATATACTATTGTGAAGCATTCTGTTTTATAGGATCTCCTGTATCGAAGGTCTAGGTCACTAGTGGATTATGAAAATGCTAATAAAGCACTGGATAAAGCAAGAGCAAAAAATAAAGATGTTCTACAGGCCGAAACTTCCCAACAATTATGTTGTCAGAAATTTGAAAAAATATCTGAGTCTGCAAAACAAGGTACTGTTACGTTAACCTTTAATCACAAGATATGCTTTATGACTATTATGTAAATTAAATAATCCTAATTTCTTTTTCACAGAACTTATAGATTTTAAGACAAGAAGAGTTGCTGCATTCAGAAAAAATTTAGTGGAACTGGCAGAGTTAGAACTGAAGCATGCAAAGGTAGTGTTGTAATAAAGATTTAATAATTTAAGTTACATGTAATATAGAAATGAATCAGTTATGACATTGATAATTCTTTAATGTCAGTTCTCATAGGGATACTGTGACAACTATTCCTGAACTGGAATTACATTTTCCAAGATTATTTCACTGCTTCAAAATAGTTGGTCTGGGTTTTTTGTTTTGTTTTGTTTTTTTGAGACAGAGTCTGGCGCTATTGCCCAGGCTGGAGTGCAGTGGCAATGATCTCAGTTCACTGCAACCTCTGCTTCCCGGGTTCAAGCGATTCTCACGCCTCAGCCTCCTTAGTAGCTGGGATTACAGGTATGTGCCACCACACCTGGGTAATTTTTGTATTTTTAGTAGAGACAGGGTTTCACCATGTTGGTCAGGCTTATCTCGAAATCCCGTCCTCAAATGATCCTCCTGCCTCAGCCTCCCAAAGTGCTGAGATTACAGACACGAGCCACCGTACCCGGCTAGTCTGGGGCTTTTTTGTTTTGTTTTGTTTTGAGACCTCCGCAACCTCTGCTTCCCAGGTTCAAGCAACTCTTCTGCCTCAGCCTCCCGAGTAGCTAGGACTACAGGTGCGTGCCACCACACCCAGCTAATTTTTGTATTTTTAGTAGAGACAGGGTTTTCACCATGTTAGCCAGACTGGTCTCGAACTCCTGACATGAGGTGATACACCTGCCTCGGCCTCCCGTAGTGCTGAGATTACAGGCATCAGCCACCATGCCCGGCCAGGTTTTTTGAAAATGTATTTATTTAATTATGTTTTAGAGCTGGAGTCTTGCTGTGTTGTCCAGGATAGCATCAAACTCCTGGGCTCAGTTAATCCTCCTGCCTCAGCCTCCCGAGTAGCTGGGATTACAGGTGTATGCCACCATGCCTGGCCCTCTGGTCTTTTTTCACGTTAGTTGTTTACTTTGAATTAAGCCTCTTCTTGTAGTTAATAGAAAGTTTGGCCTAAACCTTATAGTAATTTTAAGAATAGAGAATCTTAGAATTGAGAGGGATTTTAAAGATTATTTAATTAAAGTAAAAATAATATCTATAACGTCTCCAATGGTCAGCTCTGAAAGAATCTAATACCTAATATGGAAACCAGTATCATTTTTTGACTAGTTGTTTTTTAAAAAGTCTTTCTTAATAAAAACATTTAAAAATTAGGCTGGGTGCGGTGGCTCACGCCTGTAATCCCAACACTTTGGGAGGCCAAGACCGGGTGGATTATCTGAGGTCAGGTGTTCAAGACCAGCCTGGCCAACATGGTGAAACCTCATCTCTACTAAAAATATAAAAATTAGCTGGGCGTGGTGGTGGGCGCCTGTAATCCCAGCTACTTGGGAGGCTGAGGCAGGACAGTTGCTTAAACCCAGGAGGCAGAGGCTGCGTGAGCCAAGATTGTGCCACTGCAGTGCAGCCTGGATGCCAAAAAGAAAAATTTATTTAACATTTGCTGTTTTTGTTTTTTGATTTCTTGGTCTAATAACCCTGTCAAAATGTTTTGATAAGTTTGACATTATTACTCTTACTGAGCCTGAGCTGGTTTCTAATGTTCATTGTTTTTCTTTTTTTTTAAAGAGAGGCTGGGCACAGTGGCTCATGCCTTTAATCCCAGCCCTTGAGGTCAGGAGTTCGAGACCGCAAGCCAACATGGTGAAACCCTGTCCTCTACTAAAAATACAAAAATCAGCCAGGCGTGGTGGCTCACGCCTGTAATCCCAGCACTTTGGGAGGCCGAGGCGGGTGGATCACGAGGTCAGGAGATCGAGGCCATCCTGGCTAACACGGTGGAACCCCATCTCTACTAAAAATACAAAAAATTAACCAGGCATGGTGGCGGGCGCCTGTGGTCCCAGCTACTCAGGAGGCTGAGGCAGGAGAATGGCATGAACCCGGGAGGCGGAGCTTGCAGTGAGCCAAGATTGCGTCACTGCACTCCAGCCTGGGAGACAGAGTGAGACTCCGTCTCAAAATAAAAAAGAAAAAAAAAAAATCAGCCAGGCATAGTGGTGCACGCCTGTAATCCCAGCTTCTCCGGAGGCTGAGGCGAGACGATCGCTCGAACCCGGGAGGCGGAGGTTGCCGTGAGCCAAGATTGCGCCACTGCACTCCAGCTTGGGCGACAGAGTGAGATTCTGTGTCTAAAAATAAAAACAAAGAGGTCATGAACTACCAAAAGTTTTGCTGTAGATCAGGGGTTGGTAAACTACAGCCCACCTGCTTTTGTAGTCTGTGAGGAGGGAATGGTGTTCCCATTTTTAAATGGTTGGGTTTTTTTTTTCTTTAAGGTAGAATATGTCAGCCGGGCGCGGTGGCTCACGCCTGTAATCCCAGCACTTTGGGAGGCCAAGGCGGGCAGATCACGAGGTCAGGAGATCGAGACCATCCTGGCTACCACGGTGAAACCCCGTCTCTACTAAAAATACAAAAAATTAGCCGGGCGTGGTGGCGGGCGCCTGTAGTCCCAGCTACTCGGGAAGCTGAGGCAGGAGAATGGCGTGAACCCGGGAGACAGAGCTTGCAGCGAGCTGAGATCATGCCACTGCAGTCCAGCCTGGGTGACAGAGCAAGACTCCTTCTCCAAAAAAAAAAAAAAAAAGTCATGACATGTATTAAATGTATTAATTATGAAATTCAGATTTAAGTATCCGTAAGTAAAATTTTATTGGAACGCAGCCAAGTTCATTCATTTATGCTTGTGGCTGCTTTTATGTAGTAGCATAATGGAGTTGTTGAAACAGCCTAAAATACTTATTATTTAGCCTTTTACACAAAAAGTTTGCTGAGTCCTTCTAGAGATTGATGTCAGTGTCCAGTTTCCAGATTCTATACTTTTTTTTTTTTTTTTGATACTTAGTTTCACTCTTTTTGCCCCAGGCTGGAGTGCAGTGGCGTGATCTCAGCTCACTGCAACCTCTGCCTCCCGGGTTCAAGCAATTCTCCTGCCTCAGCCTCTCGAATAGCTGGGACACAGGTGCACACCACCACGCCCAGCTAATTTTTGTATTTTTAGTAGAGATAGGGTTTCACCATGTTGGCCAGGCGGGTCTCAAACTGCTGACCTCAGGTGATCCGCCTACCTCGGCTTCCCAGAGTGCTGGGATTGCAGGCGTGAACCACCGCGCCTGGCCAGATTCTATACTTTTTCAAGTTCTTTCTGACCTGAGTTCTCTGTATTTAGATTTCTGATAACTGTTCTATTAACAGTAGTACTCAACCAGAGGTGATTCTGCCCCCCAGAGGACATTTTGCAATATCTGGAGACATTTGTGGTTATCACAACTGGGTGTTCTATGGTTACTACCAGTACATGGTGGGCCAAGGATGCTGTTAAATATCCTACAGTGAAGGCTGGGTGCCATGGCTCACCCCTGTAATCCCAGCACTTTGGGAGGCCAAGGCGGGCAGATCACCTGAGGTCAGGGGTTCAAGACCAGCCTGGCCAACATAGTGTAACCCCGTCTCTACTAAAAATACAAAAAATTAGCCAGCGTGGTGGCACGCGCCTGTAATCTCAGCTACTCAGCAGGCTGAGCCAGAAGGATCGCTTGAACCCGGGAGGCAGAGGTTGCACTGAGCCAAGATCATGCCACTGCACTTTAGTCTGGGTGACAAAGCAAGACTCTGTCTCAAAACAAAGGCCAGCGCAGTGGCTCACGCCTGTAATCACAGCACTTTGGGAGGCTGAGGTAGGCGGATCACCTGAGATCAGGAGTTCAAAACCAGCCTGGCCAACATGGCAAAACCCCGTCTCTACTAAAAATACAAAAATTAGCTGAGCATGGTGGCAGACACCTGTAATCCCAGCTACTGGGGAGGCTGACGCAGGAGAATTACTTGAACCCAGGAGGCGGAGGTTACAGTGACCTGAGATGGTGCCATTGCACTCCAGTCTGGGCAACAGAGTGATACTCCATCTCAGAAAAAAAAAAAGAAAAAAAATTTACTGAAGAATCTGGTATGTAGAAAGTATTATTGTATGTGAAACAAATCATGTAATTTTATGTATTTAAACCTTTATGTGTATATAATGAATGGCTGTTTTAAAATTTCTAATATATCGATAAAGTCATATGACTTCTAACACTATATTTTTTTTTTCTTATTTTTTTTTTTTTGAGACGCAGTCTCACTCTTTCGCCCAGGGTGGAGTGCAGTGGCGCGATCTCTGCTCACTGCAAGCTCCGCTTCCCGGGTTCATGCCATTCTCTTGCCTCAGCATACCGAGTAGCTGGGACTACAGGTGCCAACCACCACGCCCGGCTAATTTTTTGTATTTTTTAGTAGAGATGGGGTTTCACTGTGTTAGCCAGGATGGTCTCGATCTCCTGACCTCGTGATCCACCCGCCTCGGCCTCCCAGAGTGCTGGGATTACAGGCATGAGCCACCGCGCCCGGCTTCTAACACTATATTTTATGTCGTTTCTAACTGTATTTTCAGTAGGAGTCTTCTGAATTGTTTGAAATAAAATTTGTAATTTATTTTTTCTTCCTTTTTTAGGGTAATCTACAGTTGCTGCAGAACTGCCTGGCAGTGTTAAATGGAGACACATAAGCCACACTCCGCCTTCCTGTTAAAAAGGGCTGCCTTCCTTCAAATTTTATTTTTGTTTTCTTAATGATGTTAAGCATTTATGCTCACTGGAAACAAACAAAAAGCAGCTGAAAAAGTGCATCAACTCCTCTTTTTCTGAGAAACATGGAGCAGCGCACGCCCAGGCGATGCCAGTCTGTGTGCCGTGATGCCGCACTGTGTTCCCCATGACAGTGGTCCATCATCGTGCACTCGTCATACTCAGAAGTCCAAAGTTCATTCTTCTTTAAAGTAGCCTCTATAACTCTGTTTATTTTATAAATAGTATTCCTTATGGCTGCCACTCTTATTTACCTTTAAATAATTTCTGAAATTTAACCTTTTCAGAATGCATTGTTGAAACAAGATAAAGATTGCCTTTTTTGAATTTTTTAAATTTTGTTTTTAAAAGCATATACCACCTTAGTTCATTCATGTATCCTGGTAAAGCATCTTAATCAGACTTATTTTTAATTACTGAATATTTCTTAGACGTTTTGGGACAGATTTTATGTAATCTTTATAAGTATGATTTCTGAAGAAAAGCAAATGCATTAGTATGTTTGCCTTAAACTTGTAGACTAAACCAAGTATTGTAAAATAAACAGCGATAACAGTGATAGTTTTTAACTCTATGGTCATTGTATCACTCTGGAAAATGTGGAGTAGCTGTAATAAATCTACTCCTGTATTATGCTTTACAGTGCAGGTCTTAGTTTTTCTTTTTTCTCATTTCTTTTGAAATGGCATCTCGAACAAAGTCCACCAATCCCTTTACAAAAGAATGAACTGCTCCTCTGTGTGTACTTCATAGAAGGTGGAATCGGACAGAGGCAGGTTAGTGACAGTTATTCCTGAAATACAGGAGCAGAGTACAGTCTGTTGTGGTTTCCCGGATTCCGCGCCTAGCTCAGCCAATTAAGCATGAGACATAGGCCATTGAGCCACTTAGTAGTTATGCGAGTGGATAGATTGGTATGTAGAGGGAAAGAGGTCTGCTGTAAAGAACAACACTTGTTTGTCTGTGGGGAAAGAAAAGCAGAATACTTGAGATGAAAGTTGGCATACAAATAGGATACTATCGCCAGTAGTTATATTACAAACATTATCGGCCTTTCTAGTGTGAATGAACATTAGACACATTATTGTCATTCCTAGTTTAAAGTTAAGGTTGCGTGGTTGGATTTTTCCACTATCTTTTTCTAATTTTTCTACCATTTGGAGACCGTAGGCATTTGGGCCTGTCACCCCTTGGATGGGTTCCTAGTTTGTTTACATTTTCCTGAACCCTCCTGAGCGCCCGTTCTTGGTCTAATCCCCAGTCGTGATGATTCCACACTTCCTCAGCCGCATGTTGTCTTGCCTCATTCATGAGCTGGTCAGCGTTTCGTCTCTTTAACTGACATGTTCCCCAGTGCTGTTTGAACTGTTGAGTTTCCGTTGCTGGCTGAGTGCGTTTTGTCCTTCACGTAACCTTCGCTGGTAAAAATAAGCCCATGTGATGTCCACCAGTGGATGAATGCTGGACCGAGAGCCCTAGCTTCTGGATCCAGGTCTAGGCCCTTCATCTGCTGCTCTGTGGCCCAGGGCAGGTTTGCTTGACCTCTGCCTCAGTTCTCGACTCTAAAGGACATACTGACCTACCTCACAGGGGTGTTGTGAGGATTAATAAATGTTGGTACTCTGCTTTGGAAATGTGAAAATGCTGTGTAAATGTTAAGAAATACTAAGTATAGGGCCAGAAGCTATACAGTGTTTCACTTAACCGTTTGCCATTCTGTATTTACCAAGGTGGTCTTTTCTGGGGAAGGAAGTAGAGTGGAAGGTGCATCCCTTGGCCCCTGGTTTACATTATTAGGGTGCTTATTGTAGGAATGCACTCTAAAAAGTGGGCGTAGAATGAAAGCAGCCGTCCAGTGGTCCTCCCTTTTCTGTAGTTTCACTTTTCTTGCTTCAAGTTACAGCAGTCACCTGAAATCTGAAAATACTAAATGAAAAACTCCAGAAACAATTTATGTCTTAAATGTTGTGCTGTTCTGAGTAGCGTGATGAAATCTGTTGCCGTCCTACCTGGAACATTGAGTCATGCCTCTGTCCAGTGTGTCCATGCTGTATACACTGTCCACCCATCAACCAACCACTAAGTAGCTGTCTTGGTTGTCAACATAACAGATCACAAGAAGATTGAGGTTGGGTGTGGTGGCTTACCCCTGTAATCCCAGCACTGTGGGGGTCCAAAGTGGGAAGATTGCTTGAGCCCAGGAGTTCAAGACCAGCCTGGGCAACTAAGCGAGATCCTATCTCTCGAAAAAATTTTAAAACAACTTTTTGGCTGGGCGTGGTGGCTCACGCCTGTGATCCCAGCACCTTGGGAGGCCAAGGCGGGCGGATCACGAGGTCAGGAGATCAAGACCGTCCTGGCTAACACGGTGAAACCCCGTCTCTACTAAAAATACAAAAAATTAGCCAGGCGCAGTGGCGGGCACCTGTAGTCCCAGCTACTCGGGAGGCTGAGGCAGGAGGATGGCGTGAACCCGGGAGGTGGAGCTTGCAGTGAGCTGAGATTGCGCCACTGCACTCCAACCTGGACGACAGAGCGAGACTCCGGCTCAAAAAAAAAAAAAGAATTAGCTGGGCGTGGTGGCGGGTGCGTGTAATCCCAGCTACTCGGGAGGCTGAGGCAGGAGAATCACTTGAACCTGGGAGGCAGAGGCTGTAGTGAGCCAAGATCGCGCCATTGCATTCCAGGCTGGGCAACAAGAGCGAAACTCTGTCTCTAAATAAATAAAATAAAATAAAATAAAATAAAATAAAATAAAATAAAAAATGGCATGTAATATAAAAATGAGGGGAGAACCCTTTTAGGCAGGATTTAACTTTGGCTACAGGTAACTAAAACAATGAGCAGCTTAGACAGGACTTATTTTTCTCACCTACCCAGAATTTAAGGGGTAGCAGTTTGGGGCTGTTGGCCAGGCTATTCACCAGGCGGCCCCTCCTCCGTCTGCTCTACCATGCCAGGTGTAAGGTCTCCCGGCCATGATTGTTGCTTCCAGGTACCAAGGCGGCCGCTACACTCCAGGCCTGAGTCTGACTTCCAGGTAGAAAAAGGGGGTAGGGACAAAGACTTTCTTCAAAAAGTGGCTTGGCCTTTTTATTCTCCTGGAGATGCCCTTTCCGGGGACGTGTGTCTAACTGGCCAGAACTGTGTTGTGTGATGAGGAAGTTGAGCTGTTTTAGCTGGGTGTGTTGATCCTGTGGACAAAATCAGGGTCTGTTAGTAAGACAGGAGTGGCCACTGCAGGATACCCTGCCAACAGCACAGAACGAGTCTGGACCTGAGAAACAGTAAAACTGACCTGTGATTAGAGGTTTCGTTTGTTGTTGTTGTTGTTTGTTTTTTATGTGTTTTTTTTGGTTCTTGTTTTGTTTTTTGTTTTTTGTGACGGAGTCTCACTCTGTCGTCCAGGCTGGAGTGCAATGTCGCGATCTCGGCTCATTACAACCTCCGCCTCCTGGGTTCAAGTTTTTCTCCCGCCTCAGCCTCCGGAGTAGCTGGGATTACAGGAACCCGCCATCATGCCCAGCTAATTTTTGTATTTTTTAGTAGAGACGGGGTTTCACCATGTTGGCCAGGCTGGTCTTGAGCTCCTGACCTCAGGTTATCCGCCCGCCTTGGCCTCCCAAAGTGCTGGGATTACAGGCGTCAGCCACCGCGCCCGGCCCAGAATTTTTTTTTTTTTAATTATTTTACATGAGAGGCCGGGTGCGGTGGCTCACACCTGTAATCCCAGCACTTTGGGAGGCCGAGGAGGGCAAATCACGAGGTCAGGAGATGGAGACCATCCTGGCCAATATGGTGAAACCCCCGTCTCTACTGAAAACACAAAAATTAGCCAGGCGTGGTGGCGAGCACCTGTAGTCCCAGCTACTTGGGAGGCTGAGGCGGGAGAATCACTTGAACCCGGGAGACGGAGGTTGCAGTGAGCCGAGATTGCGCCACCGCTCTCCAGCCTGCTGACAGAGTGAGACGCCGTCTCAAAAAAAAAAAATACATATATATATGTGTGTGTGTGTGTGTGTGTGTGTGTGTGTGTGTGTGTGTGTGTGTGTATAAAACATTAGAAGAAAATCAAATGAGTCCAGAGAGTTTGTTGTGGCCCTAGGACTTGTAACAGGACACGTAAATTCTGGGGCTGAGGCTGCCATTGTGGGGTGGCCTTTGGGGGTTCTATGCGCTATGCGCTGATGCTGAGCAAGCAAAGAGAAGCAAGAGTTTGGAGCAAACAGAGAGAAGCAGGGAGGCTTTCCGTGACCCCCTTGTCTAATATGTTAAGCCCTCAACCCCAGCCTTTTCTCTCCATGCCCTCTTCTCTATCCCTTGGTCCACGTTTTTCCCCCTTCTGCTTCGTATTATTGCTTGTCTGCTCACTGTCCGTCTCCCCGTTCCGTTTCTCTATTGCTTCACGAAAAGACCACCCTCAAAACGTAAGGGCTTTGCAACAACAGTGATCATTCATTTGTATCCCAAGTCCGCAGTTTTGATGTTCTGCTCCCTGATGCCTAGGGTCTCGGCTGGGGACTGAAACCGTTTCCATGCATTTCTCTCCACAAAGCCTCGGGCTTCCTCACGACACGGCAGCCTGCGTAGTCAGCCTTCTTCCATGGCGGCGCAAACCTCCAAGACGATTCCGGTAGACCCAGATGGGAGCTGTAAGGATGCCTCCGACCCAGCCTCGGGAGACCCTGGACATCACTTCTGCCACATGCCGTTGTGCAAGGTAGTCACTAAGGCCAAACCAGATCCAAGGAGAGGGGAATTGGACTCTACTTCTCGATGGGAGAAGTAGTAAAGATAAGAAACTTCTCAGGCTACTGTCCAAAAAAATCGGCTGGGCGCGGTTGCTCTCACGCCTGTAACCCTAGCACTTTGGGAGGCCGAGGCGGGCGGATCACCTGAGGTCAGAAGTTCAAGACCAGCCTGGTCCACTAAAATACAAAAATTAGCCGGGCATGATGGCGGATGCCTGTAATCCCAGCTACTCGGGAGGCTGAGACGGGAGAATCGCTTGAACCCGGGAGACGGTGGTTGCAGTGAGCCGAGATCACGCCACTGCACTCCAGCCTGGGCGGCTGAGCGAGATTCCGTCTCAGAAAAAAAAAAAAAATCGAGGACGACTCACCATCTAAGCATAAAACGAAGGTTGAACAGATTACATAGAATATCTCAGATCGTGTGAGTTGACTATAAAACATAACAGTGGCTGGACGTGGTGCTTCACGCCTGTAATCCCAACACTTTGAGAGGCTGAGGTGGGCAGATCACCTGAGGTCGGGAGTTCGAGACCAGCCTGACCAACATGGAGAAATCCCGTGTCTACTAAAAATACAAAATTAGCCGGGCGTGGTGGCGCATGCCCGTAATCCCAGCTACTCGGGAGGCTGAGGCAAGAGAATCGCTTGAACCCGGGAGGCGGAGGTTGCGGTGAGCCGAGATCGCGCCATTGCACTCCAGCCTGGACAACAAGAGCGAAACTCCGTCTCACATAAGAAGAAGAAGAAGAAGAAGAAGAAGAAGAAGAAGAAGAAGAAGAAGAAGAAGAAGAATACAATAATAATAATAGTGTATTTACAGATTTTCCCAAGTGTTCAAAAATGGTTTGTTGTCCAGCGTTATACACTTAACTCGACCGGTGCACGGTTTGCATAGTGGACAACTTTGTACTTTGTCCTGATTTTTTTTTCCCTCAAAGTAAGAGGCTTGATTCCCCCCCGACTCCACCCGGCCCCCCTCCTTTAGGTTTTCCTAGGTTTCGTCGCCGCCTATGTTAGTTACAGCCGTTTCTGACAGGCCTACCAGGGAAGATGCTCAAGGAAAACGATGTTCTGTCAAGCTGCTTGGGGAAATCTTAGTGCTTAATGTTTAACCGGGGGGAGGAGGCGAACCTCATAATAGTTGTGCCCTGTGGGGAAGACTTCTGTTGGGCTGGCGAGAAGAGAAGGGGCCGAAACTTGCTTTTTGCTGAAAGGAAGGTGAGCCCAAACCCGAGCCCTGCCCGGCCCAGACGCTAGATCCCTTGGGGACTGGGCGGTGGGGCCGCAAACTCTCTTTCGCTCGCTCGCTCGCTCGCTCGCTCTCTCTCCCCCTCTTTTCTTCCTTCTCTCTCTCTCTATCTTCCCTCTGTCACTGTCTCTCTCTCTCTCTCTCTCTCTCTGTCTTCTCTCTCCCCTCTCTCCTGTCTCTCTCTCTCTCTTCTCTCTGTCACTGTCTTTCTGTCTCTCTCTTCTCTCTGTCACTGTCTCTCTCTCTCTCTCTGGCACTCTCTCGTCCTCTCAGGCCTCCCTTTCAGGTCCCAGACTCCCGGCCGCGCGCCCACTTGCGCCCAACCAGCCCCGGAGACACCCAGGCCTGTCCCACGCCGTCGGTAGGTCCCCGGTCCGGGAGCGGGAGAGACCGGAGCGCCGGGGACGACCCCGGCAAGGGCGTGGCGTATGCAGATGAGCACGGCGCGCGGAGGCTGCCGGTCACGCTCGGCCTGGGACCCCATGTCCCGCGCGCGATATCCGAGTGCTGTCGGGGTGTCTTCCCCTAGCGGCAACGGTGGAGCGAGGGGGCTGGAGAGGGTGAGGGGGCTGGGGCCGCACGAGAGAAGTGACCGTGTGTTGAGAGTGTGGTGGGCGCGAGGGTATGAGAGGAAGCCGCACGGCCAGTCCATACTTACCTGGCAGGGGAGATACCATGATCACGAAGGTGGTTTTCCCAGGGCGAGGCTTATCCATTGCACTCCGGATGTGCTGACCCCTGCGATTTCCCCAAATGTGGGAAACTCGACTGCATAATTTGTGGTAGTGGGGGACTGCGTTCGCGCTTTCCCCTGCCTTACTGGAAGTTGAAAGGTAGCTGTTATTATGATCGGCGCTGGGTCTGGATGTGTGGTGTTCAAAACACGGGCTGCTGGGCAGTTCGCTTTCGTTTTCACGTTTTTGTGGGGGTAGGGCGATTGCTGCTTTTTTCTCACCCCGCGGGGGATCCTTTAGTAACGCGCCAATTATACTGTGGGTTTATGTTCTCCAGGGTATTGTCGTGAAAACGTCACGATCTCGTGCTTTCTCCAGGCCAAAGCCGCGTTTTTCCTGCAAGTTTGGGGTGTGTAGAGGAAAAAGCCAGAACTGCTTTCTCTTCCCTGGGGAAAATATCCCAGGGTCTTGGTAACCGCTGGCAGAAACGACAGAATACGTACGGGGCGGGCAATTAATCCTGGTCCAGGGAAGTATCCGGCTTAGAGGTTTAGGAAGGACCTGTCGGGGTTGAGTTCCCCACCCAGGGGGAGATCGAGTCCGCGGGAGCTGCTGATCCCACCCAGGCAGCTGCTGGGCTTGTTGGCAGCAGCGTCTTCTGGAAGGACTAGAACGGAGTCATCCCACTCCCAGAGAAGCAGGCGTGTCATGCATGACAGTGAAGGCCGGACTACAAGGCCCTCAAGAACAGGAGACTTTGGGTCCTCGCTAACGGCCTTGGGAGACCACGCAAGACTGGTCAGAAAAGCCAGGTAGAAAGGCTTTTCATGGGCCGCGCGCGGTGGCTCACGCCTGTAATCCCAGCACTTTGAGAGGGCGAGGCGAGCGGATCACTTGAGGTCAGGAAGTTCGAGACCAACCTGGGCAACATGGTGAAACCCCCGTCTCTACTAAAAATACAAAAATTAGCCAGGCGGCGTGGCGCGTGCCTGTAATTCCACCTGCTCCAGAGGCTGAGCCATGAGAATTGCTTGAACCCGGGAGGCGGAGGTTGCGGTGAGCCGAGATCGCGCCATTGCACTCCAGCCTGGGCAACAGAGCAAGACTCCGTCTCAAAAATAAATAAATAAATAAATTAATTAATTAAAGAGTGCAGACTCTTAGGCCCCACCTTTGCTGTATCTGCTGAGTCCGAATGTGCATTCTGTCCACAGTGAAGTTTAAGAAGCACTGATCGAACGTGCTGTATGTTTTAGTTTTCTATCTAACGTCACCCACTTGGAATGTAAGCTCCAGGTCAGCGATTCTTGCCTATTTTGTTGACTGCTTCCATCCACAGGTGACTAGAAAGCTGCCTGGCTTTCAATATATTTGTTGGATTAATCTATTGACATCAGGTGCCCAGGTTCTAGCTCTGAGCCCAGGGGAGATTAATACTGTGTCTTTCCTACAGAGAAATCACAGAGTTGCAAATCCTCCCTGCTCAGCTTCATCAGCACTTAATACCATTTGCTCGAGCTCCTGGGTGAGAGCTACAAAACTAGTCCCTGAGCCCAGTGGGAGGATCCACTAGTCCACACCCTCGACCTCTGTCAGCCTCTTCAGCCCCTTCTCGCTTGAGGAGAATGTGATCGTTGTTACAGGCATCAGAAAAAGGCAAGTTGGGGGTAAGCACCTTATTTTTCTCACACCCCTGCCCCTTGTATTTACCCAGTGGTTTAACCTGGTTTGAGCCAACATCATCTTGCCTGGATTGGCAAGTCTCCTGATTGGTCTCCCTGCTTTTCACTTCATTTCATTTTTTTATCAGAACATGCCACACCTCTGCTCAAAACCTGGTTCACCCAGATTTAAAGCTTTACTGTGGTGTCTACAAGACCCTCATGATCTTACCCCCACCCAGTCACCTCTGTGACTGACATTTCATACAACTCTCTTTAATTT
Organism: Homo sapiens; assembly: GCF_000001405.40. Lineage (NCBI taxonomy): Eukaryota > Metazoa > Chordata > Mammalia > Primates > Hominidae > Homo > Homo sapiens. The sequence goes on along the minus strand of NC_000014.9, from coordinate 34,554,421 downwards.
TGCTCCCGACACAGGGCCTCCTTGCTGTTCGCCAAACCCAGTCCTACCTGGGCCTTTGCTGTAGCTGATGTTTGTGCTGGGGATGCCCCGTGACCAACTCCCTTCACCTGCTTCAAGTCCTTTGCTCATACGGTACCTTCTCATAGCAGCTTCTTCCAACCACTCGATTTAACACAGCCACCTGCCCCTTGCCGCAACTCCTTATCTCACTTTCCCTGTGTTTGTTTGCTTTTTCAAAGCACTTAGCACCTAACCTACGAATTTACCTATGCAGCCCGGTGTAGATTTTCTCTCTCCCACCCCCGCCCCCCACCTCCCCGCGCTTCTCGTTGTCTAACTAGAATACGGGCACCGAGGCCTTTTTGCTCCCAGAGGCCTGGAACAGTGTCTGGGCACAGGCTATGCGCTCAGTGAACGGTTGTTGAATGGACGAATTCTTCTTTATTGTTATTAAGTATTTATTTATTTATTATTTATTTGAGACGGAGTCTCGCTCTGTCGCCCAGGCTGAAGTGCAGTGGCGCGATCTCGGCTCACTGCAAGCTCCGCCTCCCGGGTTCACGCCATTCTCCTGCCTCAGCCTCCCGAGTAGCTGGGACTACAGGCGCCTGCCACCACGCCCGGCTAATTTTTTTGTGTTCTTAGGAGACACAGGGTTTCACCGTGTCATCCAGGATGGTCTCGATCTCCTGACCTCGTGATCTGCCCGCCTCAGCCTCCCAAAGTGCTGGGATTACAGGCGTGAGCCACCGCGCCCGGCCTTATTTATTTATTTATTTATTTATTTTTATTGAAACTAAGTCTCGCTGTCACCCAAGCTGGAGTGCGGTGGCGCGATCTCGGCTCACTGCAACCTCCGCCTCCCGGGTTCAAGGGATTCTCCTGCCTCAGCCTCCCGAGTAGCTGGGACAACAGGCGTGCGCGCCACCACGCCCGGCTAATTTTTTGTATTTTTAGTAGACACGGGGTTTCGCCATGTTGGCCAGGCTGGTCTCGAACTCCTGACCTCAAGTGATCCAACCGACTCGGCCTCCCAAAGTGCTGGGATTACAGGCGTGAGCCACCGCGCCCGGTCTGAATGGACTAATTCTTAATGTCATCCAAGAGGAAATCAGAATATTTAGAAAGGAGCCAGGAGCCAGGGTTCACCCAGGGCGCGGTGCAGGGTTATCTTTTTTTGTTGTTGCTTTTTGACTCGCTCTGTCGCCCAGGCTGGAATGCGGCGCCGCCATCTCGGCTCACTGCAACCTCCGCCTCCGGGGTTCAAGCGATCCTCCCGCCTCAGCCTCCCGAGTAGCTGGAACAACAGGGGCGCGCGCCACCAACGCCCGGCTAATTTTTGTATTTTTTGTAGAGAAGGGGTCTCGCCATGTTGGCCAGGCTGGTCTGGAACTCCTGGGCTCAAGCGATCCGCCCACCTTGGCCTTCCAAAGTGCTGGGATGACAGGCGTGAGCCACCGCCCCCTATCGGGTTATCCTCTTTGATCACAAAACGGGCAATTTCTTGAGTCCAAGTCAGAAATGACCAGAGGGTACTTTGTGGGGCCACCCTGTGTGCGGGGGCGGGGAGGGGAAGCTCCAGTGCCGCGGGGAGAAGGCTGAACGGCGTCTGATCCCTACTCTGGGGCTCCCGGGAGGGGCGCCGCGTGGCTGCCACTGAAGAGGACCCGGCTTCCTTTCTTCAAACTCAAGACTCTTGAGTTTTCCTTCCAGCGTCACTACATTCGGCTACTAGATAGATATTCTGAGGTGGTTCATGTCACTTTTACTCAGGAAGACACGACAAACAAAAGTTACCACGATTTCTTACTGAGGTGGTTTCGCACTTAACGTCAGTGGGCGAAAACTCGCAGCCTCAGTTTTCTTTTCTTTTCTTTTCTTTTTCTTCTTTTTTTTCTTTTTGAGACGGAGTTTTTACTCTGTCGCCCAGGCTGGAGTGCAGTGGCGCGATCTCGGCTCACTGCGGCCTCCGCCTCCCCGATTGAAGCGATTCTCCTGCCTCAGCCTCCCGAGTAGCTGGGATTACAGGCACGCGGCACCATGCCCAGCTAATTTTTGTATTTTTAGTAGAGATGGGGTTTCACCGTGTTGGACAGGCTGGTCTCGAACTCCTGACCTCAAGTGATCCACCTGTCTCGGCCTCCCAAAGTGCTGGGATTACAGGCATGAGCCAGCACCCCCGGCCTTAATTTTTCTTTCTCCTCTTCTTCGATTACTATTATTTTTTTTAAAATAGAGACAGGTTTCCCTATGTTGCCCAGGCTAATCTCAAACTCCTGGTTTCAAGTGGTCCTCCTGCCTCAGCCTCCCAAAGTTGCTGGGATTACAGGCTTGAGCCACCGCACCCGGCCACAAGTGCCCTTTTTAAATAAGCTCCTATTTTTTTGTTGTTGGTTTTGTTGTTTAATTGTTGTATAACCGGTTTTATTCCATCAAATTGAGTTCTCTACAAAGGATATCATTTTATACCTGACCATGGTTTATCCTTTTGGTGAGTTATTGGTTCTCTCTCTCCAAATAGCATCATTATTCCCTAAGGTCCAACGTCATACATGTGCCAATTTGTTTCAGCCCGGATGCTTTTCCAGTCCACTGTGAAACTCACTCTCTGCCATACCCCTTTTCTTTCAGAAGGCATACAAGTACCAACTAGGTGTCTCTTTCTCCAAGGAGCTCCACAAAATATTCCATCCAGAGTGCAGATGATGGTAGGTAGTCTTTAATTTACACAGGTGTCTTCCCAGTAGGTTTACGGGAGAATCAAGAGAATGAAAGAACACATGTTCCTCAGTCAGAGGGCCTATCTGTATGGGAACTGCCAGCGAAAAGTAACAAGTAGAAAGTTTACCCGGAAAATCAACAACCTGCATTGATCTATCACCAGATGAAAATTGGGAAATTTCAGAGGAACTTGAAGCATAAGTAGCACCAAAGGGCCGGGGGCAGTGGCTCACGCCTATAATCCCAACACTTGGGGAGGTGGAGGCGGGCGGATCACTTGAGGTCAGGAGTTTGAGACCAGCCTGGCCAACATGGTGAAACCCCGTCTCTACTAAAATTACAAAAATCAGCCAGGCCTGGTCGTGGGCGCCTGTAATCCCAGCTACTCGGGAGGCTGAGGCAGGAGAATCGCCTGAACCCGAGAGGCGGAGGGTGCAGTGAGCCGAGATCATGCCACTGCACTGTAGCCTGGGTGACAGAGCAAGACTCTGTCTCGGAGGGGGAGGCGGGGGGAAGTAGCACCAGTATCTATCAGAGAAGGTAAGGCTATTTTTTGGGCTGAAGAAGTTATTGACACATTGGGTTGGTTCTCCTGTTTCCCCTGCCGAGACTCCCCCAATCTGTCAATTTTGCGATATTTAACAATTATTTTTCAGCTGAGAGTTTTGTCCTTCTGGGCTCTCCTGATTCCCTGGTCCCTGCAACTTCTGCATTCTCTGGTGCCTCTTTCCTTTTTTTTTTTTTTTCTTTCTTTCTTTTTTTTTTTTTTTTTTTTTTTTTTTTTTGTGACGGAGTCTCAGTCTGTTGCCCAGGCTGGAGTGCAGTGGTGTGATCTCGGCTCACTGCAGGGAGATCTCCGCCTCTCGGGTTCATGCCATTCTCCTGCCTCAGCCTCCCGAGTAGCTGGGACTACCGGCGCATGCCACTGCGCCCAGCTAATGTTTGTATTTTTAGTAGAGGTGGGGTTTCACTATGTTGGCCAGGATGGTCTCGATCTCCTGACCTCATGATCCGCCCGCCTCAGCCTCCCAAAGTGCTGGGATTACAGGTGTGAGCCACCGCGCCCAGCCCTCTGGAATCTCTTTCTACAATCCCCCTTCTGCCCTCCTGGCCCTTGCAATAATGACTTAAAAGGTTTTCCCGTTTCCTTTGCTCCTTTCATAGGGGGTCCAGAGTAGGAACTGATTCCCCTTAGTTGTGAGCAGCTAGCACAGCAGTTTAGCCTTTCCTCATTTCTTCTTTCTCTAGACTGTCCCCAAATCTTAGTAGAGTCTCGCTGTATTGCTCAGGCTGGAGTGCAGTGGTGCGATCTCGGCTCACTGCAGGGAGATCTCCACCTCCTGGGTTCAAGCGATTCTCGCGCCTCAGCCTCCCAAATAGCTGGGATTACAGGCACACACCACCATGCCCAGCTAATTTTTGTATTTTTAGTAGAGACGGGGTTTCGCCACGTTGGCCAGGCTGGTCTCAAACTCCTGACTTCAGGTGATCTGCCCGCCTTGGCCTCCCAAAGTGCTGGGATTACAGGCGTGAGCCACCGGGCCCGGCCTACCCTACCACTTTTTGCCTAACTTGAGTTTGGATAGTCAGTAAGAGAGCCCAGACAAAGATGGGCTAACACCTGGGCAGAATTTTGGTCTGCTCCTGGATCTATGCCAGTAAATTCTGAGAAAGCCTCAACAAACTGCTGAGGAAATCAATGGGAGACTCTGGGACTTCTGGGTACACAACTTCAATTTTTCTTTTTTTCTTCTTTTTTAAGTAGACAGGAAGTCTCCATATGTTGCCCAGATTGGCCTCAAACTCCCGGGCTCAAGTGACCCCCCCGCCTTGGCTTCCCAAAGGGATGGGATTGAAGGTGTGAGCCACCGCGCCCGGCCGACAGTTCCGTTTATAGCCCCAAGAAAGGTCACCCCTTTACATAGGTAGGCAGATGCAAGCCCTAAAATACATGTTGTCAAGGATTTGTCCTCAAGAAAGAAACCTAGCACTGTTTGCTACACACAGTTCATCCTCAGTTCAACTGGTAATTGCAGCGGTCAGCTGTGTTATTAATTGCCTTTACCCAAAGGGAAAATAAAGCCTCTGATACCTCCATGACAAGGAGGTAGTGATAACTTGGAGCCAGCCACCTAGGCTAAATTCCCAGAGATAGAGGCCGGGCGCAGTGGCTCACGCCTGTAATCCCAACACTCTGGGAGGCCGAGGCGGGCGGATTACCAAGAGTTTGAGACCAGCCTGGCCAACATGGTGAAACCTCGTCTGTACTAAAAATACAAAAATTAGCTGGATGTGGTGGCACGCGCCTGTAATCCCAGCTACTTGAGAGGCTGAGGCAGGAGAATCGCTTGAACCCTGGAGGTGGAGGTTGCAGTGAGCCGAGACTGCACCACTGCACTCCAGCCTGGGCAATAGAGCAAGACTGTCTCAAAAAAGAAAAACAAAAAAGTAAATAAATATAAATCAATCAATACATAAGTAAATTCCCAGAGACAGAAAGGAGACAGGGGGACACTATCTTCCTTGATATTTACCTTTTGAGTTGGTGGCTTCAAGGCCCTCAAGGGAAAACCTTCCTAGGTTGTAAAACTGGCAAGAGGCTTATTTAGCTGTTAATATGACTCACGTAGGCCAGGCGTGGTGGCTGACACCCGTAATTTCAGCATTTTGGGGGGCCGAGGCAGAAGGATCGCTTGAGCCCAGGAGTTCAAGCCCAGCCTGGGCAACATAGGAAGACACCGTCTCTACAAAAAAAAAAAAATAAATAAAATAAAATTAGCCAGTTAGCCATGTGTGGTAACGCAAACCTGTGGTTCCAGCTAAGGAGGAAGGCTGAGGCCGGAGGACCGCTTGAACCCAGGAGTTCGAGGCTGCAGTGAGTAAGCTAGGATAACGCCACTGCACCCCAGCCTGGGTGACAGAGAGAGACCCTGTCTCAAAAAGCAGAGACTCACGCCTCAAAGGAAGGGGAAAGTCTCTTTTCCTTATGGCACCAGGGGCACATGTTTTTGTTTTTTCTTTTTTGAGGCAGGCTCTTGTCACTCGGGTGGGAGTGCAGTGGCGCCATCACCGCTCACTGCAGCCTCCTCCTGCCTTCTGTTTTGTTTTGGTTTGTTTTGTTTTAATTTAGAGACGAGGTCTCTTGCTGTGTTGCCCAAGCTGGTCTCCAACTCCTGGGCTCAAGTGATCCTCTCGCCTCAGCCTCCCAAAGCGCTAGGATTACAGGCGTGAGCCACCGTGCCTGGCCAACATTTTTCTTTCCTTCTACCAGTTTTGTATTATTTACTTTTTTTTTTTTTTTTTGAGACAGAGTCTCGCTCTGTTGCCCAGGCTGGCTGGAGTGGTACAAGTGGCATGATCTCAGCTCACTGCAACCTCTCCGCCTCCTGGGTTCAAGCGATTCTCCTGCCTCAGCCTCCCGAGTAGCTGGGATTACAGACACACACCACCATGCCCGGCTAATTTTTGTATTTTTAGTAGAGACAGGATTTCGCCACGTTGGTCAAGCTGGTCTCAAACTCCTGACCTCAGGTGATCCGCCCACCTCGGCCTCCCAAGGCGCTGGGATTACAGGCGTGAGCCACCGCGCCTGGCGTGTATTTACCCTTCTATTACACATATCCCGGGGGTGCTGAGGTCTGGGAAGGCTTGGACATAAGGGTCTTAAGACAGCAAAATGGCAACATTATAACTGGAGGAAAGGTCCATGTCAGGATGGTGGCCCTGAACATCAGAGTCTCTTGTTTCCTCCTGGGGACATGTACAGAGGCTGTCACGAGACTCTCCTAAAAGCATTCATGAAAAGCCTTTTTCTTTCCTTCTTTCTTTCTTTCTTTTTTTTTTTTTTTTGAGACGGAGTCTTGCTCTGTTGCCCAGGCTGGAGTGCAATGGCGCGATCTCGGCTCACCGCAACCTCCGCCTCCCGGGTTCAAGCAATTCTCATGGCTCAGCCTCTGGAGCAGGTGGAATTACAGGCACGCGCCACGCCGCCTGGCTAATTTTTGTATTTTTAGTAGAGACGGGGGTTTCACCATGTTGCCCAGGTTGGTCTCGAACTTCCTGACCTCAAGTGATCCGCTCGCCTCGCCCTCTCAAAGTGCTGGGATTACAGGCGTGAGCCACCGCGCGCGGCCCATGAAAAGCCTTTCTACCTGGCTTTTCTGACCAGTCTTGCGTGGTCTCCCAAGGCCGTTAGCGAGGACCCAAAGTCTCCTGTTCTTGAGGGCCTTGTAGTCCGGCCTTCACTGTCATGCATGACACGCCTGCTTCTCTGGGAGTGGGATGACTCCGTTCTAGTCCTTCCAGAAGACGCTGCTGCCAACAAGCCCAGCAGCTGCCTGGGTGGGATCAGCAGCTCCCGCGGACTCGATCTCCCCCTGGGTGGGGAACTCAACCCCGACAGGTCCTTCCTAAACCTCTAAGCCGGATACTTCCCTGGACCAGGATTAATTGCCCGCCCCGTACGTATTCTGTCGTTTCTGCCAGCGGTTACCAAGACCCTGGGATATTTTCCCCAGGGAAGAGAAAGCAGTTCTGGCTTTTTCCTCTACACACCCCAAACTTGCAGGAAAAACGCGGCTTTGGCCTGGAGAAAGCACGAGATCGTGACGTTTTCACGACAATACCCTGGAGAACATAAACCCACAGTATAATTGGCGCGTTACTAAAGGATCCCCCGCGGGGTGAGAAAAAAGCAGCAATCGCCCTACCCCCACAAAAACGTGAAAACGAAAGCGAACTGCCCAGCAGCCCGTGTTTTGAACACCACACATCCAGACCCAGCGCCGATCATAATAACAGCTACCTTTCAACTTCCAGTAAGGCAGGGGAAAGCGCGAACGCAGTCCCCCACTACCACAAATTATGCAGTCGAGTTTCCCACATTTGGGGAAATCGCAGGGGTCAGCACATCCGGAGTGCAATGGATAAGCCTCGCCCTGGGAAAACCACCTTCGTGATCATGGTATCTCCCCTGCCAGGTAAGTATGGACTGGCCGTGCGGCTTCCTCTCATACCCTCGCGCCCACCACACTCTCAACACACGGTCACTTCTCTCGTGCGGCCCCAGCCCCCTCACCCTCTCCAGCCCCCTCGCTCCACCGTTGCCGCTAGGGGAAGACACCCCGACAGCACTCGGATATCGCGCGCGGGACATGGGGTCCCAGGCCGAGCGTGACCGGCAGCCTCCGCGCGCCGTGCTCATCTGCATACGCCACGCCCTTGCCGGGGTCGTCCCCGGCGCTCCGGTCTCTCCCGCTCCCGGACCGGGGACCTACCGACGGCGTGGGACAGGCCTGGGTGTCTCCGGGGCTGGTTGGGCGCAAGTGGGCGCGCGGCCGGGAGTCTGGGACCTGAAAGGGAGGCCTGAGAGGACGAGAGAGTGCCAGAGAGAGAGAGAGAGACAGTGACAGAGAGAAGAGAGAGACAGAAAGACAGTGACAGAGAGAAGAGAGAGAGAGAGACAGGAGAGAGGGGAGAGAGAAGACAGAGAGAGAGAGAGAGAGAGAGAGACAGTGACAGAGGGAAGATAGAGAGAGAGAGAAGGAAGAAAAGAGGGGGAGAGAGAGCGAGCGAGCGAGCGAGCGAGCGAAAGAGAGTTTGCGGCCCCACCGCCCAGTCCCCAAGGGATCTAGCGTCTGGGCCGGGCAGGGCTCGGGTTTGGGCTCACCTTCCTTTCAGCAAAAAGCAAGTTTCGGCCCCTTCTCTTCTCGCCAGCCCAACAGAAGTCTTCCCCACAGGGCACAACTATTATGAGGTTCGCCTCCTCCCCCCGGTTAAACATTAAGCACTAAGATTTCCCCAAGCAGCTTGACAGAACATCGTTTTCCTTGAGCATCTTCCCTGGTAGGCCTGTCAGAAACGGCTGTAACTAACATAGGCGGCGACGAAACCTAGGAAAACCTAAAGGAGGGGGGCCGGGTGGAGTCGGGGGGGAATCAAGCCTCTTACTTTGAGGGAAAAAAAAATCAGGACAAAGTACAAAGTTGTCCACTATGCAAACCGTGCACCGGTCGAGTTAAGTGTATAACGCTGGACAACAAACCATTTTTGAACACTTGGGAAAATCTGTAAATACACTATTATTATTATTGTATTCTTCTTCTTCTTCTTCTTCTTCTTCTTCTTCTTCTTCTTCTTCTTCTTCTTATGTGAGACGGAGTTTCGCTCTTGTTGTCCAGGCTGGAGTGCAATGGCGCGATCTCGGCTCACCGCAACCTCCGCCTCCCGGGTTCAAGCGATTCTCTTGCCTCAGCCTCCCGAGTAGCTGGGATTACGGGCATGCGCCACCACGCCCGGCTAATTTTGTATTTTTAGTAGACACGGGATTTCTCCATGTTGGTCAGGCTGGTCTCGAACTCCCGACCTCAGGTGATCTGCCCACCTCAGCCTCTCAAAGTGTTGGGATTACAGGCGTGAAGCACCACGTCCAGCCACTGTTATGTTTTATAGTCAACTCACACGATCTGAGATATTCTATGTAATCTGTTCAACCTTCGTTTTATGCTTAGATGGTGAGTCGTCCTCGATTTTTTTTTTTTTTCTGAGACGGAATCTCGCTCAGCCGCCCAGGCTGGAGTGCAGTGGCGTGATCTCGGCTCACTGCAACCACCGTCTCCCGGGTTCAAGCGATTCTCCCGTCTCAGCCTCCCGAGTAGCTGGGATTACAGGCATCCGCCATCATGCCCGGCTAATTTTTGTATTTTAGTGGACCAGGCTGGTCTTGAACTTCTGACCTCAGGTGATCCGCCCGCCTCGGCCTCCCAAAGTGCTAGGGTTACAGGCGTGAGAGCAACCGCGCCCAGCCGATTTTTTTGGACAGTAGCCTGAGAAGTTTCTTATCTTTACTACTTCTCCCATCGAGAAGTAGAGTCCAATTCCCCTCTCCTTGGATCTGGTTTGGCCTTAGTGACTACCTTGCACAACGGCATGTGGCAGAAGTGATGTCCAGGGTCTCCCGAGGCTGGGTCGGAGGCATCCTTACAGCTCCCATCTGGGTCTACCGGAATCGTCTTGGAGGTTTGCGCCGCCATGGAAGAAGGCTGACTACGCAGGCTGCCGTGTCGTGAGGAAGCCCGAGGCTTTGTGGAGAGAAATGCATGGAAACGGTTTCAGTCCCCAGCCGAGACCCTAGGCATCAGGGAGCAGAACATCAAAACTGCGGACTTGGGATACAAATGAATGATCACTGTTGTTGCAAAGCCCTTACGTTTTGAGGGTGGTCTTTTCGTGAAGCAATAGAGAAACGGAACGGGGAGACGGACAGTGAGCAGACAAGCAATAATACGAAGCAGAAGGGGGAAAAACGTGGACCAAGGGATAGAGAAGAGGGCATGGAGAGAAAAGGCTGGGGTTGAGGGCTTAACATATTAGACAAGGGGGTCACGGAAAGCCTCCCTGCTTCTCTCTGTTTGCTCCAAACTCTTGCTTCTCTTTGCTTGCTCAGCATCAGCGCATAGCGCATAGAACCCCCAAAGGCCACCCCACAATGGCAGCCTCAGCCCCAGAATTTACGTGTCCTGTTACAAGTCCTAGGGCCACAACAAACTCTCTGGACTCATTTGATTTTCTTCTAATGTTTTATACACACACACACACACACACACACACACACACACACACACACATATATATATGTATTTTTTTTTTTTGAGACGGCGTCTCACTCTGTCAGCAGGCTGGAGAGCGGTGGCGCAATCTCGGCTCACTGCAACCTCCGTCTCCCGGGTTCAAGTGATTCTCCCGCCTCAGCCTCCCAAGTAGCTGGGACTACAGGTGCTCGCCACCACGCCTGGCTAATTTTTGTGTTTTCAGTAGAGACGGGGGTTTCACCATATTGGCCAGGATGGTCTCCATCTCCTGACCTCGTGATTTGCCCTCCTCGGCCTCCCAAAGTGCTGGGATTACAGGTGTGAGCCACCGCACCCGGCCTCTCATGTAAAATAATTAAAAAAAAAAAAATTCTGGGCCGGGCGCGGTGGCTGACGCCTGTAATCCCAGCACTTTGGGAGGCCAAGGCGGGCGGATAACCTGAGGTCAGGAGCTCAAGACCAGCCTGGCCAACATGGTGAAACCCCGTCTCTACTAAAAAATACAAAAATTAGCTGGGCATGATGGCGGGTTCCTGTAATCCCAGCTACTCCGGAGGCTGAGGCGGGAGAAAAACTTGAACCCAGGAGGCGGAGGTTGTAATGAGCCGAGATCGCGACATTGCACTCCAGCCTGGACGACAGAGTGAGACTCCGTCACAAAAAACAAAAAACAAAACAAGAACCAAAAAAAACACATAAAAAACAAACAACAACAACAACAAACGAAACCTCTAATCACAGGTCAGTTTTACTGTTTCTCAGGTCCAGACTCGTTCTGTGCTGTTGGCAGGGTATCCTGCAGTGGCCACTCCTGTCTTACTAACAGACCCTGATTTTGTCCACAGGATCAACACACCCAGCTAAAACAGCTCAACTTCCTCATCACACAACACAGTTCTGGCCAGTTAGACACACGTCCCCGGAAAGGGCATCTCCAGGAGAATAAAAAGGCCAAGCCACTTTTTGAAGAAAGTCTTTGTCCCTACCCCCTTTTTCTACCTGGAAGTCAGACTCAGGCCTGGAGTGTAGCGGCCGCCTTGGTACCTGGAAGCAACAATCATGGCCGGGAGACCTTACACCTGGCATGGTAGAGCAGACGGAGGAGGGGCCGCCTGGTGAATAGCCTGGCCAACAGCCCCAAACTGCTACCCCTTAAATTCTGGGTAGGTGAGAAAAATAAGTCCTGTCTAAGCTGCTCATTGTTTTAGTTACCTGTAGCCAAAGTTAAATCCTGCCTAAAAGGGTTCTCCCCTCATTTTTATATTACATGCCATTTTTTATTTTATTTTATTTTATTTTATTTTATTTTATTTTATTTATTTAGAGACAGAGTTTCGCTCTTGTTGCCCAGCCTGGAATGCAATGGCGCGATCTTGGCTCACTACAGCCTCTGCCTCCCAGGTTCAAGTGATTCTCCTGCCTCAGCCTCCCGAGTAGCTGGGATTACACGCACCCGCCACCACGCCCAGCTAATTCTTTTTTTTTTTTTGAGCCGGAGTCTCGCTCTGTCGTCCAGGTTGGAGTGCAGTGGCGCAATCTCAGCTCACTGCAAGCTCCACCTCCCGGGTTCACGCCATCCTCCTGCCTCAGCCTCCCGAGTAGCTGGGACTACAGGTGCCCGCCACTGCGCCTGGCTAATTTTTTGTATTTTTAGTAGAGACGGGGTTTCACCGTGTTAGCCAGGACGGTCTTGATCTCCTGACCTCGTGATCCGCCCGCCTTGGCCTCCCAAGGTGCTGGGATCACAGGCGTGAGCCACCACGCCCAGCCAAAAAGTTGTTTTAAAATTTTTTCGAGAGATAGGATCTCGCTTAGTTGCCCAGGCTGGTCTTGAACTCCTGGGCTCAAGCAATCTTCCCACTTTGGACCCCCACAGTGCTGGGATTACAGGGGTAAGCCACCACACCCAACCTCAATCTTCTTGTGATCTGTTATGTTGACAACCAAGACAGCTACTTAGTGGTTGGTTGATGGGTGGACAGTGTATACAGCATGGACACACTGGACAGAGGCATGACTCAATGTTCCAGGTAGGACGGCAACAGATTTCATCACGCTACTCAGAACAGCACAACATTTAAGACATAAATTGTTTCTGGAGTTTTTCATTTAGTATTTTCAGATTTCAGGTGACTGCTGTAACTTGAAGCAAGAAAAGTGAAACTACAGAAAAGGGAGGACCACTGGACGGCTGCTTTCATTCTACGCCCACTTTTTAGAGTGCATTCCTACAATAAGCACCCTAATAATGTAAACCAGGGGCCAAGGGATGCACCTTCCACTCTACTTCCTTCCCCAGAAAAGACCACCTTGGTAAATACAGAATGGCAAACGGTTAAGTGAAACACTGTATAGCTTCTGGCCCTATACTTAGTATTTCTTAACATTTACACAGCATTTTCACATTTCCAAAGCAGAGTACCAACATTTATTAATCCTCACAACACCCCTGTGAGGTAGGTCAGTATGTCCTTTAGAGTCGAGAACTGAGGCAGAGGTCAAGCAAACCTGCCCTGGGCCACAGAGCAGCAGATGAAGGGCCTAGACCTGGATCCAGAAGCTAGGGCTCTCGGTCCAGCATTCATCCACTGGTGGACATCACATGGGCTTATTTTTACCAGCGAAGGTTACGTGAAGGACAAAACGCACTCAGCCAGCAACGGAAACTCAACAGTTCAAACAGCACTGGGGAACATGTCAGTTAAAGAGACGAAACGCTGACCAGCTCATGAATGAGGCAAGACAACATGCGGCTGAGGAAGTGTGGAATCATCACGACTGGGGATTAGACCAAGAACGGGCGCTCAGGAGGGTTCAGGAAAATGTAAACAAACTAGGAACCCATCCAAGGGGTGACAGGCCCAAATGCCTACGGTCTCCAAATGGTAGAAAAATTAGAAAAAGATAGTGGAAAAATCCAACCACGCAACCTTAACTTTAAACTAGGAATGACAATAATGTGTCTAATGTTCATTCACACTAGAAAGGCCGATAATGTTTGTAATATAACTACTGGCGATAGTATCCTATTTGTATGCCAACTTTCATCTCAAGTATTCTGCTTTTCTTTCCCCACAGACAAACAAGTGTTGTTCTTTACAGCAGACCTCTTTCCCTCTACATACCAATCTATCCACTCGCATAACTACTAAGTGGCTCAATGGCCTATGTCTCATGCTTAATTGGCTGAGCTAGGCGCGGAATCCGGGAAACCACAACAGACTGTACTCTGCTCCTGTATTTCAGGAATAACTGTCACTAACCTGCTTCTGTCCGATTCCACCTTCTATGAAGTACACACAGAGGAGCAGTTCATTCTTTTGTAAAGGGATTGGTGGACTTTGTTCGAGATGCCATTTCAAAAGAAATGAGAAAAAAGAAAAACTAAGACCTGCACTGTAAAGCATAATACAGGAGTAGATTTATTACAGCTACTCCACATTTTAGAGAGTGCCACAGTGTCTCGGTAGGAGGCAGGAACCCGAGTTCCTGGTTCAGAAACAGGGTTAGAAACAGTCTCCCGATGGAGCTCAAGTGGCTGTCATCTGCCTGTTCTCCTCAGGTATCGAGTGGGATCAGTTGAGGGCTGAGCAAAAGTGGGGACTGGGAAGATGACGAGAAAAGATAACTTTTCGTAGATTGTTGAGGCCGCAGTCAGACTGAGGAGTGAACAGTGTGAAGGAGAGGTTGAGAGCCTCATGGTGTGGAAGGCATAAGGGTTAGAGGCGAGGTTGGAGGGATGTGGGTGCTGGTGTCTGAGGACTTATTGGATTTCGGGCTGTGTGTCCCTCAGCGTCTAGATTCCTGCTTCGTAGGTGATGAGACGCTGCATGTAGCATGTTCACCTCAGAGACTGTCACTTATGAGGGTGCCCATCATTATTATTTTTGGTGACAAGGTAGCTGCTATTTTCCTGTAAGCAGAAGCTGCGGAAGAAAATGGTGGGATTGGCCGGGAGCGGTGGCTCACGCCTGTAATCCCAGCATTTTGGAAGGTCGAGGTGGGCGGATCACCTGAGGTCCGGAGTTCGAGACCAGCCTCAACATGGAGAAACCCCCGTCTCTACTAAAAATACAAAATTAGCCGGGCGTGGTGGTGTATGCCTGTAATCCCAGCTACTCGGGAGGCTGCGGTAGGAGAATTGCTTGAACCTGGGAGGCGGAGGTTGCGGTGAGCCGAGATCGCGCCATTGCACTCCAGCCTGGGCAACAAGAGCGAAACTCCGTCTCCAAAAAACAAAACAAAACAAAAATGGTGGGATTAAGACCCGCCCCCGTCCCGTCCCCGCCCCTTTTCGCTCCTGCTCCGCCCCTTCCCCGCCTTCTACCTGCCTCCCTCGGTGCTGTCGGTCTGCGCGGGCGCGCAAGGGGGACTGGGACGTTCAGGCGGAAGTGGCGTCAGGGGCGCTTTAGGGACTGGACTTGCAGTGTAAACAGAGACGCTGCAAATTGCTTGTGGACGGTGTAGGCCGCTGCAGGCCACCATGAACCGGCTTCCGGATGACTACGACCCCTACGCGGTTGAAGAGCCTAGCGACGAGGAGCCGGCTTTGAGCAGGTGGGCTCCCGCCCCACCCTGGCCCCCGAGGATTTGGGTCGAGGCCTGGCTTTGGTCGCCTCCATTCGTTGCGCCTGCCGAGCCTACGCAGACCCTAGCGGCTCGGGAGCCTGTCGTGCCTGTTACTTGTGCGAAGCCAAAGGGCTTTCCTGATGGGGTCGCGCAGTCCCGGGGGGAGGCGGTGCCGATGTCGCCTGTAGGAAGAGGGATATTCCGGAATCACGGGGGACCGCGTGTAAATCTTCAAAAGCAATGAGATCGAAACCTGTCTCTACACCTTAGTAGCAGAGTGACGGAAGGCAAGTCAGTTATCCTCGATTACTCACCTGTAAAATTGAACTATAATAACATAATTGTATAACCTATATAACATAGTATAACACACTATGTTTGTTGTGAGGCTCACAGGACTTAATGTGAAGTGTCCATCTTGAAGACTAAACTGCCATAAACAGAAATAAGGGAATATTGAACAGCCTTTTTTATTTTTATTTTTTGACAGGGACTGTTGTATGCTCGCTCTGAGCTACAGAGATAAATCATAAGGTCCTTGTCTTCCAGAGGCTTATAGTATAATAAGGGTAATAAGATAAAGTATATATTTCTTGGCAGAGCATTGTAGAGAATATTGACCTGAGATAGGCACAGAAGAAGGTTCGTGGGATTTCCAGAAGGGTGGGCTTTATTCTACCAGGGAAACTTGAAGCTGTTTTGCCGAGATATTTCCACACAAATTTAGTTATTTCTTAAGCTGTCAGCAGATCCTATTCTTAAACTTTAAAACATTCATTCTGCCTAAAGAAGCTTTCTGTAAAGCCATGCTTTCATTAACAACTTTGGCTGGGTGTGGTGGCCCATGCCTGTAATCCCAGGACTTTGGGAGTCTGAGGCGAGAGAATCTCTTAAGCCTGGTAGTAAAGGAACAGCCTGGGCAACATAGTGAGACCTCATTTCTTAAAAAAAAAAAAAATCAAAAGAACAATGTTTCCTCATATTGTCATGGGGAGACATTGGATGCATGGGAAATCAGACTGCTGTTAAGATTTCTTTTGTTGGGAGTGAGGATAGATACCAGGATTCCCTGTGAAAAAGAGTTTCAGTTAATGGGTCCTGTCTGTGAAAGGAGGTATGTATATATGTATGTCTCAATTATTTATTTATTTATTTATTTATTTTGAGACAGAGTCTCACTCTGTCAGCCAGGCTGGAGTGCACTGGTGCAATCTTGGCTCACTGTAGCCTCCACCTCCTGGGTTCCAGCAATTCTCCTGCCTCAGCCTCCTGGGTAGCTGGGATTACAGGCATGCGCTACCACACCTGGCTTATTTTTTGTATTTTTCGTAGAGATGGGTTTTCACCACGTTGGCCAGGCTGGTCTTGAACTCCTGACCTTAGGCAATCTGCCTGCGTCGGGCTCCCAAAGTGCTAGGATTACAGGCCTGAGCCACGGAGCCAGGACTGTTGTATCATTTTTTTAAGGAAGCTTTATAATTCTGTGACAGTTGCCACTGGTAAGGTAACTGTAAAGATAAATATTATAAAAACAAAACAATGTTATCAGACAGTATTGCCTGTTGTAGGCTCTGAGCCAAATGGTTATTATTTTAAAAAGGGAGATTAGTGTTAGAGAGGTGTCTGTCAGTATTTAATTTTACACTGTTTATAAACTAATACATTGTAGCCTGTTAACTGTTTCACGGTAGCTGACCGAAGACATGAGACTCCTGGGTCAAAGATAAGACTACACATAGCACAGCAAGCAGCATGAGCATCATGTTTGTGTGGCTTGCTCTTGCTTGTCAACCCTACAGGTATTACGCTGAGGGTCCTAGAAGAATGCTGCACATTCAGTGGGTTGGCATCGTGGCTAAAGACTACTTGAGCTTGGAGAATCCACCTCTTTCATAGAAGACAGTAAATACATCTGCTCTTTGTCCTGGAAGGAGACATTATCTCATTCCTCAAGGTTGTTGTTCGCTGCAAACACAATCCTGAGAAATGGCTGGAGTGAACAGTGGTCAGAACCTTGCATTCTTGGCATACTTAACTTGCATATCTAGGGTCCATGATGTATGACTGCCTTTCTCAGCAGTGCTGAAAACTGAGACTTTGGTTGAGATAATGACAAGGATTGAAGAAAATTTGTAGAAAAAATAGCTCTCACTTTGTGATTCAGTTTTTAAAAATTAAACATTTTATTTTGAAGTTTTCGTAGATTCACATTCAGTTATAAGAAATAATACAGGTCTGGTGCAGTGGCTCACATCTGTAATCCCAGCACTTTGGAAGGCCAAGGCAGGAGAATCACTTGAGCTCAAGAGTTCAAGACCAGCCTGAGCAACATGATGAAATCATGTCTTTACTGAAAATACAAAAAATTAGCTGGTATGGTGGTGCATATCTGTGGTCCCAGCTACTCAGGAGGGTGAGGCGGTTGGTTGGCTTGAGCCTGGGAGGCGGAAGTTTCAGTGAGCCAAGATGGCACCATTGCACTCCAGCCTGGGCAACACAGGGAGACCCCCATCTCAAAAAATAAAAAATAATAAAAAAAAAAGAAATAATACAGAGAGATCCTGTGTACTCTTTCCCCAGTTTCCTCCAGTGTTAACATACTACAAAACTATAGTGCAGTATCACAACCAGGATATCTATCTATCTATATATCTATCTATGTATTTTTTGAGACGGATTCTGAATCCTGTAATCCCAGCTACTTGGGAGACTGAGGCAGGAGAATCGCTTGAGCCCAGGAGGTGGAGGTTGCGGTGAGCAGAAATCATGCCACTGTACTACAGCCTGGGCGACAAGAGCGAGACTCTGTTTCAAAAGAAACAAACAAACAAACAAACAAAAAAACCATCCTGGGCAACATGGCGAAACCCCATTTCGACAAAAATTAAACAAAACAAAACAAAACAAAAAAACAGCTGGGAATGGTGGTATGTGCCTGTAGTTCCAGCTACTGGGGAACCCGAGGTGGGAGGATTGCTTGAACTGGGGAGGTGGAGGTTGCAGTGAGCTGAGATCATGCCACTGCACTCCAGGTTGGGTCACAGACTGAGATGCCATCTCAAAAAAAAAAAAAAAAAAAAAAAATTAAAGAAGATTGGAAATATGCAGAACTGGCTTATTAAGTGAGAATAGCTATATGTAATGTATAAGTACATCAAATGTAACCATGTAATACTTAAAATTGTTGTTGGACAGTGAGATGCTGGGAGTTTAAAATTATTTTAATTTTTAAATATTCATATTCTTTTTGATTTAAATGTATGCTAGCTCTGAGGATGAAGTGGATGTGCTTTTACATGGAACTCCTGACCAAAAACGAAAACTCATCAGAGAATGTCTTACCGGAGAAAGTGAATCATCTAGTGAAGATGAATTTGAAAAGGAGATGGAAGCTGAATTAAATTCTACCATGAAAACAATGGAGGACAAGTTATCCTCTCTGGGAACTGGTAAACTTTTGGTTCAATTTTATATATATTTTTGTAAGCTCTGTAAGGGCAGGAACCTTATTTGTGCTCTTCTATGTTCCCAGCACTTTCAGTAGGTGCTCAATAAATATTTATTGAATGAAGGAGTGAATGTATTTGGCAGTCTGAGCTAGAGTCTTCCTTTTCTCATTTAAAAAAGTTATTTATTTATTACTTTAGATTCAATGTCTCATTCTGTTACCCAGGCTGGAGTGCAGTGGCATGATCATAGCTCACTGTAGCCTAAAACTCCTGGGCTCAAATGATCTTCCCACCTCCGTTTCTTGAATAACTGAGATTACAGGCATGTACCACTGTGCCCAGATAATTAAAAAAAAAATTTGGGCCGGGCACGGTGGCTCACGACTGTAATCCTAGCACTTTGGGAGGCCGAGGCGGGCGGATCACGAGGTCAGGAGATTGAGACCATCCTGGCTAACACGGTGAAACCCTGTGTCTACTAAAAATACAAAAAATTAGCCGGGCGTGGTGGCAGGCGCCTGTAGTCCCAGCTACTCGGGAGGCTGAGGCAGGAGAATGGCATGAACCCAGGAGACGGAGCTTGCAGTGAGCTGAGATCACGCCACTGCACTCCAGCCTGAGCGACAGAGCGAGACTCCATCTAAAAAAAAAAAAAATCTGTAGCGACCGGGTGCAGTGGCTCACACCTGTAATCCTAGCACTTTGGGAGGCCGAGGTGGGTGGATCACCTGAGGTCAGGAGTTCGAGACCAGTCTGGCCACCATGGCGAAACCCCGTCTCTACTAAAAATACAAAAATTAGTTGGGTGTGGTGGCACGTGCCTGCAGTCCCAGCTACTTGGGAGGCCGAGGCAGGAGAATTGCTTGAACCCGGAAGGCGGAGGTTGCAGTGAGCTGAGATCGCGGCACTGCACCCCAGCCAGGGCAACAGAGTGAGACTCCGTCTCAAAAAAAAAAAAGGCCAGGCGTGGTGGCTCATGCTTGTAATCCCAGCACTTTGGGAGGCCGAGGCAGTGGATCACGAGGTCAGGAGTTTGAGACCAGCCTGGCCAATACAGTGAAACCCCATCTCTACTAAAAATACAAAAATTAGCTGGGCTTGGTGGCACGTGCCTGCAGTCCGAGCTACTCAGGAGGCCAGGCAGGAGAATCGCTTAAACCCGGGAGGCAGAGGTTGCAGTGAGCCGAGATTGTGCCATTGCACTCCAGCCTGGGTGACAGAGCTAGACTCCGTCTCAAAAAAAAAAAAAAAAATTTGTGGAGACAGGGTCTCACTATGTTGCCCAGGCTGGTCTTAAACTCCTGGCTCAAGTGATCTTCCTGCATTGGCCTCCCAAAGTGCTGGGATTATAGGTATAAACTATTGTGCCTGGCTTGGAGTTTGTTTGATGACTGTCTTGTGTTCTTGGAAAGAGATTAGTTAATACTGTTTACTTGCATAATTTTATTTTGCAGTTTTTACTCGAGTTAAAAAAAAAAGACACACAAACTTACAAAAGTATTTTTAGGGTTAGATGGCACTAAAATGTGGCAGATTTAATTATGTATCATCACAAATTTCTGTTTCACTTTAGTGAGTAATGAAACATAGTTCATTTTGATACTTGGTCTTTATGTAAAATGTACCTGACCTGAAAACTGGTTTGTGAAAGTAGGACTCTTCTGCCGGGTGCAGTGGCTCACGCCTGTAATCCCAGCACTTTGGGAGGCTGAGGTGGGTGGATCATGAGGTCAGGAGCTCAAGACCAGCCTGGCCAACATGGTGAAACCCTGTCTCTACTAAAAACACAAAAAATTAGCTGGGAGTGACGGCAGTTGCCTATAATTCCAGCTACTCGGGAAGGTCAGGCAGGGGAATCACCTGAACCCAGGTGGCAGAGGTTGCAGTGAGCCGAGATTGTGCTATTGCACTCCAGCCTGGGCAACAGAGTGAGACTCAGTCTCAAAAAAAAAAAAAAAGGAAGTAGGACTCTTCAGCATTGATTTCCACCCTGATATGCTATGTATTAGCTGGAAAAATCTGAAAGCATATAAAAATATAATAAAAACTAAAGCAGATGCTAACTAAGAGGAATTAGGGATATGGGCATATGATGACATAAGTATAGGTAATGTCATGGTCCTGGGCACAACTGAGGAGAAGAATGTGTCCTTGACTCATTCCTCCTGCCTTCCTATAGGGTTCTTACCCTTTTTCTCCTAATGTTTCTTAGAACAAAATGTTTGTTCTATGTTCTGCATGGTATACTGTATGACTGAAAGGTAGAGATATGTGTGCTGGCAACCTGAAAATATCGCTATTTTATTTAATGAGATTTGTGGGAAGGGAGAGAGAAGAATTTTCTCAAGATTTGGAACATTTTAAGGAGGGCCAGTTCTCTGTAACTGTATAGGGCATAGACATCGAGTAATTCACTGATGTGAAAATATTTCACCATCAAATGAGTTTGTGAATGAGTTGATATTGTTTTGAGGTGATGGAAGAATATATGGAGTTTTTTGCCTTGTGAATTATGTATGATTTAGTCTGTAAACTTTACTTCTGGTTTGAATAGGATCTTCCTCAGGAAATGGAAAAGTTGCAACAGCTCCGACAAGGTACTACGATGATATATATTTTGATTCTGATTCCGAGGATGAAGACAGAGCAGGTAAGTAACCTATTTACCAGGTTTAGCAGTTATATTTTATAAAAAAGGTTTACCTAACAATTATTAGATGTTAGGATTTCCCTCTGAGTTTGGTCTTTTAAGAAATTACAGCTAGGCATGGTGGCTCACACCTGTAATGGCAGCACTTTGGGAGGCTGATGCAGGCAGATCACCTGAGGTTGGGAGTTTAAGACCAGCCTGACCAACTTGGTGAAACCCCATCTGTACTAAAAATACAAAAATAAGCCGGGCATGGTGGTGCACGCCTGTAGTCCCAGCTACTTGGGAGGCTGAGGCAAGAGAATCAGTTGAACCCAGGAGGCGGAGGTTGCAGTGAGCTGAGATTGCACCATTGCACTCCAGCCTGGGCGACAGAGTGAGACTGTCTCAAATAAATAAATAAATAAATAAAGTGGATGCCATTGATGTGAAAACAAAAGCAGGATTGATTAATAAGAAAAACTGGGGGCTGGGCATGGTGGCTCACGCTTGTAATCCCAGCACTTTGGGAGGCAGAGGTGGGCAGATTGCCTGAGGTCAGGAGTTCTAGACCAGTCTTGCCAACATGGTGAAACCCCATGTCTATTAAAAATACAAAAAAATTAGCCAGGCTTGGTGCCATGCACCTGTAATCCCGGCTACTCAGGAGGATGAGACAGGGAAGTTGCTTGAACCAGGGAGGTAGAGGTTGCAGTGAGCTGAGATCGCATCATTGCACTCCAGCCTGGGCAACAGAGTGAGACTCCGTCTCAAAAAAAAAAAAAAAAAAGCTGGGGACACAGGCATGTGAGGACATGGCACCAACAGTGGTGCTGCTTGGATGTACCTAGGGAGTGAGAGAGAGTGTGTCCCAACTCAATACCTCCCCTCCTCAGGGCTTTTCCCCCCTCTTCCTTTAGGTTTCCTATAGTAGCAATATTTGTTTTCATGCCTGAAAATAGTTTCTATGTTTTAATCCTCCTGCAGAATTTTTTTTTTTTTGAGATGGAGTTTCGCTCTTGTTGCCCAAGCTGGAGTGCGATGGCACCACCATCTTGGTTCACTGCAACCTGTGCCTCCCGGGTTCAAGCAATTTTCCTGCCTCAGCCTCTTGAGTAGCTGGGTTTACAGACGCCTGTCGCCATGCCTGGCTAATTTTTTGTTTTTTTAGGAGAAACGGGGTTTCACCATGTTAGCCAGGCTGGTCTTGAACTCCTGACCTCAGGTGATCCACCCGCCTCAGCCTCCCAAAGTGCCGGGATTACTGGTGTGAGCCACCGCGGCCTGGCCTCCTCCTGCAGAATTTTTCTTAATGCGTTGATTTTTAATCAGCCTCTATGTTCAAAATTGAATTTTTCTTTCTTTCTTTCTTTCTTTTTTTTTTTTTTTGAGACGGAGTCTCGCTCTGTCACCCAGGCTGGAGTGCAGTGGCGCAATCTCAGCTCACTGCAAGCTCTGCCTCCTGGGTTCACGCCATCCTCCTGCCTCAGCCTCCCGAGTAGCTGGGACTACAGGCGCCCGCCACCACACCCGGCTAATTTTTTGTATTTTTAGTAGAGAAGGGGTTTCACTGTGTTAGCCAGGATGGTCTTGATCTCCTGACCTTGTGATCCACCCACCTCGGCCTCCCAAAGTGTTGGGATTACAGGCGTGAGCTACTGTGCCCGGCCTGAAAATTGAATTTTTATAAAATTTGAGCAAAGTTGAACATAACAAGAGCTAAAACTAATTATTTCAGTAATTACAATGAAATATTCAAATAGCAAATTTCTGTGGTAAAGAACAATATTATACTTTTATGCATTGTTACTTAAATATTGACCTGTTAGAATGTATGTGTTTGTTTATTTATTTATTTATTTTGAGACAAAGTCTCGCTCTATCGCCCAGGCTGGAGTGCAGTGGCGTCATCTCAGCTCACTGCAAGCTCTGCCTCCTGGGTTCACACCATTCTCCTGCCTCAGCCTGCTGAGTAGCTGGGACTACAGGTGCCCGTCACCACGCCCGGCTAAATTTTTGCATTCTTAGTAGAGATGGGGTTTCACTGTGTTAGCCAGGATGGTCTCGATCTCCTGACCTCGTGATCCGCCCGCCTCAGGCTTCCAAAATGCTGGGATTACAGGCATGAGCCACCGCGCCCAGCCTTGTTTATTTATTTTTTAGGCAGAGTCCCACTCTGTCACCCAGGCTGGAGTGCGGTGACACAGTCTTGGCTCACTGTAGCCTCTGCCTCCTGGGTTCAAGCGATTCTGGTGCCTCAGCCTTCCTGGTAGTTGGGACTACAGGCACAAGCTACCATACCCGGTTACTTTTTGTATTTTTAGAAGAGACAGGATTTCGCCATGTTGGTCATGCTGGTTTGAAACTCCTGATCTCAGGTTGTCTGCCCACTTTGGCCTCCCAAAGTTCTGGGATTACAGGCATGAGCCACCACTCCCTGCCTGCTAGAATACATTCAAAAAGTCTAGTGTATGTAGATGGCCATAGTTTTTTTTTTTCTCTTTTTTTTTGTTTTTTTCCTCTTCCTTTCTTTCTTTCTTTTTTTTTTTTTTTTTTTTTTGGTAAAGATTGGGTCTTGCTTTGTTGCTTAGGCTGGTGTCAAATTCCTGGCTTCAAGCAATCCTCCCAAAGTGCTGGTATTACAGATGTGAGCCACTGTATCTGACCTCATACTGTTTTTTTTAATTCACTTTTGAAATATTTTTGTTCTAATTTTAGTAGCATTTTATATATATATTCATACATCATAAATAATTTCTATTCTTGGCTTGTTTTGAGTGGCTCTTTTGAGTCTCTGAATTCTCATTGTTTGAACTTAGTCCTTGAGATACCAGTTTTGGGTAAATAAACAATTTTTGCCTCCTCTGTCATTTTAATGCCTTATTAGTTGGAGAAGAACTTTATTTT
Organism: Homo sapiens; assembly: GCF_000001405.40. Classification (NCBI taxonomy): domain Eukaryota; kingdom Metazoa; phylum Chordata; class Mammalia; order Primates; family Hominidae; genus Homo; species Homo sapiens. The sequence continues at coordinate 34,530,557 of NC_000014.9, read as the reverse complement.
TTAAATTTTTGTTAAATTTTTTACTTTTTTAGAGATAGGTCTCACTCTTACCCAGTCTCCAGCAGTGCAGTGGTGCAATTATAGCTCACTACATCCTCAGACTCCTAGGCTCAAGCCATCCTCCCAGCTCAGCTTCCCTAGTAGCTAGGACTACAGGTGTGCCTGGCTAATTTTTAATTTTTATTTTTGTAGAGATGGGGTCTCATTATGCTGGCCAGGCTGGTCTTGAACTCCTGGCCTCAAGCGATCCTCTTGTCTCAGCCCCTCAAAGCTCTAGGATTATAGGTTGTGAGCTACCGCACCCTACCTGGACAAGCACTTGTTTAGATGAAGGGTTTTTTTTAACTTTTTTTTTTTGAGACGGAGTTTTGCTCTTGTTGCCCAGGCTGGAGTGCAATGGCGTGATCTCGGCTCACCACACCCTCCACCGCCTGGGTTCAAGTGATTCTCCTGCCTCAGCCTCCCAGGTAGCTGGGATTGTAGGTGCCTGCCACCACGCCTGGCTAATTTTGTATTTTATTTTATTATTTTCTTTTTCTTTGAAACGGAGTCTCGCTCTCATCACCCAGGCTGGAGTGCAGTGGCACGATTTCGGCTCACTGCAACCTCTGCCTCCTGGGTTCAAGCAGTTTTTCTGCCTCAGGCCCCCAAGTAGCTGGGATTACAGGTGCCTACTACCATGCCCAGCTAATTTTTATATTTTTAGTAGAGAGGCGGTTTCACCATGTTGGCCAGGCTGGTCTCGAACTCCTGACCTCAGGTGATCTGCCCACCTTGGTCTCCCAAAGTGCTGGGATTACAGGCGTGAGCCACCGCACCTGGCCCTAATTTTGTATTTTTAGTAGAGACGGGGTTTCGCCATGTTGTCCAGGCTGGTCTCGATCTCCTGACGTCAGGTGATCCACCCACCTTGGCCTCCCAAAGTGCTAGGATTACAGGTGTGAGCCACTGCGCCCGTCCCTTTTTTAACTTTTTAGGGAAAATATAAATAAATGTGTAGCTTGGGAAATGAGACTCTTCATTTAAAGAAGTGTGAACTTGACACATGATTCTTAGCCATATCCTAATATTTTCAAAATTAGTACAGGTGACCAAGAAAAAAAAGAAGAAACAACACAAGATTCCAACAAATGACGAATTACTGTATGATCCTGAAAAAGATAACAGAGATCAGGCCTGGGTTGATGCACAGAGAAGGGGGTAAGAACTTAAAGTTAATATTTAGAATCTTTAGAAAAAAAGATTGAAAGATGATTTTTACTACATTCACATTTTGAATATATGTGTATATGTTTACACAAACACACACACACAAACAAAAAAGTTAGAGGAAAAAACTGCTCAGTAGTTTATTTTGAAAATAACCAGCAAATTTTAGTGAGACTTTTTTTTAAAATTTTTTAAATTTTTATTATTATTTTTGAGACAGAGTCTTGCACTGTCGCCTGGGCTGGAGTGCAGTGGCGCGATCTTGGCTCACTGCAACCTCCGCCTCCTGCGTTCAAGAGATTCTCCTGCCTCAGCTTCCCGAGTAGTTGGGATTACAGGCGCCTGCCACCACACACAGCTAATTTTTTGTATTTTTAGTAGAGACCGGGTTTCACCATGTTGGCCAGGCTGGTCTCGAACCCCTGACCTCGTGATTCACCTGTCTCGGCCTCCCAAAGTGCTGGGATTACAGGCTTGAGCCACTGCATCCAGCCCGACAATTGTTTTTTTGTTTTTTTTTAAACTTGTTGAATTTAGGCTGCGTTAGTCAATCTCTCCCTCAAGAAAAACTGACTTTTTTTTTCAGATGCTGTTTTAAATTACTTTGAGATTAAGAGTTTATGTGGATGGGCCAGGGTGGTGGCTTATACCTGTAATCCCAGCAACTTTGGGAGGCCGAGGCAGGTGGATCACCTGAGGTCGGGAGTTTGAGACCAGCCTGGCGAACATAGTGAAACTCTGTCTCTACTAATACAAAAATTAGTGGGGCCATAGTGGCGCACACCTGTAATTCCAGCTACTCAGGAGGCTGAGGCGGGAGAATTGCCCAAACCTGGGAGGTGGAGGTTGCAGTGAGCTGAGATCACGCCACTCCACTCCAGCCTGGACGACAGAATGAGACCCTATCTCAAAAAAAAAAAAAAAAAAAAAAAAGGGTTTTGTGGATGAAGAGTGGATTTAGCAAATTGTTCTTTTTAACTACTTACAAATTTGATTTTTAAAAATTGAGATGAGGCTGGGCATGATGGCTCACACCTGTAATCCCAGCACTTTGGGAGGCCAAGGCGGGCGGATCACTTGAAGTCAGGAGTTCAAGACCAGCCTGGCCAACATGGCGAAACCCCATCTCTACTAAAAATACAAAAATTACCTTGGCATGGTGGTGTGTGCCTGTAATCACAGCTACTCTGGAGGCACAAGAATCGCTTGATCCCAGGAGGTGGAGGTTGCAGTGAGCTGATATTGTACCACTGTACTCCAGCCTGGTCGACTGAATGAGACTGTCTCAAAAAAAAAAAAAAAATTGAGATGAGGCTACTCTAGGTACACTGCTTATGGAGTAGCCCTGCTCTGCAAGGAGCAGTTAAAAATTTTTTTTGAGATAAAATTCACATAACAAAAGTACCCACTTTAAAAGTGAACAATTTAGTGGCATTTAATACCATTCACAATGTTGCACAGCCACCACTTTTATGTAGTTTCAACCATTTTCATCATCCCAAAAGGAAACGCTGTACTGTTAGGTAGTTTCCCTACCCTTCCCCTCAGCCCCTTGGCAGCCACTGATCTGTGCACTGTCTCTGTGGATTTGCTTATTTTAGATATTTCTTATGAATGGGATATTATACAGTATGTGACCTTTTATATCTGGCTTCTTTCACTGGGCATAGTGCTTTTGAAGTTCATCTACATTTTAGCACATGTCAGTACTTCTCTACTTTTTATGACTGAATAGTATCCCATTGTATGTGTATACCACAATTTGTTTATCCTTTCATCCACTGAGGGATGGATGTTTGTGTTGTTTCCACACCCTCTGCCCCCACCTTTTTTTAAGAGATGCCTGGGCTGGAGTGCAGTGGTGCAGTTATAGCTCACAGTATCCTCAAACTTCTGGGCTCAAGCACTCCTCCTGGTTCAGCTTCCTGAGTAGCTGTGACTGTAGGCACACACCGCCTCCCGGGTTCAAGCACTCCTCCCACCTCAGCCTTCTGAGTAGCTGGGACTATAGGCACACACCACCTGGCTAATTAAAAAAATTTTTTTAATAGAGAGGTCTAGCTGTGTTGCCCAAGGTGATCTTGAACTCCTGGCCCCAGGTGATCCTCCTGTCTTCACCTCCTGTGCTGGCATTACAGGTGTGAGCCATTGTGCCAGGCCATTTTTTTTTTTTTTTTTTTGAGACGGAGTTTTGCTCTTGTTGCCCAGGCTGGAGTGCAAATGTGATCTTGGCTCACCGCAACCTCCTCCTCCCAGGTTCAAGCGATTCTTCTGTCTCAGCCTCCTGAGTAGCTGGGATTACAGGCATGTGCCACTGCACCTGGCTAATTTTGTATTTTTAGTAGAGATGGGGTTTCTCCATGTTGGTCAGGCTGGTCTCGAACTCCTGACCTCAGATGATCCACCTGCCTCGGCCTCCCAAAGTGTTGGGGTTACAGGCATGAGCCACCGCACCCGGTCATTTTTTTTTTAATTTAAAGACAGGGTCTTGCTGTGTTGCCCAGACTGTAGTGCACTGATGCTATCATACCTCAATGTAGCCCTGAACTCCTGGGCTCAAATGATCCCCCTGCCTCAGCCTCCTGAGTCCATGCTTGTTTTTTTTGTTTCTAATTTAATTTTTAATAGACACAAGGTCTTGCTATGTTGCCCAGGCTGATCTTAAACTCCTGGGCTCAAGCAATCCCCTCCTACCTTGGCCTCCTTAAGTGCTGGGATTAAAGGTGTGAGCCACCATGCCCGGTTTATGCTTGTTTATTTTTATTTTCATTTTTTTTTTTATTTTCTTATAGAGACAGGGTTTCACCATGTTGCCCAGGCTGGTCTCAAACTCCTAGGCTCAAGTGATCTGCCCACCTTGGCCTGGGATTACAGGTGTAATTCCAGCCTGGCTCTATGCTTGTTTTTGTTTTTGTTTTTTTGGGACAGAGTCTCGCTCTGTTGCCCAGGCTGGAGTGCAGTATCGCAATTTCGGCTCACTGTGACCTCCACCTCCTGGGTTCAAGCAGTTCTCTGCCTCAGCCTCCCAAGTAGCTGAGATTATAGGTACCCGCCACCATGCCTAGCTAATTTTTGTATTTTTAGTAGAGACGGGGTTTCACCATGTTAGCCAGGCTGGTCTTGAACTCCTGACCTTGTGATCCACCCACCTCAGCCTCCCAAAGTGCTGGGATTACAGGCGTGAGCCACCATGCCCAGCCTGTGTGCTTGTTTTTTAATGTAGCTTTACTGTTTTTAAAAAATTCATGGACTTTTATTTTTGGTACACTTGTCACAATTAATGGACTAATATTGATACATTATTATTTTTTTTATTTTTTATTTTTTTGGAGACAGAGTCTCGCTCTGTCGCCCAGGCTGGAGTGCAGTGGCGTGATCTCGGCTCACTGCAAGCTCCGTCTCCTGGGTTCAACCGATTCTCCTGCCTCAACCTCCTGAGTAGCTGGGACTACAGGCATGTGCCACCACGCCCAGCTAATTTTTGTATTTTTTTAGTAGAGATGGGGTTTCACCATGTTGGCCAGGATGGTCTTGATCTCTTGACTTCGTGATCCGCCCGCCTCGGCCTCCCAAAGTGCTGGGATTACAGGCGTGAGCCACCGAGCCCGGCCTTGATACATTATTATTAATCAAAGTCCATAATTTTAAAACATTTCCTTAGTTTTTATGTACTGTTCTTTTTCTGTTTGAGGACCCCGTGTAGGATAGTACATCACTTTTAGTTGTCATGTCTCCCTGGGCTCTTCTTGACTCTGTCAGTTTCTTAGACTTTCCTTGTTTTCAGTGCCCTTAATTACTTTGAGGAGCACTAATCAGGTCTATGTAGGAGGCCCCTCTGTTGGAATTTGTCTGTTGTTTTTTCTCATAATTAGGATGGGATTATGGATTTTTATAAGTAAGAACATAGAAGTAGAGAGCCATTTTCCTCACATTATATCAAGAGTACATACTACCAACCTGAGTTTTGTGTGTTGGTATTGACCTCGATCACCTTGCTGACCAGTGTTAACTTTCTCTACTGTAAAGTTAGTCTTTTACCCCGCCTTACCATACCGTACTCTTTGGAAGGAAGTCACTGTGTCCAACCCAGACTTAAGGACTAGGGAGTTATACTCCACCACTGTGAGGGAAGAGCATCTTTATAGATTATTTAGAATTCTGTGTGGGGATTTGTCTGTTCTCCTCCATTTATTTATTTATTCAGTACATTTATATTAGCGTGGATTCGTGGGTATTTATACTTTGGGTTGTAATCCAGTCCTACTTTATTTTGTTGCTCAGTTTCAGCTTTGGCAGTTGGTGACTTGTTCAGTTGGCTCCTGTTTCCCTTTGTCATAACCACCTCACTGTTTTGTTTTTGTTTTCTTGATTACTTCCTTCTTTTCTGGCACTAAAAGATGCTCCAGGTTCATCTTGTGTTCCTTATTCCTAGAATTAGCCATTTCTCTGAATAGTACTGGTTCTTTTTATTGGAAAATGACACTAGAAACCAAGATCTGGTTTTAATATGTTTTTCTCCCCACTTTCTTCTTCTGTTCTAGTTACCATGGTTTGGGACCACAGAGATCACGTCAACAACAGCCTGTTCCAAATAGTGATGCTGTCTTGAATTGTCCTGCCTGCATGACCACACTTTGCCTTGATTGCCAAAGGTAATGGATGAAGGACACACACACACACACACACACACATACATATTTTGTTTAAATTAGAAACAGACTTTTTTTTTTTTGAAGTCAGAGTCTTACTCTGTTGCCCAGGCTGGAGTGCAGTGGCACAATCTCGCCTCACTGCAACCTCCGCCCCGTGGGTTCAAGCGAGTCTCCTGCCTCAGCCTCCCAGGTAGCTGGGATTACAAGCGGCCACCACCATGCCTGGCTAGTTTTTGTGTGTATCTAGATCTAGATCTAGATCTAGATAGATAGATAGATAGATAGATATAGTTTTGTTTTGTTTTGTTGAGATGAAGTCTCACTCTGTCGTACAAGCTGGAGTATAGTGGTGCAATCTTGGCTCGCTGCAACCTCTGCTGCCCAGGTTCAAGTGATTCTTCTGCCTCAGCCTCCAAGTGGCTGGGATTACAGGTGCCTGCCACCACACCCGGCTAATTTTTGTAGTTTTAGTACAGACAGGGTTTCACCATCTTGGCCAGGCTGATCTTGAACTCCTGACCTTGTGATCCACTTGCGTTGGCCTCCCAAAGTGCTGGGATTACAGCTGTGAGCTACCACGCCCGGCCTTATTTTTATATTTTTAGTAGAGACAGGGTCACACCATGTTGGCCAGGTTGGTCTTGAACTCCTGACCTCAAGTGATCTGCCCACCTCGGCCTCCCAAAGTGCTGGGATTACATGCGTGAGCCACTGTGCCCAGCCCAGAAACAGACTTTTGAGGTACTCAGGAATTCTGATAAAGTTCTGTACTTAGATTCTTGGTGCTGTGTGACTAATCTTTATACAATTAATTTTGATTATATATAGTTATATTAAATGTAGCTTTTATACTTTTAAAGTTGGGCACAGTGACTCATGCCTGTAATCCCAGTGCTATGGGAGGCTAAGGCGATCACTTGAGCCTAGGAGTTTGAGACCAGCCTAGGCAACATAGTGATACCTCATCTCTACAAAAAATAAAAAAATAAAAAATTAGCTGAGTATAGTGATGTATGCGTGTAGACCCAGCTACTCGATAGGCTGAGGTGAGAGGATGGCTTGAGCTCAAGAATTCAAGACTGCAGTGGGCTGTGACCACCACTGCACTCCAGCCTGGGCAACAAAACAAAGGTGAGATCCCCATCTCTCTCTCCAAAAAAAAAAAAAAAACGGGCTGGGCGTGGTGGCTCACGCCTGTAATCCCAGCACTTTGGGAGACCGAGGTGGGCGGATCACGAGGTCAGGAGATCGAGACCACGGTGAAACCCTGTCTCTATTAAAAATACAAAAAATTAGCCGGGCATGGTGGCGGGCGCCTGTAGTCCCAGCTACTCCGGAGGCTGAGGCAGGAGAATGGCGTGAACCCAGGAGGCGGAGCTTACAGTGAGCCGAGGTCACGCCGCTGCACTCCAGCCTGGGCAACAGAGCGAGACTCCGTCTCAAAAAAAAAAAAAAAAGGTATCTTTTCTAGTGCAAAATAGCAGCATAGAAGCAAACTGGCTCTCCTTCCCCCTGCAGAATACCAAAACCAAATATACAGCACTGAAGCTATCACCACCAGTATCCCAGATCTCAATATAAGGAGGAGACAGTTTCTAGGGCCACAGAGAAGTAAAAAAAACTTAAAGCAGACAGTAAGAGAATTGTTCTTCCATATCTGCTTATCCTTCTCCACAATCTGCCTGGCACCAAGTGAGCAGAAAAATTCCCCTGAGCTCATGATTTTTACATTAGAAAAAGTAAGATGGAAGTGTACAACCAGCTTCTTTACCTTTTTGAGTTCTCTGGTAAGAGATCTGTCCCTGCCTCAACTCATAGGAAGCACTGAGAGTGCCTGAAGGAAAAAATATCCCTGAGGATAGCCAGAGACAAAGAAGGATAGCCAGAGACAAAGCCAGGTCCCAAGTGTGAACCCCTAGCCAGCATTCCCATCCTACTGGGATATCCCTATCCTCTTTGGGACCCACCCCCCACTTCATTTGGAACAGGCAGCACGCTCAGTGTTTACTAGAACTGAGGCTTAAAGTGCCATCTGGTGCCAAAAAGGAAGCAATGACGTAGTGGGAAGAAAGGAAAAAGAAAGAATATCAACATGCAAATTGCAAATTACAAAGAATCTCTAGGCAAACATATCTAATAACCAAAAAAAAGCAAAGCAGAGAAGACTGGAACAAATAACTAATCCTTCAATACAAAGATGTACATTTACATCCACAAGACACAGTAGCAAATGGAACCATGACCTCTTCAAATGGACAAAACAAGGAATCAAGTGAACCCTTATCACATATCACATATCACAATACTGTGATATGTGAACTCTCTGACCAAGAATTCAAAATAGCAGTTTTAAGAAAACTGAGTGATCTCCAAGACAGCCCAGGCAATTCAGAAATTTATCAGATAAATTTAACAGAGATCGAAATAATTAAAAAAATTATGGGCACAGTGGCTCATACCTGTAATCCCACTACTTTGGGAGGCCAAGCTGGGAGGATGGCTTGAGGCCAGGAGTTTGAGACCAGTCTGGGCAACATAGTAAGACTCTGTCTCTACAGAAAACGAAAAAAACTTAGTTGGTGTCTTGGCATACGCTTATAGACCCAGCTACTTTGGAGGCTGAGGTGGGAAGATCACTTGAGCCCTGGAAGTCGAGGCTGCAGTGAGCCATGATTGTGCCACTGTACTCCAGAATGGGTGGCAGAGTCAGACTCTGTCTCTAAAAGAAGAACAAAATAAAATAAAACAGAAATCTGGGAACTCAGCCGGGCACAGTGGCTCACGCCTGTAATCCCAGCACTTTGGGAGACTGAGGAGGGCTGATCACGAGGTCAGGAGATCGAGACCATCCTGGCTAACATGGTGAAACCCCGTCTCTACTAAAAATACAAAAAATTAGCTGGGCGTGGTGGCATGTGCCTATAGTCCCAGCTACTCGGGAGGCTGAGGCAGGAGAATCGCTTGAACCCAGGAGGCAGAGGTTGCAGTGAGCCGAGATCATGCCACTGCATTCCAGCCTGCGCAATGGAGCGAGACTCCATCTAAAAAAAAAAAAAAAAAAGAAATCTGGGAACTCTGAGAAATATATTTGCTGAACTAAAAAATTCATTAGAGGCTCTCAACAGCAGAAGGGATCAGCAAAAGAAAGAATCAGTGAGCTTAAAGATAGACTGTTTGAAAATGCACAATCAGAGGAGAAAGAAAAGGTATGAAGGTCTACAAGATATAAAATATTATCTCAAAAGATTAAATCTAAGAATTGGTACTCAGGAGGGAGTAGAGCAAAAGCAAGGAGTAGAAAGCTTATTCAAAAAATTAATAGCAGTAGCTGGGGATGGTGGCTGACACTTGTAATCCCAGCACTCTGGGAGGCGGAGGTGGGTGGATCACCTGAGGTCAGCAGTTCGAGACCAGCCTGGCCAACATGGTGAAACCCTGTCTCTACTAAAAATGTAATCAAATTAGCTGGGCGTGGTGGTGCATGCCTGTAATCCAAGCTACTCGGGAGGCTGAGGCAGGAGAATCGCTTGTACCCAGGAGGCGGAGGTTGCAGTGAGCTGAGATCACACCATTGCACTACAGCCTGGGCAACAAGAGCAAAACTTGGTCTCAAAAATAATAATTATAATAATAGCAGAAAATGTTCCAAAACTTGAGAAGGAGATATTTATGGCCAGAGAACACCAAACACATTTGACTCAAATAAAACCACCCCCAGGCATATAACAATAAAACAGTAAAACTGTCCAAAGGTTATGGACAAAGAGAGGATCTTGAAAGGAGCAAGATAAATGAAGCAAATAGCATATAAAGTAGCTACAGTTCATCTGGCAACAGATTTCTCAGTGGAAAGCATACAGATCAGGAGGGAGTGGAATGAAAAAAAAAAATGCCAGGCTGGGTGTGGTGGTTTATCCTGTAATCCCAGCACTTTGGGAGGCGGAAGCGGGTGGATCACTTGAGGCAGGGAGTTTGAGACAAGCCTGGCCAACACGGTGAAACCCCTCTGTACTAAAAATATTAAAAAATTAGCTGAGCATGGTGGCATTTGCCTATAATCCCAGTTTTTTGGGAGGCTGAGGCACGAGAATTGTTTGGACCTGGGAGGCACAGGTTGCAGTGAGCTGAGATTGCACCACTGCATTCCAGCCTGGGGGACAGAGTGAGACTCTGTCTCAGAAATAAAGGGCTAGGTGTGGTGGCTCATGCCTGTAATCCTAGCACTTTGGGAGGCAGGGGAGGGTGGATCACCTGAGGTCAGGAGTTCAAGGCCAGCCTGGCCAACATGGTGAAACTCTGTCTCTATTAAAAATACAAAAATTAGCTGGGCGTGTTGGCGCGTGCCTGTAATCCCAGCTACTGGGGAGGCTGAGGCAGGAGAATTGCTTGAACCAAGGAGGTGGAGGTTGCAGTGAGCCAAGATCACACCACTTCACTCCAGCCTGAGTGACAGAGTGAGACTCTGTCTCAAAAAAAGAAGAAAAAAATAAAGAGAGAAAAGAAAGAACTGGGCCAGGCATGGTGGCTCATGCCTGTAATCCTAGCACTTTGGGAGGCTGAGGCAGGTGGATCACCTGTGGTCAGGAGTTCGAGACCAGCCTGGCCAACATGGTGAAACCCCATCTCTACTAAAAATATAAAAAATTAGCCGGAAGTCGTGGCGGACACCTGTAATCCAAGCTTACTCAGCAGCCTGAGGCAGGAGAATCACTTGAACCAGGGAGGTGGAGGTTGCAGTGAGCCAAGATTGCGCCACTGCACTTCAGCCTGGGCAACAAGGGCGAAACTCTGTTTCAAAAAAAAAAAAAAAAGAAAAGAAAGAACCTTGTTATAACTGTAAGTTTTTTTTTTGTGATTTCATGATAACCATAATGCAAAAACCTATAATAGATTCACCAAAATCAAAAAGCAATGGATTAAAACATACTACCAGAGAAAATCACTTAATCACGAAGGAAGACAGTAAGGAAGGGAAGAGTTACAAAACAACCAGAAAAAAAGCAGCAAAATGCCAGTAGTTGTATTAGTCTGCTCTTGCACTGCTATAAGGAAATACCCGAGACTGGATAATTTATAAAGAAAGAAGTTTAATTGGCTCATAATTCCACAGGCTGTATAGGAAGCATGGCTGGGGAGGTCTCAGGAAACTTTTTTTTTTTTTTTGAGAGGGAGTCTTGCTTGTCACCCAGGCTGGAGTGCAGTGGCACGATCTTGGCTCACTGCAACCTCCACCACCCAGGTTCACGCAATTCTCCTGTCTCAGTCTCCCAAGTAGCTGGGACTACAGGCACACACCACCACTCCTGGCTAATTTTTGTATTTTTAGTAGAGGTGGGGTTTCACCATATCGGTCAGGCTGGTCTTGAACTCCTGACCTCAGGTGATCCACCCGCCTTGACCTCCCAAAGTGCTGGGATTACAGGCTTGAGCCAGTGCACCTGGCCAGGAAACTTTTAATGATGGCAGAAGGCAAAGGGGAAGCAGGCACATCTTACATGGCCAGAGCAAGAGGAAGAGAGAGAGGGGAGGTGCCACATACTTTTAAACAATCAAATCTTGTGAGTACTCACTATCACAAGAGCAGCACGAGGGGGAAGTCTGCCCCCAAGATCTAGTCACCTCCCACCAGGTCCCACCTCCAACATTGGAGATTACAATTTGACATGAGATTGGGGCAGGGACACAGACCCAAGCCACATCAGTAGCAAATCCTTACTTATCAGTACTAACACAATGTAAATGGACTCACTTCTCCAATTTAAAGGCAGACAGTGGCTGAATGGATCAACAAACAAGACTCAACTATATGCTGCCTAGAAGAAACTTGCTTCACTTGTAAGGACACATGGACTGAACATGAATGGGAAAAGATATTTCATGCAGCTGGAAACCAGTATAGGAATAGCTGTCCTTAAAACAGACTACAATCAAGGACTGTAAAAAGGAAACAAAGAAGTTTACTATATAAAGGGGTCAATTCAGCAAGAGGAATTTATATAACAGTATAAATATCTATGCAGCCAACATTGGAACTCCCAGGTATATAAACATTAATAGATCCAAAGGGGCTGGGCGCAGTGGCTCACGCCTGTAATCCCAACACTTCAGGAGGCCGAGGTTGGTGGATCACAACGTCAGGAGATTGAGACCAGCCTGGCCAACATGGTGAAACCCCATCTCCACAAAAATACCAAAATTAGCTGGGCATGATGGCGGGTGCCTGTAATCTAGCTACTCAGGAGGCTGAGGTGGGAGAATCACTTGAAGCTGGGAGGTGAAGGTTGCAGTGAGCCAAGATCGTGCTATTGCACTGCAGCCTGGGTGACAGAGTGAGACTCCATCTCAAAAAAAAAAAAAAAAAAAAAAAAAAATCTAAAGGGAGAGATACAATACAGTATTAGTATTGCAATACAATAATAGTAGGGGACTTCAACACTCCACTCTCAGTAATGGACAGATCATCCAGATAGAAAACCATAAAGAAACATCAGAGTTAAACTACACAGTAGACCAAAGAAGCCTAACTGACATTTACAGAACATTTCACCCAAATAATCTAATGATACACCTCAAGGAACTAGAAAAGCAAGGACAGACCAAATCCAACATTAATAGAAGGAAAGAGGCTGGGCATGGTGGCTCACACCTGTAATCCCAGCACTTTGGGAGGCTAAAGCAGGCAGATCACGAGGTCAGGAGTTTGAGACCAGCCTGACCAACCTGGTGAAACCCTGTCTCTACTAAAAATACAAAAATGAGCCAAGTGTGGTGGCGTACACCTTTAATCCCAGCTACTCAGGAGGCTGAGGCAGGAGAATCGCTTGAACCCGGGAGGCAGAGGTTGCAGTGAGCCGAGATCACACCATTGCACTCCAGCCTGGGTGACAGAGCGAGACTCCATCTCAAAAAAAAAATTAATTTATTAAATAAAATAAAAGGAAAGAAATAATAAAGATCAAGGCAGGAATGAATGAAATTGAGACCCCAAAAAACCCAAACAAACAAGCCAGAAGATTAATGAAATTAAAAGTTGATAATTTTAAAAGATACAATTGACAAACCTCTTAGAAAAAAAGAGAGAAGGCCCAAATAAATTAGAAATAGAAAAGAAGGCATAACAACTGAGACCACAGAAATACAAGGAATCAGGCTAGGCACGGTGGCTCATGCCTGTAATCCCAGCACTTTAGGAGGCCGAGGTGGACAGATTACCTGAGGTCAGGAGTTCAAGATGAAACTGACCAACATAGTGAAACCCTGTCTCTACTAAAAAATACAAAATTAGCCAGGTGTGGTGGTGCATTCCTGTAATCCCAGCTACTTGGGAGGCTGAGGCAGGAGAATCACTTGAACCCGGGGGGCAGAGGTTGTGGTGAGCTGAGATCACGCCATTGCACTCCAGCCTGGACAACAAGAGTGAAACCCCATCTCAAAAAAAAAAAAAAAAAGAAATAGAATCGTCTGGGTGCGGTGGCTCACGCCTGAAATCCCAGCACTTTGGGAGGCCGAGGCGGGCAGATCACAAGGTCAGAAGATCGAGACCATCCTGGCTAACACAATGAAACCCCATCTCTACTAAAAATACAAAAAAATTAGCCAGGCATGGTGGCGGGCGCCTGTAGTCCCAGCTACTCGGGAGGCTGAGGCAGGAGAATGGCGTGAACCCAGGAGACGGAGCTTGCAGTGAGCCGAGATCGCGCCACTGCACTCCAGCCTGGGCGACAGAGCGAGACTCCATCTCAAAAAAAAAAAAAAAGTTACTTTCAAAAAGCAGAAGGAAAGAGGATACATTTCTTCCTTACACTGTTACATACTAAAATGTTTCTTCTGCCTGGTGCAGTGGCTTGTGCCTGTAATCCCAGCTACCAGGGAGGCTGAGGCAGGAGGATCACTTGAGGCTAAGAGTTCAAGGCTGCAGTGAGCTGTGTTCACAAGTTTTAATTATTCTTAAAACAACTGTTTAAAATTTCTTTAAACTTGCTGTTTTGTTCCTGTGTCTTGTCTTTGGTTGGTATTTCAGTAAGTTTTTGGTATTCTCAAATTTTATCTAAATGGATAAACTATTAACATAGAACATAAACCCCAATTCTCCATTTCATTTTTCTCTTAGGCATGAATCATACAAAACTCAATATAGAGCAATGTTTGTAATGAATTGTTCTATTAACAAAGAGGAGGTTCTAAGATATAAAGCCTCAGAGAACAGGAAGAAAAGGCGGGTCCATAAGAAGATGAGGTCTAACCGGGAAGATGCTGCCGAGAAGGCAGAGACAGATGTGGAAGAAATCTATCACCCAGTCATGTGCACTGAATGTTCCACTGAAGTGGCAGTCTACGACAAGGATGAAGTCTTTCATTTTTTCAATGTTTTAGCAAGCCATTCCTAAACAGCCCAACTGGCATTTAATTACCCAATACTGTATATAAGGCAAATATGGACAGTTACTTTCCTCTTGCCTGTTCATATCCTTCAGTGACATTGAGGAAGCAGTGTTTCTCTTTTTAAAGGAGAATAGTTGTCAACCTTCATTCATCTCTTACATCTCTCACCCTCTCCTTTTTTTTTTCTTTGATTTTCCCCCTTATTGATGGGACTGATATTCATTCTGTTTTTGATGAACATTTGGAAACTGTCGGGCTTTTTATTAAAGCTCTGTAGAATTAAAATGTTCTGGAATTATAAGCAATCTTTGTTTCTGAGTGTTATTTTTATTTTGGATATAGCTTTGATGTAATTAAACTGGAAACTCTTTCCTGAATTGTCTGTATTGTTTTTGCTAAGATGTATCTTTATTCACCCCCACCCCACATGATGAATGACAGTATTTAGTAACTGTTACAATTGCGTGGAATAGGCTGGTAGCTTTGGCTCCTGCCTGTAATCCCAGCACTTTGGGAGGTCAAGGCGGGTGGATCAGGAGTTCAGGAGTTTAGGAGTTTGAGACCAGCCTGACCAACATGGTGAAACGCTGTCTGTCTCTACTAAAAATAGAAAAATCAACTGGGCGTGGTGGTGTGCACCTGTAATTCCAGCTACTCGGGAGGCTGAGGCAGGAGAATTGCTTGAACCTGGGAGGCTGAGGTTGCAGTGAGCTGAGATCATATCACTGTACTCCAGCCTGGGTGAGAGTAAGACTTTGTCTCAAAACAAACAACAAAGAAACAAACAATTGCATGGAGTAGGTACTGTCAGATGCTTTAAGTAATAAAGGTCCTTTTCTGAAAAGGAGTACACTTACCAGTATTCTAAACTTAATGAATGCACATTTTAAAATATAAATTTATGGTGAGGGAAAGCAACCTCCCCTTCTGACTAGACTTAAAAATTCTGGCCGGGTGTGGTGGCTCACCCCTGTAATTCCAGCACTTTGGGAGACCTAGCTGGGCTGATCACTTGAGGTCAGGAGTTCCAGGGCAGCCTGGCTAACATGGTGAAACCCCATTTCTACTAAATATACAAAAATTAGCCAGGCCTGGTGGTGGGCGCCTGTAATCCTAGCTACTTAGGAAGCTGAGGCAGGAGAATCACTTGAACCTGGGAGGTGGAGGTTGCAGTGAGCCGAGATCTTGCCACTCCACTCCCACCTGGGTGACAGAGCAAGACCCTGTCTCAAAGAAAAAAGAAAAAAAAAAATTCTGCTGCCACCTCTTGTGCCTGCTATTTATTACTTCTGTTGCAAACAACCAAGATATAATTTTTTGGGGTATTAATATAAAAACCAGTGGCAGCTTGAGGGGAAATTGCATTGTAGGCATCTGTGTATTTTCAGTCTTTAAAAGAATGATATGGCTGAATGCAGTGGCTCATGACTATAATTCCAGCACTTTGGGAGGCTGAGGAGGGAGGATCGCTTGAGACCAGGAGTTCAAGACCAGCCTGGGCAACATAGCAAGGCCCTGTCTCTACAAAAAAAAAAAAAAAAAAATTAAAAATTAGCTGAACGTGGTGGTGTGTGCCTATAGTCCCAGCTACTTGGGAGGCTGAGGTGGGAGGATCACTTGAGCTTGGCAGACCAAGGCTGAACTGAGCTTTGATCATGCCACTGCATTCTAGCCTGGGTAACAGATTGAGGCCCTCTCTTAAAAATGAAAGAATGATATGATTTGGGTTGTTTCTCCCAACCTCAGGTGATCCGCCCGCCTTGGCGTCCCAAAGTGCTGGGATTATAGGCATGAGCCACCGCGCCCAGCCAGAAAATGTGTTTTAACTCAGGCTCTGCTATGCTAATCTTGGACAAGTCTGTTCCTTTGAGGCCCAGTTTTCTCATCTATAAAATGAAAATACTAGACAAGAGCAGTAGTCTCCTACAGAGATCAGGTGTCAACAAAGCTTGAGGGGGACCTCTGCATATTCCATAAGAGAAAAGATGCTTTCCTCACCTCCTACCCTTCTATGTTTTCTACAAGCTATGTGTAAAGAGAGCTGGAACCAGTTACGGAGTGTTTGTATGAATGAGGTGGGGACAGAAAACTGATAATTTCTAAGGAATCTCCAATGTCTTATACCTATTATACTTCTGCCAGGCATGGTGGCTCATGCCTGTAATCCCAGCACTTTGGGAGGCCGAAGTTGGTGGATCACCTGAGGTCAGGAGTTCGAGACCAGCCTGGCCAACATGGTGAAACCCCGTCTCTGCTAAATATACAAAAATTAGCTGGGTTTGGTGGCACGTGCCTGTAATCCCAGCTACTTGGGAGGCTGAGGCAGGAGAATTGCTTGAACCCAGGAGGCGGAGCTTGCAGTGAGCTTAGATTGCGCCACTACACTCCAGCCTGGACGACAGAGCGAGTCTCTGTCTCAGAAAAAAAAAAATGGCTATTGTACTTCATAATTTTTATAATATACTGATATCTATTTGATTGGAAGCAATATATATACTTTATTTTTTCATTTTTATTTTTTATTTTATTTAATTAATTTTTTTTTTGAGATGGAGTCTCGCTCTGTTGCCAGGCTGGAGTGCAGTGGCATGATCTCGGCTCACTGCAACCTCTGCCTCCCAGGTTCAAGTGATTCTCCTGCCTCAGCCTCCCAAACAGCTGGTACTACAGGCATGTGCCACCACATCCAGCTAATTTTTGTATTTTTAGTAGAGATGGGGTTTCACCGTGTTAGCCAGGATAGTCTCGATCTCCTGACCTCGTGATCTGCCCGCCTCGGCCTCCCAAAGTGCTGGGATTACAGGCATGAGCCACTGCACCTGGCCCTTTTCTTTTTCTTTTTTTGACAGAATCTTGATCTGTCGCCCAGGCTGGAGTGCAGTGGCGTGATCTCAGCTCTCAGCTCACTGCAACCTCCACCTCCTGGGTAGCTGGGACACCTGGCTAATTTTTGTATTTTTAGTAGAGATGGGGTTTCACCATGTTGGCCAGGCTGGTCTTGAACTCCTGGCCCCAAGTGATCCACCTGCCTCGGCCTCCCAAAGTGCTGAGATTACAGGCGTGACGGCACCCGGCTTCTATTTTTATTTTTTTACTTTATTTTTTATTTATCTATATTTTTTGAGACAGAGTTTTGCTCTTGTGGCCCAGGCTGGAGTGCAATGGCATGATTTCGGCTCACTGCAACCTCCGCCTCCTGGATTCAAGCGATTCTCCTGCCTCAGCCTCTCAAGTAGCTGAGATTACAGGCATGCACTACCTCACCGAGCTAATTTTGTATTTTTAGTAGAGATGGGGTTTCACCATGTTGGCCAGGCTGGTCTGCAACTTCTGACCTCAGGTGATTCACCTGCCTTGGCCTCCAAAAATGCTGGGATTACAGGCATGAGCCACCTTGTCCGGCCCATTTTTATTTTTTATACATTCTTTAAATGTTTCCATTTATAGCCAGGTAATACACTGCAGAATAGCACTACCAGTCTATTACTTGTAATCTGTGTTTGCCATGTCGTACTTTGCAAGATCTTCTGTATTACTGTCATTGCAAACCTTACTTCCTTTCCAGGTCCCCCCCAACCAACAACCACTCCTCCATCGGACCCTCATCCCACTTCTACTGGAAAGTTCTCAGTGATTTTACCCATAAACATCACTTTGGACCAGCACAGTGGCTCATGCCTATAATCGTAGCACTTTGGGAGGCTGAGGCAGGAGGACCCCTTGAGCCCAGGAGTTTGAGGCCAGCCTGGGCAACAGGGAGACCCTATCTCTATATAATACAAACACAAATAAAAAATCACCTGGGCCGGGCATGGTGGCTCACGCCTGTAATCCCAGCACTTTGGGAGGCTGAGGCGGGCAGATCACGAGGTCAGGAGATAGAGACCATCCTGGCTAATACGGTGAAACCCAGTCTTTACTAAAAATACAAAAATTTAGCCAGGCATGGTAGTGGGTGCCTGTAGTCCCAGCTGCTCAGGAGGCTGAGGCAGGAGAATGGCGTGAACCTGGGAGGCAGAGCGTGCAGTGAGCCAAGATTGCTCCACTGCACTCCAGCCTGGGCGACAGAGCGAGACTCCGTCTCAAAAAAAAAAAAAAAAAAAATCACCTGGAGCAGACCACGTGCAGTGGCTCACTCCTGTAATCCCAGCACTTTGGAAGGCCAAGGCAGGTGGATTACCTGAGGTCAGGAGTTCGAGACCAGCCTGACCAACATGGGGAAACCTTATCTCTACTAAAATACAAAAATTAGCTGGCCATAGTGGCACGTGCCTATAATCCCAGCTACTCAGGAGGCTGAGGCAGGAGAATCACTTGAACCCGGGAGGTGGAGGTTGCAGTGAGCTGAGATCATACCACTACACTCCAGCCTGGGCAGCAGAGGAAGCCTCCATCTCAGAAAAACAACAACAACAACAAAACTTAGTCGGGCGTGTTGGCAGGTGCCTGTAGTCCCAGCTACTCAGGGAGGCTGAGGCAGGAGAATCGCTTGAACCCGGGAGGTAGAGGTTGCCATGAGCTGAGATCATACCACTGCACTCCAGCCTGGGCAACAGAGCCCATCTCAAAAAAAAAAAAAAAAAAAAAAAGGCAGCAAATCACAGTGTATAAAGATATAATTTGTGATCATCACAACATAAAGGAGAGGGAGATAGCTATATAGGAACAGGGTTTTATATGCTATTTAAGCTCAGTTGATTTTTTTTTTTTTTGAGACGGAGTTTCACTCTTGTTGCTCGGGCTGGTGTGCAATGGCGCGATCTCAGCTCACCACAACCTCCCCCTCCCCGGCTCAAGTGATTCTCCTGCCTCAGCCTCTCGAGTAGCTGGGATTACAGGCATGTGCCACCACCCCAGCTAATTTTGTATTTTTAGTAGAGACGGGGTTTCTCCATGTCAGTCAGGCTGGTCTTGAACTCCCGACCTAAGGCAATCCATCCGCCTCGGCCTCCCAAAGTACTGGTATTACAGGCGTGAGCCACTTCTCCCAGCCTAAGCTCAGTTTTTATTGATTGAAGATAGTTTGTTATAAATTTAATATGATGACCAGGCACGGTGGCTCACACCTGTAATCCCAGCACTTTGGGAGGTCGAGGCGGGCAGATCACTTGAGGTCAGGAGTTCGGGACCAGCCTGACCAACATGGTGAAACCCTGTCTCTATGAGAAAATTTAAAAAATAAAATGAAAATAAAAATAAACAAGCATACACCAAGCATGATGGCTCACACCTGTAATCCCAGCACTTTAGGAAGCCAAGGCAGGAGGGAATTGCTTGAGGTAGGAGAATCGCTTGAACCCAGGAGGCAGAAATTGCACTGAGCTGCGATTGGGCCACTGCACTCCAGCTTGGGTGACAGAGCGAGAGCTGTCTCAAAAAAAAAAAAAAAAAAAAGATTTTCTTTCTGAATTCATTTTGATAAATGACCATTTATCAGGATGATTTATCAGGATTTTATGTAATTAATTAATTAATTTTTTTGAGACAGAGTCTCATTCTGTTGCCCCGGCTGGAGTGCAGTGGCAACGTCTCGGCTCACTGTAACCTCTGCTTCCCAGGTTCAAACGATTCTCCTGCCTCAGCCTCCCGAGGAGCTGGGACCACAGGCATGTGCCACCATGCCCGGCTATTTTTTTGTGTTTTTTGGTAGAGACAGGGTTTCATCATGTTGGCCAGGCTGGTCTCGAACTCCTGACCTCAAGTGATCTGCCTGCCTCAGCCTCCCAAAGTGCTGGGATTACAGGCGTGAGCCATCGCGCCTAGCCAATTCATCGGGATTTTAAAGGAATTTGTTCATTTTTTCTATGTTTTCAAATTTATTGAATAAAGTCGTTCATACCTTTCTCTCATTATCTTTAATATCTGCTGGATATGTAGTTGTGCCTCCGTTTTCCATTTCTAATATTTATGTTTTCTCTTTTTTCCTTGATCGAATTTCAGTCTTATTTCATTAATTTTTAATCTTATCTGTATCATCTCCTTCATTCTAGTCAACTTGCATTTATTCTGTTGTTCTTTTCCAATCTTCTTCTTCTTTTTTTTTTTCTTGAGACAAAGTCTCGCTCTTGTTGCCCAGGCTGGAGTGCAGTGGTGCAATCTCACCTCACTGCAGCCTCTGCCTTGTGGGTTCAAGCGATTCTCCGGCCTCAACCTCCCAAGTAGCTGGGATTACAGGCGCTCGCCACCAGGCACAGCTAATTTTTGTTTTTTTAGTAAAGACGTGGTTTCACCATCTTGGCCAGGCTGGTCTCGAACTCCTGACCTCAGGTGATTGCCTACTTTGACCTCCCAAACTGCTGGGATTATAGGTGTGAGCCACCGCACCTGGCCTCTTCCTATCTTCTTAAGGTGGATGCTTAGCTCATTTTCAGACTTTCTCTTTTTTAATGTAAACATTTAGGGCTATAGGTTTTCTCTCCTTTCATTGCATCCCACGTGTTGTATATATAGTCTTTTTGTTCAGTTTCAATTATTGTTATTTTTCAATTATGATTTTAAAAGTCATTAGTTATTGAGAAGTATTTTTACAATTTTTTTTTTTTTTGAGACAGAGTCTCGCTCTGTTGCCCAGGCTGGAGTACAGTGGCGCAGTGGCATGATCTCCGCTCACTGTGCAACCTCTGCCTCCCGGGTTCAAGCAATTCCCCTGTCTCAGCCTCCTGAGTAGCTGGGATTACAGGCAGCTGCCACAATGCCTGGCTAATTTTGTTTTGTATTTTTAGTAGAGACGGGGTTTCACCCTATTAGCCAGGATGGTCTCGATCCCCTGACCTCGTGATCCACCCCCGTCGGCCTCCCAAAGTGCTGGGATTACAGGCGTGAACCACCACGCCCAGCATTTTTTTTTTTTTTTTGAGACAGTCTTGCACTGTCGCCCAGGCTGGAGTGCAGTGGCGCGATCTCAGCTCACTGCAACCTCTGCCTCATGGATTTCAAGGGATTCTCCTGCCTCAGCCTCCCAAGTAGCTGGGATTACAGGTGCCCACCACCAACCCCAGCTAATTTTTTGTATTTTTAGTAGAGACGGGGTTTCACTATGTTGGCCAGGCTGGTCTTAAACTCCTGACCTCATGATCCTCCTGCTTCAGCCTCCCAAAATGCTGGGATTACAGGTGTGAGCCATGACGCCTGGCCTTCTTTTATAATTTCTAAACATATATAGGACTTTTAAAATGTATCTATCTTTTGCCAGGTGCGGTGGCATGTGCCTATAGTCCCAAGTATTTAGAAGACTGAGGCAGGAGAACTACTTGAACCCAGAAGTTCGAGGCTCTAGTTGATAGATTATTTAATTGTTTTGAATAGAGACCATTGTTAGTATGCTATAACTTATTTGAAATTTTTTGAGACTTTCTTTTATTATCTAGTTCTGAATATTTTTTGCTTTAATACCCCCATTTAATTAATAATTAATTAATTTGTTTTTGAGATGGAATCTTGTTCTGTCACCCAGGCTGGAGTGCAGTGGTATTATCTCGGCTCACTGCAACCTCTGCCTTCCTGGTTCAAGTGATTCTCCTGCCTTAGCCTCCCAAGTAGCTGGGATTATAGGTGCCCACCACCAGTCCTGGCTAATTTTTGTATTTTAGTAGAGACAGGGTTTTACCATGTTGGCCAAGCTGGTCTTGAACTCCTGACCTCAGGTGATCCACCTGCCTTGGCTTCTCAAAGTGCTGGGATTACGGGCGTGAGCCACTGCACCCAGCCAGATAATTGTTGATATTCTTCTTTGGTACTACATGAAATCTTTTTTTTTTTTTTTTTTTTTTTTTTTTTGAGACGGAGTCTCGCTCTGTCGCCCAGGCCGGACTGCGGACTGCAGTGGCGCAATCTCGGCTCACTGCAAGCTCCGCTTCCCGGGTTCACGCCATTCTCCTGCCTCAGCCTCCCCAGTAGCTGGGACTACAGGCGCCCGCCACCGCGCCCGGCTAATTTTTTGTATTTTTAGTAGAGACGGGGTTTCACCTTGTTAGCCAGGATGGTCTTGATCTCCTGACCTCATGATCCACCCGCCTCGGCCTCCCAAAGTGCTGGGATTACAGGCGTGAGCCACCGCGCCCGGCCTACATGAAATCTTAACAAGTATTACCTTCTTTAAGGTTTGATGCTTAAAGATGTTTCCAGAGCAGATTACTGTGTGATTCCTAGTGCACTGGGTTGGGAAGATCTGCCCTCAGTGTTGGTGGGCACCATCCGATCGGCCCAGAAAGAACAAATACAGAAGACAATTTGGTCTCTCTGAGAGCTGGGACAGACTTTTCTTCTGTTGCCGTGGACATCAGAAACTTGACTGCATGAATGTGTATTATCACAATGTTGACTTTTTTTTTTTTTTTTTTTTTTTTGGATAGAGTCTCACTCTGTCGCCTAAGCTGGAGTGCAGTGGTACTATCTCGGCTCACTGCAATCTCCGCCTGCTGGGTTCAAGCGATTCTCATGCCTCAGCCTCCCGAGTAGCTGGGATTACAGGCACCTGCCACCATGCCCGGCTAATTTTTGTATTTTTTTTTTTAGTAGAGATGGAGTTTCACCATGTTGGCCAGGCTAGTGTCGAACTCCTGAGCCCGCCACAATGTTGACTTTGTGTGAGTAAGCAGTGTGCATGTATGTGACAACGTTGAAACTTCCTCAATAAAGGAGGGGAGAGCCAGGTGCACTGGCTAACGCCTGTAATCCTAGTACTTTGGGAGGCCGAGGAAGGCAGATCACCTGAGGTCAGGAGTTCGAGACCAGCCTGCTGCACTGCACTCCAGCCTGGGCTGGAGGCTGCTGT
Organism: Homo sapiens; assembly: GCF_000001405.40. Lineage (NCBI taxonomy): Eukaryota > Metazoa > Chordata > Mammalia > Primates > Hominidae > Homo > Homo sapiens. The sequence goes on along the minus strand of NC_000014.9, from coordinate 34,507,541 downwards.
GAGCCGAGATGGTGCCACTGCACTTCAGCCTGTGTTGTGACAGAGCGAGATCTCTCTCAAAAAAACAAAAAAAGAAAAAGAAAAAAGAAGAGACGTTCTTTTTTTTTTTTTTTTTTTTTTTTTTTTGAGATGGAATTTTACCCTTGTTGCCCAGGCTAGAGTGCAATGGCACGATCTTGTCTCACTGCAACCTCTGCCTCCTGGGTTCAAGCGATTCTCTTGCCTCAGCCTCCTGAGTAGCTGGGATTTACAGGTGCCTGCCACAAGCCCAGCTAATTTTTGTATTTTTAGTAGAGATGGGGTTTTACCATGTTGGCCAGGCTGGTCTCGAACTCCTGACCTCAGGTGAATCTCCCGCCTCGGCCTCCCAAAGTGCTGGGATTACAGGCATGAACCACTGCGCCCGGCGAGATGTTCTTTTCGTACATCTGCATTTGTGATAACATTTCTCCAGATCACCAGGCACGGTGGCTCATGCCTGTAGTCCCAGCACTTTGGGAGGCCGAGGCGGGCTGATCACCTGAGGTCGGGAGTTCGAGACCAGCCTGACCAACATGGAGAAAACTCGTCTCTACTAAAAATACAAAATTAGCCAGGCGTGGTGTTGCATGCCTGTAATCCCAGCTACTCAGGAGGCTGAGGCAGGAGAACTACTTGAACCTAGGAGGCAGAGGTTGTGGTGAGCCGAGATAGCACCATTGCACCACTCCAGCCTGGGCGACAAGAGCGAAACTCCGTCTCAAAAAAAAAAAAAAGTCTCCAAATCTTGGCTGTTTGGGTGACCGAATATGTGATGGTGACCCATCAAGTTTTTTGATTGATCTCATCAAAGACTTAGCTTGTTTGTCATGGTATTTCAGATACCTGCAGTTATAAAGCTGGGTGCACACAATTACCAACTACAGTGATGTGTGTTTATATGTTTCCCATTTCGACCTATTTCTTTATGAATATGGCTTGTCTGCTCATAACTGTTATGCCCATACAGCTGTTGTTAGCATATCTGAGTGTTTATACTTGTAAAAAAGTGAATGTTATTATTGTCTGTTTTATTGTGTAAGAGGTTTATGAAGCCTTCTGTTGTGTTTTTATATATTTCTCAATAAATCCCCCTTAAAGACTTTTAAATGATTTTTTCCAGAATTATATTTGTAGGATTTTGATCTTTTAGAATTTCAACATTCAGGATGATGGCATTCAGGACTGTGCCTTTCAGGACTGTGATTGACTCCCCACCCATAGGACTGCTGAGTGTCCTCACTGCAGGCTTCCCCTGGAGTCAGTGATCTAAGACCAAGACGAAGGTACAAACTGCAATATCTTTTATGATCTAGCCTTGGAAACAACACACTGTTACTTCTGCCTCATTCTGTTGGACATAGAGTACAACATGATTCCATGTTACACACCTTCCCACATGATTCCAAGTGGGAAGGTGTGTAAACTAGTAAGTGAATTCCAGGAAGCAAGGATCACTGGGGCCATTTGGTGACTGGCTACCACAATAACCTTCCAGCTTATCTCAATGGAAAGTTGTAATGACTCTTGTAAACCTTATCTAAAAGGGTTTAACTTATCCCCTACCTTGGGAATGTGATACGCTGATGTTTGTTCACTGTATGAGGACTCTTCCATTTCTCCTATGTTCAAAGTCCATCTGAAACTCATATAATTAGAAAGACCATTTAAAAATGGGTTGAAGTTTATCTTTTTGTTTGTTTGTTTTGTTTTGTTTTGAGACAGAGTCACGCTCTGTAGCCCAGGCTGGAGTGCAGTGGTGTGATCTCAGCTCACTGTAACCTCTGGCTCCCAGGTCCCCGTTAAGTGATTCTCCTGCCACAGCCTCTTGAGTAGCTGGGATTACAGGCATGTGTACCATACCCAGCTAATTTTTGTATTTTTAGTAGAGACGGGGTTTCACCATGTTGGCCAGGCTGTTCTTGAACTCCTGACCTCGTGTTCTGCGCACCTTGGCCTCCAAAGTGCTGGGATTACAGACGTGAGCCACTGTGCCCGACCTTTGTTGTTTTTGTTGTTGTTGTTGATACGGAGTTTCACTCTTGTCGCCCAGGCTGGAGTGCAATGGCGGGATCTAAGATCACTGCAACCTCCACCTCCCGGGTTCAAGCAATTCTCTTGCCTCAGCCTCCCAAGTAGCTGGGATTACCATGCCACCACCCCCGACTAACTTTTGTATTTTAGTAGAGATGGGGTTTCAACATGCTGGCCAGGCTGGTATTGAACTCCTCACCTCAGGTGATCCACCTGCCTCAGCCTCCCAAAGTGCTAGGATTACAGGTGTGAGCCACCATGCCCAGCCCTGTTTTATTTTTTTAAATTGGTTGAAATTTAACAAAGTCATTCTTCAGTTCCACGGTGCAGAAATAGTCCTTGACAGGATTTTACTTTAGTCTAATACATAGGGTATCAAGCAGTAGATCTGTTGGCTCTATGTCTTTTTTGTTTTTTGTTTTTTGAGATGGAGTCTTGCTTTGTCGCCCAGGCTGGAGTGCAGTGGCGCAGTCTCGGCTCATTGCAAGCTCCGCCTCCCGATTTCACGCTGTTCTCCTGCCTCAGCTTCCCGAGTAGCTGGGACTACAGACGCCCGCCAGCATGGCCGGCTAATTTTTTGTATTTTTAGTAGAGACAGGGTTTCACCGTGTTAGCCAGGATGGTCTTTTTTTTTTTTTTTCTTTGAGACGGAGTCTCGCTCTGTGGCCCAGGCTGGAGTGCAGTGGCGCGATCTCGGCTCACTGCAAGCTCCGTCTCCTGGGTTCACGACATTCTCCTGCCTCAGCCTCCCGAGTAGGTGGGACTACAGGCGCCCGCCACCACGCCCGGCTAATTTTTTTTTTTGTATGTTTAGTAGAGACAGGGTTTCACCGTGTTAGCCAGGATGGTCTCGATCTCCTGACCTCCTGATCTGTCCACCTCGGCCTCCCAAAGTGCTGGGATTACAGGCTTGAGCCACCGCGCCCGGCCAGCTCTGTCTTTAAAGAGGCCACAGTTTATAATCATCATGAAGGGGTTTCAGAGACATATGCCGCCTTGTGAAATCTCTACAGAATATCAAATGTATGAAACAGGCCGGGTGCGGTGGCTCACACCTGTAATCCCAGCACTTTGGGAAGCTGAGGTGGGTGGATCACTTAAGGTCAGGAGTTCGAGACCAGCCTGACCAACATGGTGAAACCCCTGTCTCTACTAAATACAAAAAATTAGCTGGGCGTGCTGGTGTATGCCTGTAATCCCAGCTGCTTGGGAGGCTGAGGCAGGAGAATTGCTTGAACTCGGTAAGAGGAGGTTGCAGTAAGCCAAGATTGCATCATTGCACTCCAGCCTGGGCAACCAGAGTGAAACTCCGTCTCAAAAAAACAAAAAACAGAAAAACAAAACAAAACAAACAAAAAAACCCGGCCATGCTCAGTGGCTCACTCCTGTAATCTCAACACTTTGGGAGGCCGAGTCGGGCGGATTATGTAAGGTCAGGAGTTCGAGACCAACCTGACCAACATGGAGAAACCCAGTCTCTACTAAAAATACAAAATTAGCCGGGCATGGTGGCTCATGCCTGTAATCCCAGCTACTCGGGAGACTAAGGCAGGAGAATCACTTGAGCCCGGGAGGCGAAGGTTGCGGTGAGCCAAGATCGCGCCATTTCACTCCAGCCTGGGCAGCAAGAACAAAACTCCACCTCAAAAAAAAACAAAAAACAAAAAACAAAAAAAAAAAACCCAAAAAGATTTTTTTTAAATGTATGAAACAGGTAAATTAAGAATGGTATTTTAAATGCAGGAGAGTTTTAATTATTTTAAGTTTGAGAGCAATCTTCTGCACTTACATTTCTTTACAAATTATGAATTTTTAGTGTTTATGTATTTATTTTTTGAGATGGAGTTTTTGCTCATCACCCATACTGGAGTGTAATGGCATGATCTTGGCTCACTGCAACCTCCACCTCCTGGGTTTAAGTGATTCCCCTGCCTCAGCCTCCTGAGTAGCTGGGATTTACACGCATGCGCCACCACGCCTGGCTAATTTTGTTTTTGTAGTTTTAGCAGAGACGGGGTTTCACCATGTTGGCCAGGATGGTCTCCAACTCTTGACCTCAGATGATCCATCTGGCCCAGCCTCCGAAAGTGTTGGGATTACAGGTGTGAACCATCACGCCCAGCCGGGTAAAGTGTTTAGAATCAGAACGAATTAAGAATTAATGTTGGGGATAAATATGTCGGCAACTGAATGCTCAGAAAAGATATATGCAAATTAAGGTAAAGCATCAGGAGACTGGAACATTCACTAATCTTCCTGCCCTTAGAGATTTTAGTAAATTTCTCCTGTATCCTACTTTGTACAGTTGAAACTCTTTCCCCTGCTCAGTGAATTCCTGACATTGCTACCCCATGGTTCTATTTCCTCTTCTTGTTTTTTTATTGTTGGTTTGATCCTATGCAGCAGTTTTACACACACACACACACACACACACCCACACACACACACACAAACTCAAACTAAGCATGTTCTGAATTTAGTAACTTTACTAAGGTTTAGGGAGGGATATTTATAAGAAAGGAATTCCGTTGCATAGCCCCTGGAAGACTGTCTGACCCCTCTGGGTAGTCTCAGTCTCCAGATGCTTCTCTCCAAGGACTTCTTCGTCAAAAGCAAACAGAATCAAGAGCTTCCTTTTTGCCTTTCTTTCAGGTCCACACCCAATATCACAATTGTAGTGCAGTGGTTCTTAAAGTGTGGTCCCCAGACCAGCAGAATCAGCACCAACTGGGAATTTGTCAGAAATGCAGACTTGGTTCAGATCCAGGCCAATTGTTTCAGAAATTCAGAGTGATTTAGGGTGGGCCCCAGTAGTCTTTTTAACAAGTCCTTCAGTGATTCTGATGTATGCTAAAGTTTGAGAACCAATGTAGAGCACAATTTTCTAAAAAAGCATGTCAAAGAAGTAAGCTGGAGAACATTTGCATATTCTCCTTAATACAGATAATTGCTCCTATTACCTCCTGGCTTTTGGTCACTGCTTTTAGTTAAGTGGGGTGTGTTTCACCTACTTCTAGGGCCAGAGCAACCCCAGTCCCAAGCACACTCATGGTGTGGAATTTTGGCTTTTGGCTTGTTGGTGCCAGATATGAATGGCATGATCTTTGCTCTTGATCCTATTTCTCCGCCAGAGCTGAGGGCTTGCTATATCATAAGGCCTTGAGAGTGGTTGTAGAATCTGAGGTTCTATAGTGTGGATTCACCCACAGTGAGAATGTGAATATCTTTGATGAATACTTACAGATGACTCATCTATAAAGGGCACAGAAATATCTTGAGCTAATATTCATCTGTACAGGGCAGAAATATCGTGGAAGGAAAAATTGCAATGTTCTTATCACAAATTCATGGACTGAGGAGGATATTGCAAAGCTCTGAGCTCTAGGCCTTGGGCTCTAGGAATCAGGTTTGTTCAGAATCTTATCTAGCTATCATTTTCTTAATGGTCCTACTTTTGGGATTATGCCTAGAAAATTTTTCCTTGCCATTTTTTTTCTTTTATACTTCTTTTATCTGTTTTTGTTTTTCGTATATCTCCTCGGTCCACTTGGAATTTATTTTGGCTTGAAACTGCATTAAATGTGTAAATGTGGAGAGCACTGATATCTTCATAATATCATGTTTTCCATCTGCTATGTCCTCTCATTATTCAAATCTACATCTTTTGGTTTTTGTAGTACATTCATAAAAGTACCATACAAGTTTATTCCTAGGTGTTTGACATTTTCTTTTTTATTTTTGGTGGGTTTTTTTTTTTAATAGAGTTTTGCTCTTGTCACCCAGGCTGTGGTGCAATGGCATGATCTCAGCTCATTGCAACCTCTGCCTCCCAGATTCAAGCGATTCTCCTGCCTCAGCCTCCTGAGTAGCTGGGATTACAGGTGTGCACTACCATGTCCGGCTAATTTTTGTATTTTTAGTAGAGACGGGGTTTCACCATGTTATCCAGGCTGGTCTTGAATTCCTGACCTCAGCTGATCTGCCTGCTTTGGCCTCCCAAAGAGTTGGCATTACAGGCATGATCCACCGCACCCAGCCTTTTTTTTTTTTTTAAGACAGCGTCTTGCTCTGTTGCCCAGGCTGGAGGGCAGTGGCATAATTGTGGCTCGCTGCAGCCTCAACCTCCTGGGATCAAGCAATTCTTTCACCTCAGCCTCCTGAGTAGCTGGAACCACAGGCATGCACCACCATACCCAGCTAATTTAAATTTTTTTTTGTAGAGACTGGGTCTTGCCATATTGCTCAGACTGGATTCTTTCTTCCTTCCTTTCCTTCCCTTTCTTTCTTTTCTTCCTTTCCTTCCCTTTCTTTCTTCTCTTTCGTTCCCTTTCTTTCTTTTCTTTCTTTCTCTTTTTCTTTCTTTCTTTCTTTTCTTTCTTTTTTTTTTACTATTGAAAATAGAATTTTTCCATTATATTTTCAAAAGTACCACACATTTTTATAGTTTATCTGTCATTATTATCTTTTGGCTTTTGCCATTACAAATGGGATCTTTTGTCCATTATATTTTCTTTTTTTTTTTTTTTTTTTTTTTTTTTTGAGACGGAGTCTTTCCTGTTGCCCAGGCTGGAGTGCAATGGTGCTCACTGCAACCTCCGCCTCCCGGGTTCAAGCAATTCTCCTGTCTCAGCCTCCTGAGTACCTGGGACTACAGACTGCCACCACACCTGGCTAATTTTTGTATTTTTAGTAGAGACGGGGTTTTACTTTGTTGGTCAGGATGGTCTCGAACTCCTGACCTCAGGTAATCCACCCGCCTTGGCCTCCCAAAGTGCTGGGATTACAGGTGTGAGCCACTGCGCCCGGCCTGTCCATTATATTTTGTAATAGGCTATAGTTGGAGGAAAGCCATCAATTGTTGTAAGTGGTTGCTGTACTTTGCAACTTAGCACCTTGCTGAACTTTGAGTTTGAATAGTTTTTCAGGTGATTCTCTTGGGTTTTCCTCTCCTCCCCTGCAGGCAGCGCTTCTCCATTGGTGTCTGGGTTGTTGCACTTCCCTGTTTCTCCATGAACACACTCATCTTTGTTGCCTCTTCCTCCCTCCTTTTTTGCTTTAGACCTTTGCATTTTCCAAGTTTCAGTGTTTCAGCCTTGTACTCAACACACAGTCTCTTCTTCAGAGAGTTCATCTACTTTTTAAAAAAAGTTTCAGCCTCAATGTTAATGACTCCCAAGTCTATTTTGAGCCTTGACTTTAATTTTGAATGTCCAAAAGCATAATAGATTTTCCAAGGATCTCGCAAAATCTTATCTCAAATGCATGAACTAGCTACTTTAGGATTCCTCTATTCCAGTTGTAGTTTCCACTCCCTATCTGTGTAGGTTTAAAAAATTTTAAATTTATTTGATTCTCTATTCTTTGTTTCTTGTTTTCACTTAATCATCAAGTCTTTATTTTATTTATTCCTTTAATCCTTTATTTATTTATTTACTTACCTATTTTTGAGACACAGTTTCCCTCTGTTGCCCAGGCTGGAGTGCAGTGGCGCGATCTTGGCTCACTGCAACCTCTGCCTCCTAGGTTCAAGCGATTCTCTAGCAACAGCCTCCCAACTAGCTGGGATTACAGGCATCCACCACCATTCCTGGGTAATTTATGTATTTTTAGTGGAGACAGGGCTTCACCATATTGGCCAGGCTGATCTTGAACTCTTGACCTCAAGTGATCCTCCAGCCTCGGCCTCCCAGTTGGGATTACAGGCGTGAGCCACCACACCCAGCCTCTTCTTCCTTTAAAATGTTCCAAGGCTGGGCGCGGTAGCTCACACCTGTAATCCCAGCACTTTGGGGGGCCAAGGCAGGCAGATCACCTGATGTCAGGAATTCAAGACCAGCCTGGCCAGCATGGCGGAACCCTGTCTCTACTAAAAATACAAAAATTAGGCCAGACGCAGTGGCTCATGCCTGTAATCCCAGCACTTTGGGAGGCCGAGGTGGGCGGATCACCTGTGGTCAGGAGTTCAAGACCAGCCTGCTGCACTTCACTCCAGCCTGGGCGACAGAGTCAGACTCTAGCTCAAAAAAAAAAAGAAAAAAAAATTAGTCAGGCGTGGTGGCAGGCGCCTCTAATCCCACCTACTCAGGAGGCTGAGGCAGGAGAATCACTTGAACCCGGGAGGCGGAGGTTGCATTGAGCTGAGATCACGCCACTGCACTCCAGCCTGGGCAACAAGAGCAAAACTCCATCTCAAAAAATAATAAAAATAGAATAAAATATAATGTTCCATACTCATCTACTTTTTCATCTAGTCAAACACGGTGTCCAGGTTATGTTCATCCCTTGTGGACCATCACAACCATCTTCCAACTGGTTTTCTTGCTCCTAACCTCCCCTCCATTCACAGCTTCATCTATTCATCATGAATTGAGTTCCTCCTGTGTGCCAGGTGCAATTTACAGATCAGTGACAGGGGCTCTGCTCTCAATGAGTTGAGATGAACAGGGAAAACAGGTAAACCAACAACCCCAATATTGTGGTTGGCGTGTGCCATGGCACAAATATAACAGCAGGTGCCACCAGAGTATAGAAGAGAAGGATTAGGGACAGCTTTCAAGAAGAGAGAATGTTTGAGCCAAGTCTTACAGGATTAGTATGAATTGGCCAGGAATTCAGCCCTGTGAGGCTAACTTTCTTTGACCAAACTCTGAGAATTTTTTTTCTCTGAATGCAAATTTTCCGTGTATATATTTTCAAGACAGAGTCTTGCTCTGTTGAGCAGGCTGGAGTGCAGTGGTGCAGTCATGGCTCACTGCAGCCTCTACCTCCCAGGCTCAAGCAATCCTCCCTCTCAGCTTCCCAAGTAGCTGGGACTATAGGTGTGCCCACCATGCCTTGCTAATTAAAAAACAATTTTTTTTTTTTTTTTAGAGACAAGGGTTCACTATGTTGCCCAGGCTGGTCTCAAATTCCTGGGCTCAAGCAATCCTCCCACCTGGGCTTCCCAAACTGCTGGGATTACAGGTGTGAGGCACCATGCCTGGTCCCATATCTTACTTTTCTTTTAAAGCAGACTTTAAGGCTCTTAAAATGCTATTTTCACATTTTAATAATCATAATTCAAGGACAGAATTAAGTTTTAAGCTAACAAATGACTATATTTATTAAGAAACTGAATCTCAGGCATAAATTTGCTAAATGTTTTTCCCTGCAACACCTGTATAGTCATATCCCAAATACTATACTAAACAGATTGTTATGTAGCCTTTTTGAGACCAGCAGGGTTCTCATAGATTGCGATGCAGTCCTAGCCCATTCAGGCACAGACTTGGAATCTGAGAAAGTCAGGTTTATTAACCCGTTGCAATGAGGTAGACTGTACACCAGAGGACCAAAGGACAGTTTTTTGTTTGTTTTTCTGTGTGTGTGTTTTATTTTATTTATTTATTTTTTTTTGAGAGGGAGTTTTGCTCTTGTCCAGGCTAGAGTGCAGTGGCATGATCTGGGCTCACTCCAATCTCCGCTTCCCAGGTTCAAATGATTCTCCTGCCTCAGCCTCCCAGTAGCTGGGATAACAGACGCCTGCCACCACGCCTTGCTAATTTTTGTATTTTTAGTAGAGACGGGTCCAGGCTGGTCTAGAACTCCCGACCTCAAGTGATCCGCCTGCCTCAGCCTCCCAAAGTGCTGGGATTACAGGCATGAGCCACCACGCCTGCCCTCAAAGGACAGTTTATGTAGGATTTGGGGGAAGGGTGGAGATAAACTTTCAATGAAGCAGTGTTTTGACAACTCAAAGCAAAACAGGGCTTGTGTAAAAAAATCAATGTCAGGCCTGAACTGCAAAATGCCCTTAGAGTGCTGTTTCCTTGGAAACTGCAAAGTTTAGATGAGGAATGCTGTGTACACAGATCCCCATTCGGAAGCCTTAGACTTGGGTTGTCAATTAAGGCTGCTTCTCTGTATTAAGGTGACTTAGAGTCACCTGGCCAAGAGTGGAATATTTCATTCTTACTGATAGAATTTCATACAGCAAAGTTTCTGATACTCTGTGATTTCAAAGAACAAAGGATTTCAGTAAGAGAGCAGTGGTCATTCAAAGAAGACAATACTTTACAGCTGTAATGTGTCATTGGGAGAGACGCTTTCTTCTTAATTTTGTAGATGCCTTTATGTGTGTCTGTTATCCTAATCTGGGCAGCACAGAGTTTTAACTTTCTCAGTCCTACCAATTTTTCATCAGTGCTCATGTTACAATAAAGCAGGATCTGTAGATGAAACCAAAGCTGCCTGAGTGAAGCCTGTGGCTGGTTGGCCTCTGTTGCTGGCATGGGCTGCTTGCCTTGCAGGGGTAATGGAATTGTGCGTAATGCTTACGTATCTGGGCTGTGAGCTTCTTGCGACCCGGGCCTTTGAAAGATTCCATTTGTTCTACCAGTTCCCGGAACACACTGTTGAGACAACTCAGAGATGAGTCATCGGGGTTGCTCCCAAGTTTTTACTGATCTGCAACTCTCAACGGATCCAAGATGGGGGTAGTGAGCGCCACCTGTCTCCTGACCAACTTGTCCTCACAATCCCAAGGGCTGTAAAGGCGCTAATGACTCTGGTTGTTGCTTGATTAGCAAATAATCATTTGCATATGTGTCAAAATCGGCTAACTTGAGCCTTCACGCAGAGCCTTAAGCCACGCTGTGAGCTACTTGCAGAATCTCTGGCCCCGCCTTCAAAAGCAAGGCCTCTCCTTTAGTGATGGAGGAAGCACTAATGCTTCCTCTTTGCACAAGCTCTGATGGGAAAATGTGATAATGCTCTTCCAGAACATCCTTAAATAAAATGCAAACAGGTAAGCAATAGTCATGAATTTCTCAACATTAGCACTTACAGAATCCAAAAGAAGTAATCTCATGTTTAAATGAATTCTTAACATCTTAGACCACCTTGGTGTGTAATTCCTCTGTGCTGACGTAGAAGTAGCTAACATTAATGACTTTAAAGGCTCCCAAACGAAGTGGCTTTTCCTGTCCCCTGTTCTTGTGTTTTTGTTTGTTTGTTTTGTTTTTGAGACAGTTTCCCTCTGTTGTCCAGGCTGGAGTGCAGTCACCTGATCTTGGCTCACTGCACCATCCGCCTCCCAGGTTCAAGTGATTCTCCTGCCTCAGCCTCCTGAGTAGCTGGGGTTACAGGTGCGTGCCATCACACAGGCTAATTTTTGTATTATTAGTAGAGACGGGTTTTCTCCATGTTGGCCAGGCTGGTCTCCAACTCCTGGCCTCAAGTGATCGGCCTGCCTTGGCCTCCTACTGCTGATTACAGGCGTGAGCCAACGCGCTAGGCTCTGTTCCTGGGTCTGTAAATTGCCAAACAGGTGGGAGTTCCCCAGGGTTCCCATGCATGTGCAGAAATGCCAGGTTTTGCAGGGCTTTAGGGACTAGGGCCAGAGTAATCTTTCTTCTTTTACTGAGTAACCTGCTTTATAAAGTAACTTCGGCTTTTTTTTTTTTTGAGATGGAGTTTCACTTATTGTCGCCCAGGCTGAAGTGCAATGGCATGATCTCAGCTCACTGCAACCTCTGCCTCCCAGGTTCAAGAGATTCTCCTGCCTCAGCCTCCCAAGTAGCTGAGATTACAGGCATTAGCCACCACACCTGGCTAATTTTTGTATTTTTAGAAGAGATGGGGTTTCGCCATGTTGGCCAGGCTGGTCTTGAACTCCTGACCTCAGGTGATCTGCCCGCCTCGGCCTCCCAAGGCACTGGGATTACAGGCATGAGTCACCGTGCCTGGCCAACTTTGGCTTTTAAGTGTTTAGCTTTTGGTTCAGAATTACTTTATTGAATAAAATATAGTGGTCCCTGCTTATTAGTCCCTGCTTCCCCCTTTTCTTCTTTTTTACCTAATAAAACCCTGCTTTACTCATCCTTCAGACCATCTACGAGCCTCAGTTGTCTTGGCCATGGGATGGACAAGGACCCCATCTTTAGCTGAACTAAGGAAAAGTTCTGCAACACAAGGCTGCCAAGATGGCTTTCCTTTTTTTTTTTTTTTTTTTTTTTTGAGATGAAGTCTCGCTTTGTCGCCCAGGCTGGAGTACACTGGTGTGATCTCAGCTCACTGCAACTTCCGCCTCCTGGGTTCCAGCGATTCTCCTGTCTCAGCCTCCCAAGTAACTGGAATTACAGGTGTGCATTACCACGCCTGGCTAATTTTTGTATTTTTAGTAGAGACGGGGTTTTGCCACATTGGCCAGGCTGGTCTGGAACACCTGACCACAGGTGACCCACCCTCCTCAGCCTCCCAAAGTGCTGGGATTACAGGCATGAGCCACTGCACCGGGCAAGACAGCTTTCCTCTATATGACATGTGATAAATAATTCCTAGGGAGGATCACAGTCTGTCAAAATATATCATGTGCCTTCGTAGAGATTCCCAGAGAGCATTACACGGATGACACAGACTTGCGTGAAATGTGCCTTCCCCAGTGTGTTTTGTTTTTGTTTTTTTGAGACGGGGTCTTGTTTTGTTGCCCAGGCTGGGGAGCAATGGTACAGTCAGAGCTCACTGCCACCTCAAATTCCCTGGCTCACGGAATCCTCTTGCTTCAGCCTCCTGGGTAGCTGGGACTACAGACGTGTACCACCACACCTGGCTAATTTTTTTTTTTTTTTTTTGTACATACTGTGTTTCGTCATGTTGCCCAGGCTAGTCTCAAACTCCTGGGCTCAAGCAATCTTCCTGCTTTGGCTTCCCAAAGTGCTGAGATTACAGGCATTAGCCACAGTGCCTGGCTCCACTGTGTTTTGAATATGTGAAAGTTGTCAGAATCAAAATGGAGCTGCTAATATTGACTGGGTGCAGTGGCTCATGCCTGTAATCCTAGCACTTTGGGAGGCCAAGGCGGGCGGATCACTTGAGGTCAGGAGTTTGAGACTAGCCTGACCAGTATGGTGAAACCCTGTCTCTACTAAAAATACAAAAAAAAAAAAAAGAAAAAAATTAGCTGGGCGTGTTGGTGGGCACCTATAATCCCAGCAACGCAGGAGGCTGAAGCAGGAGAATCACTTGAACCCGGAAGGCAGAGGTTGCAGTGAGCTGAGATCGTGCCACTGCACTACAGCCTGGATGACAGAGTGAGACCCTGTCTCAAAAACAAAACAAAACAAAAAACAAAAAAAAAAAATGGACTCACTAATATTAAAACAAAAACAAAACCTCTGACAAACAGAGCTGGGGAAGGCCAGGAAGAGAAATTCTCATGTTCCTACGCCTAATAACAAAATCTATCACAGAAGACTGCAAAAGTCCGGGCGCGGTGGCTCACACCTGTAATCCCAACACTTTGGGAGACTGAGGCGGGTGGATCACAAGGTCAGGAATTCAAGACCAGCCTGGCCAAGATGGTGAAAGCTCATCTCTACTAAAAATAAAAAAATTAGCCGGGTGCAGTGGCAGGCAGCTGTAATCCCAGCTACTCCGGAGGCTGAGGCAGGAGAATTGCTTGAACTCAGGGGGTGGAGGTTGCAGTGAGCCAAGATCACGCCACTGCACTCCAGCCTGGGTGTCAGAGTGAGACTCCGTCTCAAAAAAAAAAAAAAAAAAAAAAAGACTGCAAAAACCACAATGTTGCACAAAGGCCATCACAACCTTACACACAAAATACTTCTGCAAGGACATCTGCCCAGCAACTGCCTGTTCAACCTTGAAGTGGTATCACCCTTGTTATTGGTCTTTGTAGGCAAGGATAATTATCTTAAAACAATTATGTAATCCTCACTTTTTCCTTTAACAGCCTTTGTGTTCTTTTGCTTCCCTCGATCCACACATAGATTACTATGGTATGTGTATTCCTACACTATTCCATGTGTGTCCAATCTTTTAGCTTCCCTAGACCACATTTGAAGAATATTTGTCTTGGGGCCACACTTTTTTTTTTTTTGAGACGCAGTCTCGCTGTGCTCTGTCGCCCAGGCTGGAGTGCAGTGGCGTGATCTTGGCTCACTGCAAGCTCCACCTCCCAGGTTCACGCCATTCTCCTGCCTCAGCCTCCCGAGTAGCTGGGACTACAGGCGCCTGCCACCACGCCCGGCTAATTTTTTGTATTTTTAGTAGAGACGGGGTTTCACCATGCTAGCCAGGATGGTCTCGATCTCCTGACCTCGTGATCTGTCTGCCTTGGCCTCCCAAAGTGCTGGGATTACAGGTGTGAGCCACTGTGCCCGCCTGTAAATTTTTAACATGTAAACAGTTATAAACATAAAATAGTACTAAAAAGCAACAAAAACAGCATTTCCCTCCCGTAGACATGATCCTGTTGCTCAGAGGTATCTACTTCCAATTCACTTTTTTTTCTGGTATTCACTTTCTCTGTCTAAATAATAATATGTTTATATTATGGATTCTTGATTCATATTACTTTAGTTAATTACATTTACTTTATATTATGGTCAGAAAGAAACCTAGAACTCTTCTCTACCCTGCCTTCAATATGACTATAGTACAGGCTTTCTTTTTTTTTTTTTTTTGAGACAGAGTTTTGCTCTTGTTGCCCAGACTGGAGTGCAATGGTGTGATCTCGGCTCACTGCAATCTTTGCCTCTCGGGTTCAAGTGATTTTCCTGCCTCAGCCTCCCAAGTAGCTAGGATTACAGTCGTGTGCCCCCACACCCAGCAAATTTTGTATTTTTAGTAGAGGCAGGGTTTTGCCATGTTGGCCAGGCTGGTCTCGAACTCCTGACCTCAAGGGATCCACTCACCTCACCCTCCCAAAGTGCTGGGATTACAGGTGTGAGCCACCACGCCTGGCAGTAGAGGCTTTCTTTTAAAAATTGATATCAAGTGATTACATTATGGGTGAACTAAGCAATGTAAGTTGATTACCATTCCTTTCTTTTTTTTTTTTTTTTGAGATGGAGTCTTGCTCTGTTGCCCAGGCTGGAGTGCAATGGCACAATCTAGGCTCACTGCAGTCTCTGTCCTCTGGGTTCAAGTGATTCAGCCGAGTGAGACTCTGCCTCAGCCTCCTGAATAGCTAAGATTATAGGTGCCTGCCACGACACCAGGCCAATTTTTAAATTTTTAGTAGAGATGGGGTTTCACTGTGTCAGCCAGGCTGGTCTCGAACTCCTGATCTCAAATGATCTGCCCACCTTGGCCTCCCAAAATGCTGGAATTACAGGCGTGAGCCACCGTGCCCAGCCTGAAACCTTTATGTTTTTAACCCATGACTTTTCCCCTGTGACATCCAATGTAAATATAATATGACACTATTTTTAAAAATATGTGTATCAGAATAATTAATTTTTTTCAGTTTCTTTTTTTCTTCTTTCCTACACAACATGAATATATTTTTTCAGTTTCTTCAATTTTATTTTGTGTTTACTATGAGCAAAAACATAGTTGATACTGTCAGAATAATTAATTTTATTCTTAATTACTTTGGGAAACTGTATGTTTATTGTTCTGATGCTATTCTTGCTAAAACATTCTTAGAACTTTTCTTTTCTTTTCTTTTTTCTGAGATGGAGTCTTGCTCTGTTGCCCAGGCTGGAGTGCAGTGGCTCGATCTCAGCTCACTGCAACCTCCACCTCCTGAATTCAAGCAATTCTCCTGCCTCAGCCTGCCAAGTAGCTGGGATTACAGGGTTGTGACACCATGCCCGCCTAATTTTTTTTAAAATTATTTTTAGTAGAGACGGGGCTTCACCATGTTGGCCAGGCTTGTCTTGAATTCCTGACCTTGTGATCTGCCTGCCTCACCCTCCCAAAGTGCTGGGATTACAGGCGTGAGCCACTGCACGTGGCCATGAACTCTTCATTCTTTTACTTATTCATTCAACAAGCATTTGTTGAGTCTATTTTTGTTCCTGGCAGTGCGGGGAACATAAAGATCAAAAAGTCTAGGGCTTGTCATCCAGGAGCTCACTGAACGGTGGGTGCAACCCCTGGGTAGACTGTGACAATGCAGGTAGCAGGTGCTCCAGGGGAGGGGTGTGCTAGGGCCTGTGTCCTTGTTCAGGGAGAAAGGGGTGCTTGGGGCCTGAAGGAAGTAACAAAGGCAGCATGAAGGAGGAGACAGTGGAGCTAATCCTTAACAGATGAGCTGGAATTCACCAGGAGGACTCAGGTGCTGCCCGGCACAGGGAAGTGAGAAAGAACGTGTTCCACAGAGAGGAGTCATAATTCAGTGTGCCTGGTGGGGAGAGGCCAGAGTAAAAGCATGAAGAACCTTGCCTATCCTACTGAGATGACGAAAAATCATAGAAAGGTTCTAGGAAGATACACTCAGGCAGCAGTGAAGGAAGATAGGGTTAGAGGACAAGAGAGGAAGATGAGGTATGAGGCTAATGAAGCTCATTGCACAACAAGGGTGTGGGGAGGCTCTGTGGGAGGTGCCTGAGGGGAACAGGTACACCTTCCCCACTGATTCCTAGAGGGAGTTGAAAAGCTGTTGTTTTTCAACAATACAGGTGCGGGTGGCTCACGCCTGTAATCCTAGCACTTTGGGAGGCCAAGGCAGGCGGATCACCTGAGGTCAGGAGTTTGAGACCAGTCTGGCTAATATGGCGAAACCCCATCTCTACTAAAAATACAAAAATTGGCCAGGCGCGGTGGCTCATGCCTGTAATCCCAGCACTTTGGGAGGCTGAGGTGGGTGGATCACGAGGTCAGGGGTTTGAGACCAGCCTGAACAACATGTTGAAACCCTGTCTCTACTAAAAATTAGCTGGGCGTGGTGGTGGGCGCCTGTAATCCCAGCTACTCAGGAGGCTGAGGCAGGAGAATTGCTTGAACCCGGGAGGCAGAGGTTTCAGTGAGCCGAGATCACGCCACTGCACTCCAGCCTGGGCAACAGAGCGAGACTCCGTCTCAAATAAAAAAAAAAACCAAAAAACAAAAATTAGTTGGGCGCGGTGGTGCATGCATGTAATCCCAGCTACTCAGGAGGCTGAAGCAGAAGAATTGCTTGAACCCAGGAGGCAGAGGTTGCAGTGAGCCGAGATTGCGCCACTGCACTCCAGCCTGGGTGACAGAGCAAGATTCTGTCTCAAAAAGAAAAAAACAACAAAACAAAACGAAACAAAAACAAAAACCAAACAAACAAAAAAATTGTTGTAACTCTCAGAAATGTGTTAGAACTATCTGGGCCGGGCGCGGTGGCTAACGCCTCTAATCCCAGCACTTTGGGAGGCCGAGGAGGGCGGATCACGAGGTCAGGAGATCGACACCATCCTAGCTAACACAGTGAAACCCCGTCTCTACTAAAAAATACAAAAAATTAGCCAGGCGTGGTGGCGGGCACTTGTAGTCCCAGCTACTCAGGAGGCTGAGGCAGGAGAATGGCGCGAACCTGGGAGGCGGAGCTTCCAGTGAGCCGAGATCCAGCTTGGGTGACAGAGCGAGACTCCACCTCAAAAAAAAAAAAAAGAAAGAAAGAAAGAAAAGTGTTAGAACTATCCAATATGAGAACTGTATGTATGTATGTGTGCGTGTGTGTATATATATATATATATATATATATATATACACACACGCACACATATACATATGTATATACATGGTTCCCATATACATATATATGGTGAAATATATATACATACATATATATGGTGAAATATACATATATATACATATATATACATATATATACCATATATATACATGGTGAAATATAACCCACAGTTCCACGTGCTCTTCGAGAGCGTAACAATTACACATTTTTCATCAAGGTGGAAAATGACGAACTAGTTTCCACCACCCTCCACCTAACCAAAACACAGGCTGCACCTTTGGCTCATCCAGGTGAGAACCAGTGGTTAACCTAAGATATGGCCTGGGAAGAAAGGAGAGAGGTGGCCAGGACAGTGGAGTCATCCAATGGCTAGGGAATGGTTATATATCTTGGTCAGTAATCTAAAGTGAAGGTAGAGGCAGAGGGAGGAGTCTAGGAGAATTCCTATACTTCTGGCTTGGTCACTAACTTTTGAAATTGCCTTTTGAGTTCCTGTATGGGCCAAGATCAGTTTCATGACTTTATCATGAGAAACGTTTCATGACTTTTTTTTGCACATTCAAGAGAACATGAACCAGTTTGGTAACCTACATGAATCATCAGATTATTCTCTAACTGACTTTGGGATATTTATAAAAAAGGACCTACTTTCAAAGGACAAGATTTGCCACCAGTAAGGATTTGTAAGAGAACATGCCCATGCTCTGTCCCTTTTTTCAAAAAATGTTTTCTTCTCTCGTGGAAATGGGAAAACATTTCTTAATTGGAAAAATGTAGTCAAAACTCAGCCTTTGACTTAGCCAAGGGGCTTGCCATTCTGAAGAGGCCGGGACCTTTCGAGTCCTGGATGTCTCTGGCTCATGCAGTTTCCTCTGTCTGGAATGTCTCCACATGGCCCCCTCCTCACATTTCCAGCTCTAGGCTGGGGAATCCTACACACCCTTCAAGGCCCATGTTAAATGTCATCTCTTCTATCAGGCCTTCCTAACACCCAGACATTTCAGGCAGAAAAAATCCCTGCCTCTTCTGGACTGTTTTCCCTACTAGCCTGCGCATTCTTTTAATGGAGGCCCTCATGCTCATCTCTGAGTTGCCATCATTCACACACCTGCTATACAGCATTTTTGTTTTTTTTGAGACAGCATCTCACTCTACCCAGGCTGGAGTGCAGTGGTGTAATCATAGCTCACTGCAGCCTTGACCTCTTGGGTTCAAGTGACCCTCCTGCCTAAGCCTCTTGGGTAGCTAGGACCACAGGTGTAAGCCACCACACTTGGCTAAATTGTATTTTATTTATTTATTTATTTATTTATTTACTTATTTATTTATTTATTTATTTATTTTTTGCGACGGAGTCTCGCTCTTGTTGCCCAGGCTGGAATGCAGTGGTGCGATCTTGGCTCTCTTCAACCTCCATCTCCTGGGTTCAAGCGATTCTTCAGCCTTAATCTCCTGGGTAACTGGGATTATAGGTGCCCGCCACCACGCCAAGCCAATTTTTGTATTTTTAGAAAAGGCGAGGTTTCACAGTGTTGGGCAGGCTGGTCTTGTACTCCTGACCTCTGGTGATCTGCCCACCTCAGCCTCTCAAAGTGCTGGGATTACAGGCATGAGCCACCGTGCCTGGCCCACACTTGGCTAAATTTTAAATATTTTTTTGTAGAGATAGGGTCTTGCTATATTGTCCAGGCTGGCATTGAACTCTTGGCTTCTAGCGATCCTCCCATATTGGCTTCCCAAAGTGCTGGGATTACAGACATGAGCTGCCATGGCCCAACATAAATGTAATTCCTTTGGTGGAGTTGTGGAGGCTTTGGAAATGTAGTAACTAACGTTCCATCTGTCTGAGAGGGTTGGAACCCAGAGGCCACCATTAGGAGGCTACAGGAAGGTGTCCAGCCTGGGGGTAGAACCTCTTAGCACCTGGCACCGGCAATAGGTAGCCATCGGGGAACACTGAAATGAAGGTAGGGTGAGCTGGGGTTCAAAGCCAGGATAATTGCCTCTGGGAGGCCTGGAAGGGCAAGAGGAGACAGGGACCAAGGCAGGAACTTGGCATGGAGTCAGGGGTGTGGGGAAGGGAAAGGGCTACTGGGATGGTTTAGTTGAGGACTTAGGGATCAGAGATAAGGCATTATCCAAAATGTGAGGAAAAGGTTGGGTGCGTCGGCCAGGCGAGGTGGCTTACACCTGTAGTTCCAGCACTTTGGGAGGCTGAGGCAGGCAGATCACTTGAGGTCAGGAGTTCGAGACCAGGCTGGCCAATAAAGTGAAACCCCATCTCTACTAAAAATACAAAAATTAGCTGGGCGTGGTGGCGCAGGCCTGTAGTCCCAACTACTTGGAAGGGTGAGGCAGGAGAATTGCTTGAACCCAGGAGGTGGAGGTTGCAGTTAGCCAAGATCATGCCACTCCAGCCTGGATGACAGAGTGAGACTCTGTCTCAAAAAAAAAAAAAAAAAAAAAAAAAAAGCTGGGCGCAATGGCTCATGCCTGTAATCCCAGCACTTGGGGATGCCGAGGTGGGTGGATCACAAGGTCAGGAGTTCAAGACCAGCCTGGCCGACATGGTGAAACCCTGTCTGTACTAAAAATATAAAAATTAGCTGGGCGTGGTGGTGGGCACCTGTAATCCAAGCCACTTGGGAGGATGAGGCAGGAGAATCGCTTGAACCCAGGAGGTGGAGGTTGCAATGAGCCAAGATTGTGCCATTGCACTCCAGCCTGGGCAACAAAGAGGGAAACTCCACCTCAGAAAAAAAAAAAAAAAAAAAAAAAAAAGCCTGGGCGTGGTGGCTTATGCCTGTAATCCCAGCACTTTGGAAAGCTGAGGCAGGCGCATCACTTGAGGCCAGGAGTTCGAAATCAGCCTGGCCAACATGGTGAAACCCCATCTCTACTAAAAATACGAAAAAATTTAGCTGGGCGTGGTGGCGCTTGCCTGTGACCCCAGCTACTGGGGAAGCTAAGGCACAAGAATCACTTGAACCTGGGAGGCGGAGGTTCCAGTGAGCCAAGATCATGCCACTGTACTCCAGCCTGGATAACAGAGCAAGACTCTGTCTCAAAATAAATAAATAAATAAATAAATAAATAAATAAATAAATAAATAAAAAAGAGGAAAAAAATCAAGTGATGGGCCGGGCGCCAGTGGCTCACACCTGTAATCCCAGCACTTTGGGAGGCCAAGGCAAGCGGATCACGAGGTCAAGAGATCGAGACCATCCTGGACAACATTGTGAAACCCCATCTCTACTAAAAATACAAAAATTAGCTGGGCGTGGTGGCATGGGCCTGTAGTCGCAGCTAGTCGGAAGGCTGAGGCAGGAGAACCACTTGAACCCGGGAGGCAGAGGTTGCAGTGAGCCGAGATCACACCGCTGCACTCCAGCCTGGGTGACAGTGAGAGACTCTGTCTCAAAAAAAAAAAAAAAAAAAAAAAAAAAAAAAAATCAAGTGATGAGCCAAATTGTTGATGCAGACTCCTGCTGTTACTACATTTTGGAAGAGCAGAGAATCGTTAAATTCCATTAATTTTTTTTTTTTTTTTGGTGAAAAGATACACATATTTAGAATTAGCCAGCTGGACTCAGTTTAGATGATCCCATTTTTTTTTGGCAACATCCAAAACATCGTAATCTGGAGCCAGTTGAACATATGCCTTCTTCTCTCCATCGGGCCGAATCAGGGTGTTGACCTTGGCCGCATCATTGTCAGGGAGCTTCTTCACAGCCTGTTTGATCTGCTGCTTGTTGGCTTTAACATCCACCCTGAACACATATGTGGTGTTGTCTTCTATCTTCTTCATGGCGGACTCAGTGGTCCACAGAAACTTGATGATGGCATAACGGTCAAGCTTGTTTCTCCTGGGGGCGCTCTTCCGAGGATATTTGGGTGGCCTCGAGTCGCAGTGTCCTGGGCCTCTGGAAGGTGGGTGACGTGCGGGTCTTCTTTTTTTGTGGATGTGGACATCTTTCATCACTGCCTTCTTGGCCTTTAAAGCCTTCGCTTTGGCTTCGGCTTTAGGAGGGGCAAGCGCTTCCTTCTTTGCTTTCAACGCCATCTTGTGAAAAGGGCAAATTCCATTAAATTTAAGAAGGAAAACTTAAGCTAAATCTGGAAGAACATGATATAACATAATTTGGACACTT
Organism: Homo sapiens; assembly: GCF_000001405.40. Taxonomy (NCBI): domain Eukaryota; kingdom Metazoa; phylum Chordata; class Mammalia; order Primates; family Hominidae; genus Homo; species Homo sapiens. The sequence goes on along the minus strand of NC_000014.9, from coordinate 34,485,890 downwards.
AGAGGCAAGTGGGGAAGAAATTCCAGACATAAAGGTAGGGGCAAGCATGTGGTGTTTATGAATGGAGGGGCCTTTTGTGGATGCGGGGGCCACCAGCATGTGTGGAGACTCTAGTAACCAGGAGATTGCAGTCTGACGGTGGAGATCTTCAAAAGCAAGACAAAGGAGTTCCTACCAGATGCAAAGGAAAACAGGGGCCCTGGGCCAAGCGCGGTGGTTCACTCCTATAATCCCAGCACTTTGGGAGGCCATGGCGGGTGGATCACTTGAGGTTAGGAGTTTGAAACAAGCCTGGCCAACATGGTGAAGCCCCGTCTCTACTAAAAATACAAAAATCAGCTGGGTGTGTTGGCCTGTGCCTGTAAACCCAGCTACTCGGGAGGCTGAGACAGGAGAATCACTTGAACCCAGGAGGTGATGGTTGCAGTGAGCCGAGATCACACCACTGCACTCCAGCCTCAGTGACAGAGCAAGACTGTCTTAAAAAAAAAAAAATGATCAGGTGTGGTGGCTCACGCCTGTAATCCCAGCACTTTGGGAGGCTGAGGCGGGTGGATCATCTGAGGTCAGGAGTTCGAGACCAGCCTGACCAACATGGAGAAACCCCATCTCTACTAAAAATACAAAATTAGCCAGGCATGGTGGTTCATGCCTGTAATTGCAGCTACTCGGGAGGCTGAGAAGAGAATCCCTTGAACCGAGGAGGCAGAGTTTGCAGTGAGCTGAGTTCGCGCCATTGCACTCCAGCCTGGGCAACAAGACAGAAACTCCATCTCAAAAAAATGAAATAAAATAAAATAAAAAATTAAAAAAAAAAAGAAAAGAAAATAGGGGCCCTTATGCTTTGTGAGCAGAAGAATGATAAGGACAGCCATTTGTTAGGGAGGTGGTGTGAGCTGTTGATTGAAGCCTACAGATCCTGGAGTCCTGTAATTGCCAGAAAACTTTGATAATCAAATCAGAGCTGAAGATAAGGTGGGAAAGGCCTGTGGCCAGGTTTTCTAAGTCAGTTTGTGTGCTGGGGAGACTTGAAACCACCGGATAGATTCATGTCTTCCTTGGAACATCAGATTCACTTGGGAGATTTTGGGGGAAAATACATATTGAAACAATATATATTATATATTGAAACAATATATAATATATATTGAAACTATATATTATATATTGAAACAATATATAATATATATTGAAACAGTATATAATATATATTGAAACAGTATATAATATATTGAAACAATATATATTATATATTGAAACAATATATTGTATATTGAAACAATATATTATGTATTGAAACAATATATTATGTATTGAAACAATATAATATGTATTGAAACAATATATAATATGTATTGAAACAATATATGTTATGTATTGAAACAATATATGTTATATATTGAAACAATATATGTTATATATTGAAACAATATATGTTATATATTGAAACAATATATGTTATATATTGAAACAATATATGTTATATATTGAAACAATATATGTTATATATTGAAACAATATATGTTATATATTGAAACAATATATGTTATATATTGAAACAATATATGTTATATATTGAAACAATATGTTATATATTGAAACAATATATGTTATATATTGAAACAATATACAAGGCTGTCTTCTGGCCTCACGGGGTAACTCAGTGAGCGATAATGAGTAAGAGGATCAGCTAAGGTATTCTTCATGGAATTGATGGGGAAGTTAAGGAGATTTAGGACATGTCACAGTGCTGAAGCTCAGGGGCTAGCACGGACTGGGGCAGCAGAGCCAGGAAATCTCCCTCTATTTTGTGTTGACTTTGTTTTTTGAGACGTAGTTTCACTCTAGTTGCCCAGACTGGAGTGTAATGGCTCAATCTTGGCTCACTGCAAGCTCTGCCTTCTGGGTTCAAGCAATTCTCCTACCTCAGCCTCCCGAGCAGCTGGGATTACAGGCATGTACCACCACGCCTGATTAATTTTTGTATTTTTAGTAGAGACAGGGTTTCTCCATGTTGGTCAGGCTGGTCTCGAATTCCTGACCTCAGGTAATCTGCCCACCTCGGCCTCCCAAAGTGCTGGGATTACAGGCATGAGCCACCGCACCTGGCCTGTGTTGACTTTTTTTACTACTGCCATCAAATCTGCAATCCACGTAAAGGAAAAAAAGAAAACTCTCGATTGTGGTGGTCACCTGTATAGTCCCCGCTATTTGGGAGGCTGAGGCAGGAGGTGAGGATGGGAGAATCACTTGAGCCTAGGAGTTGGAGGCTGCAGTGAGCTATGATTGTACCATTGCTCTCTAGCCTGAGTGACAGAGCAAGACCCTGTCTAAAAACAAAACAAAACAAAACAAAAAAACCCAAAATCTCACTCAACTATTGAACTATGGACATGTCATTTTAGAACAATACCCAAATGTCAATTTGTGCTATGGTAAAAGCTCCAGCTATTGTTGTATTGGTGAAATGGTGGTTTTTAGGCAATCAAAAATCTGTGTTACTTAAGATTTAAACTTGTGGACCTGAAGGGATTGTTAATGTAAACAGGCCTGGTCAAGCAGTCATACAGATGCTAATTTTTATTTTTTCCTGGGTTACTTAGAGAGGTTTAGAAGAAAATGGCTTGAGTGAAGTAGTTAAAATGAGAACAATTAGAGGTATAACAGATTGTAAGATATCATACTTATTTGCCCTTGTTTTTCTCAGAACTTCAAGCTTTCTGCTCCCAACCTCTACTATTATGAATTTTCACGATAGTATTACATGCATGTAAGGTAAACAATATAGCATCACGTAAAGTAAAAAGTGATCTCTTTTCTTTCTTTCTTCAGTATCCCTGTCCTCAGGATTAGTAGCTGATAACTATTGTGTATTTTTTATTTTTCTTTTTGAGATAGGGTCTCGCTCTGTCATCCAGGCTGGAGTGCAGTGGCACAATCATGGCTTACTGTAGCCTCGACATCGGGGGCTCAATTGATCCTCCCACCTTAGCCTCCTGAGTACCTGGGATTACAGGCACGTAACACTACTCCTGGCTAAGTTTTAAATTTCATGTAGAGACAGGGTCTTCCCATGCTGCCCAGGCTGGTTTTGAACTCCCAGGCTCAAGTGATACTCCTGCCTTAGCCTCCCAAAGTGCTGCAATTACAGGCATAAGCTACTTCACCAGTCCTGTTACATATTTTTAAAGGACACACTATGGGCCCCTAGGCAATTTCCCAGCCATTGGGAGACTCTGGAGATAACGGTAGACAAGATTCTAGGCCTCCTACATCTTTCTTTTAACAAACATTCATCCATTCAACAAATACTTGCGTACCTCTTTTATGCCAGGAATTGCTCAAGACATTGGGGTACCTCAATGCACAAAACTGACAATGTGTTCATAGCATATATCCTGTTCTGCAAGTCTGTTGCCTTCATCTGTACCTCTTTTTTTTTTTTTTTTTTTTCACTCTTGTTGCCCAGGCTGGGGTGCAATGGCGCAATCTTGGCTCACTGCAACCTCTGCCTCCTGGATTCAAGTGATTTTCCTGCCTCAGTCTCCTGAGTAGCTAGGACTACAGGCATGCACCACCACGCCTAGCTAATTTTTTTGTATTTTTAGTAGAGACAGGGTTTCGTCATATTGGCCAGGCTGGTCTTGAACTCCTGACCTCAGGTGATCTACCCACCTCTGCCTCCCAAAGTGCTGGGATTACAGGCATGAGCCACAGCACCCAGCCAGCTGTACCTCTTAGACATCACTGCATTTTATTTTATTTATTTTTTAGAGACAGGATCTCACTATGTTGTCCAGGCTGCTTTTGAACTTCGGGCCTCAAGTGATCCTTCCACCTTGGGCTCCTGAGTAGCTGGGATTACAGCCACATGCCACCACACCTGGCTCATCCCATGTTAGTCCAAAATGGACCCAACTCATTCTGTTCTTTTTTTTTTTTTCTCGAGATGGAGTCTCGCTTTGTTGCCCAGGCTGGAGTACAGTGGCGCGATCTCGGCTCACTGCAACCTCCACCTCCTGTGTTCAAGTGATTCTCCTGCCTCAGCCTCCGAAGTAGCTGGGACTACAGATGCGTGCCACCACACCCAGCTAATTTTTTGTATTTTTAGTAGAGATGGGGTTTCACCATGTTAGGCAGGATGGTCTCGATCTCCTGACTTCCTAATCTGCCCACCTCGGCCTCCCAAAGTGCTGGGATTACAGGCATGAGCCACCGCACCCGGCCAACTCATTCTTTTCAAAAGTTTGTCCATTGTATGAATGTATCATAATTTATGTAATCCCCTATACTGTACATTTATACTTGTGGCCTATTTTTTTGCTATTATAAATGTATTAACACAGAGACATTTTTATGTTGTCAGCAGTTAATATGACAATCCTGCCTCTTGGGCAGAAATAATCTGGTCTGATAAACCCTGCCTGTGGAGCAGATGCCAACCTCTGGGGCTGGATTTTCAAGACTGGCCACCTGATTTTCTGAATAATAAGGGTTTGGAGGGGCCTCAGGGTGGGTCAGAGGAGAGCTGGAGGCTGAAAAGGCAGATCTTTAGAGGATTTTCCAGGGAAATGCCACTGAGAGATGTGATGTCCCACCTGTGTTTCTGCCTACCTCGGCACAGCTGCAAAAATCCCTGCATCCTCACTGTGACTGGGTTCCTGGTGGAATCCCCTGAAGGGGTGAGGTTGCGTGTTGAGGTTGGTGCAAGGTGGAACCCCAGTCAGTCTGCAGCCACATCCTGGGTTCCATAAACAATGTTTATGTGCTTTTGGTCACCAGGATGGATTTATTGCCTTAGGGCAAATTCTCAGAAGTGAAATTTCTGGTTCTTATATAGGTTGCCAAATCACACTCTTTCGGCAATTTGCAATAAATTACACTTTTATTAATAGTGATTAAAGTCCTCCTCCACCTATAGTAACAGTGACTATCGTTTTCACCTTTGCCATTCTGTTAGGATAAAAATAACATCTAATCATTGCTTTAATTTGAATTTCTTGAGTTACTACTGATGTCAAGCATCTTTTCATGTTTATAAGTTGTATTTATTTCTTCCGTGAAACACTCGTTCATTCATTTCTATTGTCTTTTTCTTTTGAGATGGAGTTTCACTCTTGTTGCCCAGACTGGAGTGCAATGGTGCCATCTCGGCTCACCGCAACCTCCACCTCCTAGGTTCAAGCAATTCTCTTGCCTCAGGCTCCCGAGTAGCTGGGATTATAGACATGCACCACTAAGCCCGGGTAATTTTTTTTTTTTTTTTTTTTTTTGAGACATAATGTTGCTCTGTCGCCTAGGCTGGAGTGCAGTGGTGAGATCTCAGCTCACTGCAACCTCCACCTCCTGGGTTCAAGGGATTCTTCTGCCTCAGCCTCCTGAGTAGCTGGGACTACAGGCGTGTGCTACCACGCCCAGCCAATTTTTGTATTTTTAGTAGAGACGGGGTTTCACTATATTGGTCAGGCTGGTCTCGAATTCCTGACCTCATGATCTGCCCGCCTCAGCCTCCCAAAGTGCTGGGATTACAGGCATGCGCCACCATGCCCGGCTAAGTAGAGACTTTAGTAGAGATGGGATTTCTCCATGTTGTTCAGGCTGGTCTCGAACTCCCCACCTCAGGTGATCTACCCGCCTTGGCCTCCCAAAGTGTTGGGATTACAAGCATGAGCCACGGCGCCCGGCTCTTTTGTCTATTTAAAAGTATAGTTCATCTATTTTTGTTCTTTTTTTAGACTTGCTTCTCTCCGCATTTGTTTGTTTGTTTGTTTTTTTTTTTTGAGACAGAGTCTTGCTCTGTCACCCAGGCGGTAGTGCAATGGGGAGATCTAGGCTCACTGCCACCTCCATCTCCTGGGTTCAAGCAATTCTTGTGTCTCAGCCTCCTGAGTAGCTGGGAGTACAGGCATGCTCCACCACACCTGGCAAATTTTGTGTGTGTATGTGTGTGTGTGTGTGTAGTTTTAGTAGAGACGCGGTTTTGCCATGTTGGCCAGGCTGATCTTGAACTCTTGACCTCAGGTGATCCACTTGCGTCAGCCTCCCAAAGTGCTGGGATTACAGGTATGAACCACCATGCCTGGCTTTTTTTTTTTTTTTTTCTTAAGGAGTAAAGTCAACATTAACAAAGATTCTGTAGGAAGACAGAAGGATTTATGCCACTAGTTTATCTTTTCTACTTTGAGTTGTAAGAATTCTTTGTATGTTATTAGGAATATTGGAGCCAGATTATTATTATTATTTGCTTGCTGGCCCAAAGTTACTAGCTTCTGTCTCTTTTCTTTTTAATTTATTTTTATTTTTTTATTTGGCTGAAGTGCAGTGGCACGATCTTGGCTCACTGCAACCTCTGCCTCCTGGGTTCAAGTGATTCTCCTGCCTCAACCTCCCGAGTAGCTGGGACTACAGGGGCGTGCCACTACCCCCGGCTAATTTTGTATCTGTGGTAGAGACAGGGTTTCACCATGTTGGTCAGGTTGGTCTCGAACTCCTGACCTCAGGTGATCCGCCCGCCTCAGACTCCCAAAGTGCTGGCATTACAGGCCTAAAAATATATATATATATATTTTGAGATGGAGTCTAGCTGTGTCACCCAGGCTGGAGTGTAGTGGCGTGGTCTCGGCTCACTGCAACCTCTGCCTCCCGGGTTCAAGCAATTCCCCTGCCTCAGCCTCTCAAGTAGCTGGGACTACAGGTGCCTGCCACCACACCTGGATAATTTTTGTATTTTTAGTAGAGACGGGGTTTCACCATATTGGCCAGGCTGGTCTCGAACTCCTGATCTTGTGATCCACCTGCCTCGGCCTCCCAAAGTGCTGGGATTACAGGCAGGAGCCACTGCGCCCGGCCAGGCCTAAAATATTTTTTAAAGAGACAGAAGCAGGCTGGGTGCGGTGGCTCATGCCTGCAATCCCAGCACTTTGGAAGGCTGAGGCTGGCAGATCATCTGAGGTCAGGAGTTCGAGACCAGCCTGGCCAACATGACGACACCGTATCTCTACTAAAAATACAAAAATTAGCTAGGCATGGTGGTGGGTACCTGTAATCACAGCTGCTTGGGAGGCTGAGACAGGAGAATCGCTTGAGCCTGTATGCGGAGGTTGCAGCGAGCCGAGATTCTACCACTGCACTCCATCCTGCACAACAGAGTGAGACTCTGTCTTAAAAAAAAAATTATTTAAATAGCTTTTGGGGTATAAGTGGTTTTCTGTTACATTGATGAATTAAGTAGTGGTGAATTCTGAGATTTTAGTGCATCTGTCACTTGAGTAGTGTACATTGTGCCTAATATGTAGTTTTTCATCTCTAGTCCCCCTCCTACCCCCCACTTCTGAGTCTCTAAATTCCATTATGTCACTCTGTATGCTTTTGCGTACTCATAGCTTAGCTCCCACTTATAAGTGAGAACATACTGCTTTTGGTTTTCCACTCCTGTGTTAGCATAATGGCTTAGCATAATGACTCCACCTCCATCCAAGTTGCTGCAAAAGATGTTATTTCTTTTTATGGCTGAGTATTCCATGGTGTATATATACCACATTTTCTTTATTCATTCATTAGTTGATGGGCATTTAGGTTGGTTCCACACCTTTGCAATTGTGAATTGTGCTACTATAAACATATGTATGCAAGTGTCTTTTTCATATAAAGTCTTTTCCTTTGAGTAGATACCCAGTAATGGGATTGCTGGATAGAATCGTAGATCTACTTTTAACTCTTTAAGGAATCTCCATACTGTTTTCCATAAAGGTTGTACTAAGTTACATTCCCACTAGCAGCGTATAAGTATTTCCTTTCCCCTACGTCCATACCAACATTTATTGTTTTTTTGACTTTTTAATAATGGCCATTTTTGCTAGGTGCGGTGGCTCATGCCTGTAATCCCAGCACTTTGGGAGGCTGAGGGGGGGCGGATCGCCTGAGGTCGGGAGTTCAAGACCAGCCTGACCAACATGGAGAAACCCTGTCTCAACTAAAAACACAAAATTAGCCAGGCATGGGTGGCACATGCCTGTAATCCCAGCTACTCAGGAGGCTGAGGCAGGAGAATCACTTGAACCTGGGAGGCGGAGGTTGCAGTGAGCCAAGATCATGCCACTGCACTCCAGCTTGGGGCAACAAGAGTGAAACTGTTGCAAAAAATAAATAAATAAATAAAAAATGGCCATTTTTGCAGGAGTAAGGTGGTATCTCACTGTGTGTGTGTGTGTGTGTTTTTTTTTTTTTTTTGAGACAGAGTCTCACTCTGTCGCCCAGCCTGGAGTGCAGTGTTGCGATCTCGGCTCATTGCAAGCTCTCCCTCTCGGGTTCATGTCATTCTCCTGCCTCAGCCTCCCGAGTAGCTGGGACTACAGGCACCTGCCACCACACCCGGCTAATTTTTTGTATTTTTTTAGTAGAGACAGGGTTTCACCATGTTAGCCAGGATGGTCTCGATCTCCTGACCTTTTGATCCGCCTGCCTCGGCCTCCCAAAGTGCTGGGACTACAGGCGTGAGCCACCGCGCCCAGCCCTCACTGTGGTTTTAATTTGCATTTCCCTAATAAGTAGTGATGCTGAGCATTTTTTCCTTATGTTTGTTGGCCATTTGTATATCTTCTTTTCAGAAATATCTATTCATATTCTTTGCCCACTTTTTGATGGGATTGTTTTTTTCTTGCTGGTTTGTTTGCGTTCCTTGTAGATTCTGAATACTAGTCATTTGTTCTATGCATAGTTTGCAAATATTTTCTCCCATTCTGTGGGTTGTCTTTTTCCTGTCCTTATTTCTTTTGCTGTGCAGAAGCTTTTTAGTTTAATTAGGTCTCATTTACTTATTTTTGTTTTCATTGCCTTTGCTTTTGGGGTCTCAGTCATGAATTCTTTGCCTAGGCCAGTGTCTACAAGAATTTTTCCAATGTTGTCTTCTAGAATTTTTATGGTTTCAGGTCTTAGATTCAAGTCTTTGATCCATCTTGAGTTGATTTTTTTTTTCTCGTATTTATTGATCATTCTTGGGTGTTTCTCAGAGATGGGGATTTGGCAGGGTCATAGGACAATAGTGGAGGGAAGATCAGCAGATAAACATGTGAACAAGGGTCTCTGGTTTTCCTAGGCAGAGGACCCTGCGGCCTTCCGCAGTGTTTGTGTCCCTGGGTACTTGAGATTAGGGAGTGGTGATGACTCTTAACGAGCATGCTGCCTTCAAGCATCTGTTTAACAAAGCACATCTTGCACCACCCTTAATCCATTTAACCCTGAGTGGACACAGCACATGTTTCAGAGAGCAAGGGGTTGGGGGTGAGGCCATAGATTAACAGCATCCCAAGGCAGAAGAATTTTTCTTAGTACAGAACAAAATGGAGTCTCCCATGTCTACTTCTTTCTACACAGACACAGCAACAATCTGATTTCTCTTTCCTTTCCCCACACTTCCCCCACTTCCACTCGACAAAACCGCCATCATCATCATGGCCCATTCTCAATGAGCTGCTGGGTACACCTCCCAGACGGGGTGGCTGCCGGGCAGAGGGGCCCCTCACTTCCCAGACGGGGCGGCTGCCGGGTGGGGGCTGCCCCCCACCTCCCTCCCGGACGGGGCGGCTGGCCAAAGGGGGCTGTCCCCCACCTCCTGGAGGGGGCGGCTGCCCGGCGGAGATGCTCCTCACTTCCCAAACGGGGCGGCTGCTGGGCGGAGGGGCTCCTCACTTCTCAGACGGGGCGGCCGGGCAGAGACGCTCCTCACCTCCCAGACGGGGTGGCGGTCGGGCAGAGAAACTCCTCAGTTCCCAGACGGGGTCGCGGCCGGGCAGAGGCGCTCCTCACATCCCAGACGGGGCGGCGGGGCAGAGGCGCTCCCCAAGTCCCAGACGATGGGCGGCTGGGCAGAGACGCTCCTCCCTTCCTAGACGGGATGGCGGCCGGGAAGAGGCGCTCCTCACTTCCCAGACTGGGCAGCCGGGCAGATGGGCTCCTCACATCCCAGACAATGGGCGGCCAGGCAGAGACGCTCCTCGCTTCCCAGACGGGGTGGCAGCCGGGCAGAGGCTGCAATCTCGGCGCTTTGGGAGGCCAAGGCAGGCGGCTGGGAGGTGGAGGTTGTAGTGAGCCGAGATCACACCACTGCACTCCAGCCTGGGCAACATTGAGCACTGAGTGAGCGAGACTCTGTCTGCAATCCCGGCACCTCGGGAGGCCGAGGCTGGCAGATCACTCGCGGTTAGGAGCTGGAGACCAGCCCGGCCAACACGGCGAAACCCTGTCTCCACCAAAAAAATACGAAACCAGTCAGGCGTGGCGGCGTGCGCCTGCAATCCCAGGCACTCGGCAGGCTGAGGCAGGAGAATGAGGCAGGGAGGTTGCAGTGAGCCGAGATGGCAGCACTACAGTCCAGCCTCTGCTCGGCATCAGAGGGAGACCGTGGAGAGAGAGGGAGAGGGAGAGGGAGACCATGGGGCGGGGGGGGGGGGGGGGGGGGAGGGGGAGGGCGAGAGGGAGAGGGAGAGGGAGAGGGAGAGCTTGAGTTGATTTTTATATAAGGTGAGAGGCAGGGGGTACAGTTTCATCTACATGTTGGCTTGCCAGTTTTCCCAGCACCATTTATTAAACAGGGTATCCATTCCCCAGTTTATGTTTTTGTATGCTTTGTTGAAGATCAGTTGGCTTTACATAATTGGTGTTATTTCTGGGTTCTCTTTTCAGTTCCATTGGTCTATGTGGAAGCCAGATTATTTTAATGAATATTCCGCAGTTGATTTCCCTTTTCTGTAATTTTCTTCAGTTTCCTATGTTGTGTAATCACATTTAATATATTTTTCAATTATTTCAGTTTGATTTTAGTTTTCTGTTTTTTTGGAGACAGGGTCTCACTCTGTTACCCAGGATGGAATGTAGTAGTGTGATCATAGCTCACTGCAGCCTTGAACTCCTGAGCTCAAGTGATCCTCCTGCCTCAACCTCCCAGTAGCTAGGACTACAGATGTGTGCCACCATGCCTGGCAATTTTTTTTTTTTTTATTTTTTTTTTAGTTTTTGTAGGGATAGGGGTCTTGCTATGTTGCCCAGGCTTGTTTTGAACTCCTGGCCTTGAGCAATTTTCCTGAAGCACTGGAATTATGGGTATAAACCATCATGCACAGCCTAAAAGAGGAATTTCTAATGAATCTCTGAAGCTTTTCTTATTGTTTGAATTTTAGGAGAAAGGTTTTTTCCCCTGGCTTACTCGGCTTATCTAAAGACTTTGAAACAACTCTGACATCTTCAAAATGTGTTGACATTTGTTGAATTTCAGCATTAGTAGCTGTATTAGTCTGTTCTCACACTGCTAATAAAGACATACCTGAGACTAGGTAATTTATAAAGGAAAGAGGTTTAATTGACTCACATTTCCACATGACTGGGGAGGTCTCACAATCATGGCTGAAGGTGAATGAAGAGCAAAGTCACGTCTTACATGTCAGCAGGCAAGAGAGAATGAGAACCAAGCGAAAGGGGAAACCCTTTATAAAATCACCTGGTCTCATGAGACTTATTCACTACTAGGAGAACAGTATGGAAAAAACTGCCCCCATGATTCAATTATCATCTCCCACTGGGCCCTACCCTTGACACATGGAGATTATTATAATTCAAGGTGACATTTGGGTGGAGACACAGCCAAGCCATATCAGGAGCCAACTAGCATGAAGATTTATTTTGGGAGGGTATCAGAGATTCTAATTCCTAGAACTCATTAGATCAATGACAGATAATCCAACTTTATTGTACACATAATTCATAAAATTATAATGAGTTAGGGCTGGGCATGGTGGCTCATGCCTGTAATCTCAGCACTTTGGGAGGCCGAGGTGGACAGATCACAAGATCAGGAGTTCGAGACCAGCCTGGCCAACATGGCCAAACCCTGTCTCTACTAAAAATACAAAACACAGCCGGGTGTGGTGGCTGGCACCTATAATCCCAGCTACTCAGGAGGCTGAGGCAGAATCGCCTGAAACTGGGAGCCAAGATAATGCGCTCCAGCCTGGGCGAGGAGAGCAAGACTCCGTCTCAAAACAAAAAACAAAAAACAAAAAACATGAGTTAGGGCAATGTCGGATAATCCAGCTTTTATTGTACATATAATTTCTAAACTTATAATTAGATAATATATAATGTGATATAGAATGATATGGGACATCTGCTCCTAAGTCCCTGGCCTATGTTAATACACATTCCAGATGGGACTGAAGTTAAGCAGTAGGAAGCTCAGCATTCTAGCGTCAATGACACAAAACACTAATTTGCTTTAATGACCAGATGTGTAATTTAAGCAAATAGTTGGAAACCACCTCCACTTTAAATTTGTTCGAACTCTTTCAGGACCTTAAATTGATTCAGTTATGTTCAGCTCAAATAGCACAGTCTAAAAACTATTTGATATAATTTTCAGAGTTATAGAAGTTATTTTACTTTAACAAATTATTATTTTATAGAATTCTGCCTCATAGTGGACTGCTAATTGAATCATCTCTCTATAAAATAGCCAGATCACCTACATATGAATTCTAGACTTTAGGTAAGCACCCTAAAATTGCTGGTCACCTGTCAAAATGATTTGCTTTTCACATCAAGTTTCCACGGCAAATTATTTTATATTCTATTCTATCTGTATCCCCAGAAGTTATTATAAAGGATACAAAGAATGACACAATGGGCATGGATTGATATTTATTTGCAACATAAAGGAGGCTAACCATGAAATCACTACTGTATTTGGATATGGAAATTAGAACGAGTCAGGAGAAGTAGGAGATGTTATGTGAAACTTGTTTAAATAGAGCCTCTAGTTTACATTCATTTGCTAAAGAGACAGGCTGGTTCAAGACTGATGGCATCTGACAGGGCACACTTGGCTCTTGCTCTTGGACATCCCTTCCTCCAAACAGCAGAGCCCCACCCTTCCAGCCAAACATTGCACCTCCAGCCTTCCCCTTCTCACGGCAGCCTCAGTGCCTCAGCCTCCTCAGCCTCTTCTTCAACTACTAGCTTCTCCAACTTCTTCAGCTTCCTCAGCTTTCTCTGACTCCCCAGCCTCCACACCTTTTTTGCATCCTTGGAGTCTCAGCCTCTTTGTCTCCTTGTATCCTCAGCCTCTGACTTCTCGAGCCTCGACTCCTTGGTCTCCTCCATTCTCATCGGCTTTCGCAGTCTGGACCTCCCTCTCTCAGCCTCCTCTTTCATTTATCTGGGTATTTGAATGAACTCTTTGCATTTATTTCTGGTGGGAAGAGGACAAGATCCTGCCACCCTTCTCCTTCCACAGGTCTGTAGATAATGCATTTTGCAAGGAAAATCAAGTTTTCATTTTCCTGAAGAGTTGAGGTCAGAGTAGGGACTGATGGTGCTGACAGTAAAGCCCCTGTGTGGTGGGATAAAAGCCTTCACTGCCAGCTGCTCATCTAGAAAATCACCTAAAGTACTGGCATCTAGACTGTCAGCTGACATCAGGGTTCCTCGTCTACCAGGACATCCTCGATTGCTCCTTGGTTTCTCAGAAGTGACTAGTGAGTAGGGTAGTGTCAAACAAGAGTATTAGACATCAGGCCTTGGAGGCCGGGTGCGGCCTCAGCTGGGCGTGGTGGCACGCGCCTGTAGTCCCAGCTACTCATGAGGCTGAGGCAGGAGAATCACTGGAACCCGGGCGGCGGAGGTTGCAGTGAGCCAAGATCGCGCCACTGCATTCAAGCCTGGGCAACAGAGTGAGACTCCGTCTCAAAAAAAAAAAAAAAAGAAAAAGAAACCAGGCCTTGGGGCCTGGCATACAGTAGCTAAGTGGTTCACTACTGTATGTATGGTGGTTAGATAAACCTTCTTGGAACTCCTTTATCTTGAATGAAATTACCATATTTAGCCATAGTTCAATGTGTTTACACAGAAAATTGCTGAAACTCCAAATTTGATTCTGCCCCCCGCCACCTCGCTGCCTTTTTTTTTTTTCAAGATGGAGTCTTGCTCTGTCGCCCAGGCTGGAGTGCAGTGGCGCCATCTCGGCTCACTGTAACCACCACCTCCTGGGTTCATGCAATTCTCCTGCTTTAGCCTCCCAAGTAGCTGGCATTACAGGCGCCCACACCACACCCAACTGATTTTTGTATTTTTAGTAGACATGGGGTTTCACCATGTTGGTCAGGCTAGTTTCGAACTCCTGACCTCAAGTGATCTGCCCATGTCGGCCTCCCAAAGTGCTGGGATTACAGGTGTGAGCCACTGTGCCCACCCGCGCCCCACTTCTATACCTTTTTTTTTTTTTTTTTTTTGAGACGGAGTCTCACACTGTTGCCTGGGCTGGAGTGCAGTGGTGTGATCTTGGCTCACTGCAACCTCCGCCTCCCGGGTTCAAGCGATTCTCCTGCCTCAGCCTCCCAAGTAGCTGGGATTACAGGCGCCCACCACTATGCCCAGCTAATTTTCTGTATTTTTAGTAGAAGCGGGGTTTCATCATGTTGGCCAGGCTGGTCTTGAACTCCTGACCTTGTGATTTGCCCACCTCGGTGTCCCAAAGTGCTGGGATTATAGGCGTGAGCCACCGTGCCCGCCTTTTTTTTGAGATGGAGTCTTGCTCTGTTGCCCAGGCTGGAGTGCAGTGGCACGATCTTGGCTCACTGCAGACTCCACCTCCTGGGTTCAAGGGATCCTCTTGCCTCAGTCTCCCTAGTAGCTAGGACTACAGGTGCACGCCACCACTAATTTTTGTATTTTTAGTAGAGACGGGGTTTCACCATGTTGGCCAGGCTGGTCTCGGACTCCTGAGCTCAAGTGATCCACCTGCCTCGGCCTTCCAAAATGCTGGGATTATAGGCATGAGACCAAGCCTGGATGATTCTGTTCCATTTTGAGGCACATGCATTTGCTAAACTCTTCTTATTCCACAATGAGAGCCTATTTGAATAAAATACATATAGATGAAATGTTGATAGTAGTTCTGTTTATTTTCATTTGTGCCTTTCAGTATTTGCTATAATAAAAAATGCATAAAAGTTTTAGCAACCTTTTACTGTGTTTTGAGACATTGTGTAATATATCTTGAGGGTTTTCTTTCGTTTATACTCGAATTTACTAGCCTTGCTTGATCTTTTTCCTCCCTATATCGAGCGACCAGATCAGCACTTTTTCTGCCCTGGGAACCAAATGTCACCCCTGCTTTTCCATCTGCTGGCCCTGGAACCCTCTGGCTTTTCATCTCCTCCTTTTCTTTCTCATTCCCCCACAAACAGTTCCCTCAGTGCTCCTGGAATAGCTCAGCTGTGTCCCAGCAGGAGGGACTCAGGTCTAGAACCCAGAGGTTACTGTGGCTGTCAGTCTAGGAATATCATGAAAACCTAGCAGGCAGGGGGAATCCCATATTTTGTGGTCTTCCTGTGTGCACATGTCTCCTACACAGGGCCATGAACTCCTCAAGGGCTGGCTCTGTGCTACCTGCCCTATCACTCCCACAGCCCCTGGCAAAGGTAGGCCCTTTACACAGTTTTTTTTTTTTTTTTTTTTTTTTTTTTTGAGATGGAGTTTCACTCTTGATGCCCAGGATGGAGTGCAATGGCACAATCTCTACTCACTGCAACCTCCACCTCCCGGGTTCAAGCGATTCTCCTGCCTCAGCCTCTCAAGTAGCTAGGATTACAGGCACTTGCCACCATGCCTGGCTAATTTTTGTATTTTTATTTATTTATTTAGAGAAGGAGTTTCGCTCTTGTTGCCCAGGCTGGAGTGCAATGGCACAGTCTTGGCTCACTGCAACCTTTGCCTCCCAGGTTCAAGCGATTCTCCTGCCTCAGACTGCTGAGTAGCTGGGATTACAGGTTTGCGCCATGACGCCCGGCTAATTTTGTATATATATTTTTTTTTAGTAGAGACAGGGTTTCTTCATGTTGGTCAGGCTGGTCTCAAACTCCCGACCTCAGGTGATCTGCCCACCTCGGCCTCCCAAAGTGCTGGGATTACAGGCATGAGCCACCGCGCCCAGCCTAATTTTTGTATTTTTAGTAGAGATGGGGTTTACACCATGTTGGCCAGGCTGGTCTCAAACTCCTGACCTCAGGTGATCTGCCTGCCTCAGCCTCCCAAAGTGCTGGGATTACAGGCGTGAGCCACCGTCTGGCCAGTACAGTCTTAAACTTAATTACATCATCGTTTCCATAGGCCATATGAACGTATTTCTTTTTAGACCATAGACTCTCTGAGAGCAGAGGTCATGTGACACTGGTCTTTCTGTAACTTGGCACTGGCTCAGCCACTGTATTGTGGGCACAAGGCAGTGGGCAGTAAGTGAAGGGGTTGGTGGAACTACCAGGTAATTGGAACTGAAAAGACAAGTGAAAACTTTCAGGATACAGACAACATGAAATAGTTTTCTGAAAACCTGTCATTTTTTTTCTCATAGGTTGGAAATACTTTTAGTATAGAAATTTTCTTGGATCTGAAAGTACGAGATGATCCACGGTTAATAAACAGGGATAGCCAGCGGCAGCAGGTAAGCCACGTTTGGGCGACAATAGTCAGCTCACGCACTTGAGAGTGAGGTTGTATGGGGACATATCCTAACAAAGGAGGCAGACCTGAGACACTTGGAGGAATGACTCGTTGTCACCCAGGGACAGAAACAAGGGGTGGGGGGAGGAAAAGGGATGTAAAACTGGTATGCCATTTCTGGCCTGAAAATCAAGGTTCTTTCTGTCATAAACAGGAATGAGAAAGGTGGAAAGAAAAGTTAGTTTGTGGTGCAAGATTAGTTTGTGTCCTTGAACTTCAGTGTCCATTATTAAATAGGAGCCGTACTTGCTCTGATGAAATGAGATAATGAAAGCACTCTGTAAACTAGGAAGGACCAGATGATTGTAATGTGTTAGTGATAATCGTTATCATTTTAATTATATTTAAATACATCCTGCCAGCAGGTAGAATAAAGACCTGAAGTGCTATTTGGGATCCAAAGGGAGGGCTGAGCCACCTGAGGAAGCAGGCATGAATGGGGAGAGGCAGAGGAGCCAACAGATCTTTAGGAATGCAGAAGAAAATAGGTTTTTTCAAAGGAATCCAAGGAGCAGTGAGAACTCCCGGAGAAGTTTGGATAGTGCACTGTGGTAGAAACCAAGACTGTGGGGAGTTTTTAGACGGTAGAAATGTTCAGCAGCGGCCGGGCGCGGTGGCTCATGCCTGTAATCCCAGCACTTTGGGAGGCCAAGGTGGGCAGATCACCTGAGGTCGGGAGTTCGAGACCAGCCTGGCTAACACAGTGAAACCCTGTCTCTACTAAAAATATAAAATTAGCCAGGTGTGGTGGTGCGTGCCTGTAATCCTAACTGCTAGGGAGGCTGAGGTAGGAGAATCGCTTGAACCCAGGAGGCGGAGGTTGCAGTGAGCCGAGATCACGCCATTGTACTCCAGCCCGGGTGACAGAGTGAGACTCCGTCTCAAAAAAAAAAAAAAAAGAAAAAAAAAGAAATGTTCAGTAGTGTGAAATGCTGCAGAGAGGTTGAGTAAGAAGATGATTAAACTTCATTGAATTTGGCTTGAAGGAAGTTTTGGTAAACTTGAGGAAATTGTTTTAGTAGGGGGTAGAGAGAGAACCCAGATTTTGTATGTTTTGGAGGGGTGGTTGGACTAGGTCTTAAGGTACCCAACGAGAGGAATGGTGGCTATAGGTATCACCACAACTGCAGGTACTTCACAGCCAAAGAAAAGATAGCTTAATGTAATTTTGTAACTCTCATTCCAAAAAAGGATTTGGACCAGCGAAGTGGGGAGAATTAGTTCAAAAAGGGCAGAAAGATTAGGTGCAGGAAAGTGGAAGAGGAGAGAGAGGAGACTCTTGATCTGTGACAGAAAGTGACAAAGTCCAAGAGGAGGGCATAGCTTTACAGATTAGAGATAACTCTCATGAGGCTGGGAGAAAATGTGCGGTGGTAAGTGTAGGGTGGTGATGGTTGTGAGGAAGGGGAGGGCTTGTAAAGGATGTTTGGAGGATCTCAGAGCATTGGGAGAGCACAAGAGAGGCAGAGCAGGAGGGAGGCTGCCCACTGAGTGCAGAGTAAGAGAGAATTGGATAGAATTGGGCAGTTTAAGAAGAGAGGCTGTGAAACTGTCCTGGAAAAAAATGCTAGATATTTAGCAAATGTTTCTTGTAGTATAAAGAGCATACAAAAATTCAAAAATACAAATATCTTTTTTTTTTTTTTAGACAGTTTCACTTTGTTGCCCAGGTTGGAGTGCAGTGGCCCGATCTTGGCTTACTGCAACCTCTGCCTCCCAGGTTCAAGCGATTCTTGTGCCTCAGCCTCCACAGTAGCTGGGACTACAGGTACATGCCACCATTCCTAGCTAATTTTTGTATTATTAATAGAGATGGGGTTTCGCCATGTTGGCCAGGCTGGTCTCAAACTCCTGACCTCCAGTGATCTGCCTGCCTCAGCCTCCCAAAGTGCTGGGATTATAGGCTTGAGCCACCATGCCCGTCTCAAATATTTATTGTCCATACCCAACTAAAAACTGTGCATTTTCACACAATTCTGAAAATATATAGTAACTAGATCCTTAATAAATGCTGGTCGAATTAAGGTCTATTTATTAGATTTCAGCTAGGCACTGACCTTATTTATGAATACAACTATGTGGCTCTGTGTGTGTGTGTGTGTGTGTGTGTGTGTGTGTGTGTGTGTGTTTAAGTTGTTGCAGTTGGCATTCTATTTTTTTATTTTATTTTTTGCATACCCAACTCAGACCTAATTATGCCAGTAGCTTTGACCCAGGGCTCTGCTTTGAACAGGTTGGAAGCCCTGGGCTGACATGCTTTCCTATGCCCCTTCTCCTCTCTGGGCAGAGCGCCTGAGGTTGGGCAGTGTTCATGGGCTATTTGTTGCTTCCATCACCTGCCTCACCTGCTACCTCAGGGCTGAGCTTTGCTAACGCACAAAATGACTTCTTACTAACATGTATTTGAAAGACTGAAAGTGAGTCAAGGTCCTGGTTTGCTGATTAGACAGCAATCAGTGGTTGCCCCATAGTCCTGGAAACCACTTGGGGCCTGCTGGTGTCTGTCCTGATGCTGCTGTAAGTCAGATGTTGAGGTCAGCCTGGCCCACTTTGCCATCAGCACTATGTTGCTAAGGTACCAATGTTCTGCCTTCCCATTCTGCCCTGGTATTTCCATCTTCCAGGCACATCCCTGCAACAGAACCCTTCTTGCCAACCCTCTCTCTCTTGCCCCCGACTTCACTTTCCTGTATAAACAAAGACTCCTCTACTGTCACCCTCTTTGGGAACACTCTACCTCTTTCTTTTCCCCTGAGGATATGACCTAAGTCCTCCTACCAGAGAGCTGGGGGTGGGACTGGGGGTGGGGCGGGATTGGCTTTCTTCTTGCTCTCCAGTACTGCCTCCTAACCAAAACCATGTGCCACTGGGCTTTGCCCCCTTCATCCACCTGTCTCCTGAGTTTTCCTCTATGCTCACTGAAGACTTTGACATTTGCTTTACAGACTTTTCCTCTCGACACTTAGTTCTGCCATCATCCTGGACAACTTTATCTTTCCTGTGGTCTTTACTATCCCCTCCACTCCACTTTAGCTGCCTATCCCATGGTCACAACCTGTGCCTGGTCATTGTCTAAGACTGGCCTATTTCTGTACTCCTAAGCTTCAGAAGCACAGCCGTGGCCCTCCTCCTCCAACATAGACTCTTTCCCATGCACCTACTCCTACAGTTTCCAACCTCACACAGCTCTGGACTACTCCATTTTATCTTTTCATCATTTACTTCCCTCCGTGACCTAATTCTCCTAGTCATTATTTCAATTATTCTCTCTCCATCAACCTTCTTGCTTGTTTCTCCATTGTATCCATCCAGCAAACCCTGCCTTGGAGGAAGTCTCCTAATTCAACTTCTCTAGTTCTATATATACTCGGTACTTGTGTATTGTTGGTAAAAACTGTATGGTTTTTCTGCCTGACAATCCTTAGGCAGCTTTAGGAAACTTCTCCCATCTCCCTTTTTCTTTTTCATACCCTCCACTCTTCAACATCTTGCTCACTCTCAACAAGAGGCCTTTATTTTTTCACTAAGAAAACTGATGTTGTAAGGTAGGGAGTTCCTTAACTTACTTGTCTGTGTTTATGTCCATCTGGCTCCCATCTTTCCATCCTCCTCCTCTTGGGGAAAGAGCTACCAGTTCCTGTTTATTAAGGCTTTGGATCTGGTCCCCCAGCCCACCATCTTTATCCATATCTTTACTCTAAGCCCATAAACTTGCTTACTCCTTTCCCATCTGAAAATGAAACCAAACTGAAACCCTTGCCACCATTCTATCTCCTTCCCTTCACAGGCAAGCTTCCTGCAAAACTAAGCCTGAATTAACTGTCCTCATTGTTTTACTTCCTGTTCTCTCCTCAGCCTTCTATAATCCGGCTTCTGTCCTATCATCATTCCACAATGAAATGCTGAGTCATCAATCTAGCCCCATGTGGACAAAACAAATTGGCGCTTCCCTTCCTTATTTTGCTTATCCTCCCTGAGCCATTTGTTCTGCTGGCTATCCCTTCCTCCATTAGCTTCTCCTGTATGTCTCTCCTCATTGCTGTCAAATCTCAGGTAGCTCCTTCCCTGTATTGGCTTCCTTTGGACTCTCATTGGCCAAATGCCAGAATCTCTGGGTTTATTCTGTACCCTGCTCTTCCCATTCTATGTGCTTTCCTTGGGTGACCTCATCTGCTCTTCTGGCTTCAATGACCAGGGACATATTGAAAATTCATATGCCTCTAGTTCCATTCAGGCTTCACTTCTGAGTTCCAAACCATGTGCTCAATTGTCCCCTGGACACCTCCATTTAAGTGTCCCTCAGGTACCTCAGACATAGCTTCATCCTAACAAAATCAATATCTTTTCAGCCAAACGTCTTCCTTCGGTTTCTTTGTATTGTCATCATCCAGGATCTCAGCCTCTTTTCCTCATTTCTAGTCAGTCACCAACTTTAGTGAGATGAGGTGGTAGAGCTGGTCTCCGAGAGACACGCAGTGGATTGGGAGCTACTAACAGTGAGGACAACCACCTGGCAGACATGGTGCTAGGGAGTGGACCCAGTAAAGGAAGGGTGGCTACGGGTGATGCTTCCAATCTTGGATGAATTTTATGTAGCATCACCAGATGCTGAGGGTAGTTGGAGTTCTCGAGGAAAAAGGAATGAGCTTGCCTGTGCCTGAACAGGAACAGGGACAGAAAGAAGTCCAAAACAGTTAAGTTTGAAAGTAGGAGGGCACGTGTACCTGCATCTCTGAGGGGTAAGGAGGTTTCAAGTATTTGTGGGTTCTACCTTTGTAATGTCTTCCCAACCTGTTTTTTCCCTCGGTAGCCTCCAGGCTACTACCCACACCCAAGTCTTGTTCCGAAAGCATTTTTTTTTTTTAAACGGAGTCTTGCTCTTGTTGCCCAGGCTGGAGTGCAATGGTGTGATCTCAGCTCACTACGACCTCCGCCTCCCGGGTTCAAGCGATTCTCCTGCCTCAGCCTCCCAAATAGTTGGGATTACAGGCACCCACCATCACGCCCGGCTAATTTTTTATATTTTTAGTAGAGACGGGGTTTCACCATGTTGGCCAGGCTGGTCTGGAACTCCTGACCTCATGTGATCCACCCGCCTTGGACTCCCAAAGTGCTGGGATTATAGGTGTGAGCCACCACACCCAGCCCTGAAAGAAAATCTTATTTAAGTTGTTGGCTCCAGTAACTTTTGGACATCAAGTTAAAAATTTCTTAGCTTCTCAAACAAGGTCCTTCAGAATATGGTCCCTGTTTGCTGTCTAGGCCCATCTCTTGCTACTGCATATACATTCTTTTTGCTCCAGCCACATGGAAGTTCTTCCAGTCTTCTAAAAACATCACAACTTCATCCTTAGAATGTCTGTCTCACCCTCTCTTCCCCAAGCTCATTCATTCTTCCATTTCTGCTTGTCCTTCAACACTCAGTTCAAGCACCATTTCTCAGAAGACTTTCACAAGCCCAATCTGATTTTGTCTGGGCTATCTTGGTATCCTAAAGGATACGATCCACAAAAATATCATTTACCACACCTCACTGTAATCCATTAACTTGCCTCTCTTCCCCAGCAGACTGGGTACTTTATGAAGGCAGGTCTCAGTCTATCTGGCTTGCTATCCCAATGTCTGGCACTTGATATTACTTACTGTTTTCTTTCTTTTCTTCTCTTCTCTTCTGTTTTCTCCTCTCTTTCTCTGTCTCCTTTCTTTCCTTTCTTTTGCTCTGCCACCTAAGATGGAGTGCAGTGGCACCATCCTGGCTCACTGCAACCTCGACCTCCCGTGCTCGAGCAATCCTCCCGCCTCAACCTCCTGAGTAGCTGGGACTACAGGTGCACGCCACCACCCCTGGCTAACTTTTTGTTATGTATTTACTTATTTTTTTTGGTAGAGACGGGGTTTCACCATGTTGCTCAGGCTGGTCTCGACCTTCTGGACTCAAGTGATCCGCCAGCCTCAGCCTCCCAAAGTGCTTGGATTACAGGCATGAGCTACGGCGCTTGGCCGGCACTTGGTACTTTTAATGAATAGTTATTAACCATGAAACTTTTAAAGTTTAAGCAGTAGTATGTTTAACCTGGAAGACTTTTAACATTTAAACAGCAGGCCATTTAATTGTGGCAGTTCACATGCTACACCAGTGCATGGAGCTCCTTGTGGCCAGTGCAATGTTGCTGGCCCATCTGGCAGTGGGAAAATCTGGGCATCCAGGAGTGCATCTCTAGGGAAGTATCACCAGCCCTCACACCAATCTCAAGCTGCCTGTCTTCTGCAGAACCCACTAGATCAGCGCGCTTCTGGCCTTGACCCACTTGGTGGTTACCTACAGCCACTAAGAGGTGGGCAGATAGATGTTTTTGGTAAGTGGTCTCTGGGTTAGGGAGTGCATGGGTTATGTCCGTCTAGGGGTGTGTGTGTGTGTGTGTGTGTGTGTGTGTGTGTGTGTGTGTGTGTGCATGGGTGGGGGAAGGGAGGAAGGAGGCCGAATGTGCATCCCTTCTACAAGGACGCCTTTCCAGACCTCCTTATTAGGTGGCGTTCGCCTCCTCACCCTCTCTCAGCCCCTTATCTCCTCTTACACGGATCACGACTTGATTAATGCTTGTCTCCCAGCTAGGCCGCCAGCTGCACAAGGTAAGGAACCGAAGGCATTCCGGTTCTCCCTGGCAATCCTCCTTCTCAGAAGGATGCCTGAGGCATAACAAGTGTTCCAGAAATATTTCTTCCGCAAGCGCTCTGGGCCAGTCTGGACGGACCGAGCGCCCGCTGGGCTGCGGGGGCCCCGGGACCCCGGCCGGCACTGACGCCCCGCCCACCACCGGCCGGCCCGGGCGGGGTGGGGCGCGGCTGGGCGCTCTCGCGGGGACCGTTCTCCGGCTAGCGTGGGCGATGCCCGGGCGGGGAAACGGGAGGGGACGACGCGACGCGAGGTAGCGGCCTGGCCAATGAGCGCGGGTCGGGCGGGGCTGGGGGCCGGCGGCCGGGGCGCGCGCGGGTCTGGGCGTGCCGCGGGTGACGGCGGGGCCGGGCGGGCCAATGGGCGCTGGGTGGCGGGCGGGCGGGCCTGGCGGCCGGGGGCTTTAGGACGTGAGCGGGCGGCCGGCCGGACAGACTGACGTGTGAGCTGCATCGCGGGAGGCGCATGGCGGGGATGGCGCTGGCGCGGGCCTGGAAGCAGATGTCCTGGTTCTACTACCAGTACCTGCTGGTCACGGCGCTCTACATGCTGGAGCCCTGGGAGCGGACGGTGTTCAGTATCCTGTCCCGGCCGCGCGCGCGGGGGCCGGGCTGGGGGCGCGGGCCGCGGGGCCGCATTTCCCCAGGCCCCGGGCCTGGGGTGGAGGCTGGAGCGGCGGCCCCGCCGGTCCTGTGCGCGGAAGCCGGGGGTGCAGGGGGAGGTCTGGGGGCCGAGGGCGGCGCTCGCGGGGTTAAGTGGGGGGTGGGGGAGACGAGAACTCTTGAGATCCGGGGTCACCTGTGAGTCGCTGGACCCAAGGGGGAAGCGTCTTGATTCCTGGAGGAAATCTCCGAAGGTGATGTGTAACCCTGTGTGTCGCCTGCACTTCGGCCGCAACTGCCTTTGGTTCAGTCCCCTGTTCCTGTAGGAGGCGGGGATCATGTAACAGTGGAGCACATCGCTCCCGGCTTGGACGCCTTTGACCTTTAAGTGTTCCTGATTTAGTTGGCTTTGGGTCTACCAAGAATTCTAGTCAGTTAACTAGCTTTTAAGCCAGGTTCTGAATTTGTAGGCATGACACTCCAGTAGTTTTTGAAAGCAGTTTAAGTTATTGTATCTTTTTGGTCTTCAAGTTGGGGAGTTTTAAAAGTGTATTTATTGCTTCTGTGCACCGTCCGTAGAAGTCGGCCCGAAAAGTGGTGCAATTTGTGGTTAGTTGTCGGTAGGGTTTGAAACTGTGTTTTGGTGGATAGTTAATAAATTCTTGTTAATGACTATTGAGTGGTTACTATAAGCAAAGCATTTGTGCAAAGCACGTTGTCTGTATCTTAACTCATCTAACTTTGAGAACTTCAGTTAATAACTCAGGGTTGTGAAGATAGGCTCCCTGAAAGTCTGATGTTTCTTGTCTCTGCTTGTCCATATTGACATCCTTTGATGATATTCTTGCAGATTAAATACTGATAATGAATGAGATGTAACTTTTAAAAAACTCAGGCCAATACAAAACAGGTATTTCACAAAACATGTTTAGTTTATCCACGTTCTCTCCTTTTCAGTGTGGTTTAGTTGGAGTAGCTTACTTCAGAATAACTTTGCGAATGCATTGTTGCATTCCAGTGAGTGACTGAGGTAATTTCATTCTAAGCCTTATCAAGTGTGTTTATTTGTTTTGAGATAGCTTAAGGTTGTACTCAAAGCTGAGTCTTTTGTTTAAGCACTTTTGAGGAATTTGAGATGCTTTCAAAGCAGTTTATTTATTTATTACTGTTGGCATTTCTTTCCAAACCTGGAATTTAAGAACCAGAATGCATATTTTGGATTTAGACTCTGAATATAGTTTGCTTTGATTTCCTGCACCATTTATTTGTAGCTGCAGTTTAGTCTCACTCTTTAGGGCTCGCAAGGTCATGCCTTGTAAAATATATACTTGAATGCATATTTAATAGAAGTCTCTCAGTAGAAGCAAGTATATCTTGACTGACATAACACATCCTAAAATTAATTTAAACAATGCTGGGTTAAAATGAAACTCTTTAAATCAGAGGTTGAATGTAGAGTGCACTATTAGAATCTAGTATAGATTTGACACCTAAAATCTAATATAGATTTTACACACTAAAATGCTACAGTTATCAATGATGTTAAGATTTTTCTGTTATGTTGCAATAGTGATAGTGTCCTATAAATAACTAGGTGATGCCTTTTTTGGGGGATGGAGAAATAAATTATGAAATGAAATATAGTGCCTTAGTAGATATTTGCCTTTAATGTTTTTGAGTTACCATGGTTTAGCGACAAGTAGTTTCAATTTTTTTTTCAAATAGGTGAGAACTGCAACCAACTGACATCCAATATTATAGAACCTTATGATTTTAAACTTAAGATAAAAAAATCTTATTTCAAATTTCACGTTATTGAATTAACTCAGGTTAGAAATGCAATTGTTTGACATAAGCCAGTCTTGAATTACTA